>NC_000014.9:102035714-102338714 GCF_000001405.40 Homo sapiens | reverse complement strand
TACAAAGTTCCTCACCTACTGTGAGATGCCATCTCAACAATGAGAAAGATGAAGATCAATATAATGTTAGATGGACTAGCTGATGATAAAAATGGATTATAAAAACTAGAAGGTTCTATGTGAGCACAATTTAGAGGAGGAGACCAATCTTTTTTTTTTTTTTTTTTTTTTTTTTCTGAGACAGAGTCTGGCTCTGTCGCTCAGGCTGGAGTGCAGTGGCATGATCTTGGCTTACCACAACCTCCGCTTCCCAGATTCAAGTGATTCTCCTGCTTCAGCCTCCTGAGTAGCTGGGATTACAGGCATGCACCACCATGCCTGGCTAATTTTTGTATTTTTAGTAAAGATGGAGTTTCACCATGTTTGCCAGGCTGGTCTTGAACTTCTGGCCTCAAGTGATCCACCCGCCTCAGCCTCCCAAAGTGTTGGGATTACAGGCGTGAGCCACTGTGCTCAGCCCAGAACAGTCTTTACAAAACATTTAAAACACTCTCTTTAATGCTATCACGAGCTTAATAATGTTAGCTGATACCATAGTAACTTTCTTTCCCACTATCCCTCCTTTACTGACTTCTCACTGGTCTCTTGAGAAAAACGATCCTGCCTATCCCACACCCAGATCTCCCTTCCCAGCTGGTAAAAAGGCATGGGCTTGGGGGCCTGAGCTGGATCCCAGCTTCTCTGCCCATGGCCTGGGTGATCTTGGTGAGCCACCATCTCCTGAGTCTCCCTTGTCCATCTCCCTGACTTATCCAGACAAGAGGTTACAGCTACCTGGAAAGGCTTTTGTGAAGATGAGATTTGACTCCATATGCAATGCCTACGTAAACACCAGATGTGAAAGTGCTAAGAGACAGCTGGTATCATTTATACATGGATGTTATAAAGAGAACCCCACAGAGCATGAGATGGGGGTGGGCACGGCAGGAAGGGCGGCAGAACAAGGTTAAAGGAGAAAACGGGCCATGTGGGTTCTGCGCGGACCAACCTGGATGGTGTCCCCTCACAAACGGAGCCACTGTCATGCTCCCAAGAGGCGATGGCACAGTCTGAGCTGCTGAAAAAGCCGGATTCTGTAGGGCAGGCACAGTGTGTGTGTGCCGAGTTCCGCCTCAAAGCAGGATGATACCCACACTTGCTAAACTCAAGAGTTTAAAAAACACACAGGTGACTGCTGTGGAGGGCATCTACATGAGGCTTAGCAAAAACCTTTTACATTTTCATCATATGTAATTTAAGAAAATAAGGCAGGGCATGGTGGCTTATGCCTGTAATCCCAGCACTTCGGAAGGCTGAGGCGGGCGGATCACTTGAGGTCAGGAGTTCAAGACCAGCCTGGCCAATACGGTGAAACCCTGTCTCTACTAAAAATACAAAAATTAGCTGGGCATGGTGGTGCACACCTGTAGTCCCAGCTACTCAGGAGGCTGAGGTGGGAGAATCGCTTGAACCCAGGAGGGGAGGTTGCAGTGAGCCAAGATGGCACCATTGCACTCAAGCCTGGCTGACAGCGAGACTCTGTCTCAAAAAAACAAAAACACCCCAAAAAATCCAATGTAGCTAAAGGCAATTTGATAATAACAATGACACTGAAATGAGAATTGTGTCGGAACCACCACAAACAAAAATGAATGGCCCCTATATAATCCATCCCCAAAAACCCACATAAGGAAGAAAACAGGGCTAGGCATGGTGGTTCATGCCTGTAATCCCAGCACTTTGGGAGGCCTATAAGGGAGGATCAGTTGAGCCCTGGAGTTCAAGACCAGAGTGGACAACACAGCGAGACCCCTTCTCTACGAAAAATTTAAAAATTAGCTGGGCATGGTGACACACGGCGGTAGTCCCAGCTACTCAGGAGGCTTATGTGGGAGGATTGTTTGGGACCAGAAGGTTGAGGCTGCGGTGAGCTGTGATTGTGCCACTGCACTCCAGTCTGGGAGACAGAGGGAAACCCTGTTTCAAAACAAAAAAAAAAAAAGAAGAAAATGATACCTGAGGTTTTAACTCTGATCATCAGTGAGTGGGAAGATTATGGTGTTTTCCATTTTCTTCTAGCTTATCTTCATTTTTGAGTTTTCTGGAAGAGCATTTATTGCTTTAAGAAAAAAAAAACTGGGGACCGGATGTGGTGGCTCACACCTGTAATCCTAGCACTTTGGGAGGCTGAGGCAGGCAGACTGCCTGAGCTCAGGAGTTCGAGACCAGCCTGGGCAACACGGTGAAACCCTGTCTCTACTAAAATACAAAAAATCAGCTGGGCATGGTGGTGTGCGCCTCTAATCCCAGCTACTTGGGAGGCAGAGGCAGGAGAATTGCTTGAACCTGGGAGGCGGCAGTTACAGTGAGCTGAGATCACACCACTGCACTCTAGCCTGGGTGACAGAGCAAGACTCCATCTCCCAAAAAAACAAAAAGAAAAAAAAATTTTCACTTGATGGGAAAAAGCTAAAATGAGGTCGAACAGGAAAATGTCATTACTAAAAACATTCTCCTTCATACATGGAGTTTTTTTTTTTTTTGGTTTTGTTTTGTTTTTTGAGACAGAGTCTCTGTCACCCAGGCTGGAGTGCAATGGTGCAATCTCAGCTTACTGCAACCTCTGCCTCCTAGGTTCAAATGATTCTTGTGCCTCAGCTTCCTGAATAACTGGAATTAGAGGCATGTGCCACCACGCCCAGCTAATTTTTGTATTTTTAGTAGAGACTGAGTTTTGTCATGTTGGCCAGGCTGGTCTCAAACTCCTGACCTCAAGTGATCCACCTGCCTCAGTCTCCCAAAGCACTGGGACTACAAGCATAAGCCACTGCACGTGGCCCTTCTTTCTTCTGGCTAACTCTATGAGCAAAACTCTTTCTGCCATGGGAGATTGTTACCTTATCATTGTTTATTTCCAGGGTCTCCTGGGAACACAGACCAGAACTACTGAGGTAATCTTGGCACATTTTCTTAACCATTTTATGCAACTCTTCAAATTCCTTATATATAGCTGGGAAAAAAGGCTTTGCTAGATGATCTTTTTCAACCTTCGTGAAGATAAAGACCAAAAAAAAAGTTTAAACTCAAGGCACTGATATGGAAAATACAGAAGAAAATCTAAACAAAGTTTCGGTTCCTTAACCCCTCAGCAGCCCTCAGTGGTGTGCGTTTCCTTCAGTCCCCAGTGAGCACCTACTGTGTGCCCCGCATGGTGCAGAGAAGCCAGGATGGGCATGGGAGGAGCAGGCCAAGAAACAAACAAGCCCTGGGTGGGGGCCATGTAGGGCATGGGTGAGCTCCTGGACAGGGTGGGAAGGGAAGGCAGAAAGGCCCTGAGCCCCGGCTGGACTGTCAGCTCCAGAGGGAGTGTGGGGCACAGGCAGCCTGGGCTGCAGCCTCAGAGTGGGCTCAGAAGGAGCAGAGCCGCGGGCAGAAGAGGCCAGCTGGGGCGAGTGGGTTCTAGGAGAGCCCAGGATAGCCATTATTTGTGGCTGCCACTTCCATTCCTCCTGTACCAAGTTAAAAGTCAAGGGAGTAAACGGGCACCTGCCCGAGACACCCAGCTACCCAGGCAGCGGCCCCCACACCAGGCACGGTGTGTGACCAGCAGGCTCACTTCAGCTGTCCTGCAAAAGGAAAACGATTCCAAATGGCCTGGCTCTTTCCAAAACAACTATGAGCTGGGCACGGTAGCTCACACCTATAATCCCATCACTTTGGGAGGCCGAGGCAGGAGGATTACTTGAGGCCAGGAGTTTGAGACCAGCCTGGGCAACAAAGCTAGATCCCATCTCTACAAAAAAAATTTTTTTAAATAAATTAAAAATTAGCCGGGTATGATGGTGCATGCCTGTAGTCCCAGCTACTTGGAAGGCTGAGGTGGAAGGATTGCTAGAGACCAGCAGTTTGAGGCTGCAGTGAGCTACGATGGTGCCACTGCACTCTAGCTGGGCGACAGAGCAAGACCCTGTCTCAAAAATAAAATTAACAACTATGCAGGCTATTGAAAAATAATTAATAAATAATAATATTATTTCTAAATAACTTCTAATCATCCCGCTATCATTTAGAAACACTAAGAGTACTCACCTTCATCAGAAGAAACTCATACACGGTCACAACCTGAGCCAGCTGAGGCAGAGCCAATTCCACCAGATCCTCCCGGTCACACTGCTGGAGGAACTACCAAGGGAAAGCATTTCATGCCTTTGAATGTCCCGTAAGAATTTCCCAATAGCCAACAAGTTGGTGCAATATACAACATAAAAAACAGAAAGTTCTCCAAAAATTTCAGTGACCAAGTAACTCTAAACATTCTGCTTTATTAACTATTTCACCTGTTTGCTCCTTAATGAAGTACTATGATCCATTCTGGGTCCCCCATGACAAGCTCTGGGCACTGTCCTGGGCAAGGCCCTGGAATAAGGACACGGTGATAAGGAGATGTGTGTCCTGCCCTCCAGGACTCACCCAGGCTGCGCCGCATACTCAGGTGAGGGGGTGGCACAGCTGGAGGCGGCGCCTGGAGACGGGCAGGCCAGAAGGGCTGAAAGGCAACCCAGGCCCAGGCTGAGAGGGGCCAAGGTTTGGATTTCCTTCTCCAGGCAGCTGTGGAGGGAGGTTTTAGGAAGGTGCCTTGGGTGGTGGTGCAGAGGATGGGGCAGGGCTGGAAGCCTGGCAGGCAGTCAAGACTACCCCCACAGTACAGTCAGGAAAAGATGAGGACTCAGGTAAGGAGAGGGATGTGGGTGGCAGGGGAGGGAGATGAGGGGAGAGCATAGCCCTCCAGGCTTAGCGACCACAGGACATGGGGAGGAGTGAGTGAAGGAGAAAGTCAAGAATGGCTCTGGGTTCCCAGCTTGAGCCTGGGGTAGGCGAAACGGCCCCTGACAATGCAGGGGTGGACAGAAAGCCAGCTTGTGGGCTCTGCTCAGACATGAAAGGCAGAGGGGTTCACAGGACAGCCAGGTGGAGATGTTTCAATGAAGAGATCTGAGGCACCAGAGAGAGGTCTGAACGGGAAGCGTGGGAGTCTGTAGAGGGAAGAAGGCCTGGGAAACCAGGAGGACGGTGAGATCCCCAGGGAAGCAATAAAGTGAGAGGGAAGCTGAGGAAGTCCTAGAAACAGGAAGTCTTCTGAGGTCCAGGGAGATCACAAGATCAGTGCTTAGAAGGCCAGACGCAGTGGCTCACGCCTGTAATCCCTGCAATTTGGGAGGCCAAGCCAGGAGGATTACTTCAGGGTAGGAGTTCGAGACCAGCTTGGACAACATAATGAGACCCTGTCTCTAAAAAAAATTAAAAATCAGCTGGGTGTGGGGGTGTGCGCCTGTGCTGTGGGTCCAGCTACTCGGGAGGCTGATGCAGGAAGATCAATTGAGCCTGGGAGGTGGAGGCTGCAGTGAGCCATGATTGAGCCACTACGCTCCTGGGTGACAGAATGAGACCCTCTCTCAAAAAAAAAAAAAAAAAAAGATTGGCATTTAGAGAGAGAGCAAGAGATTGAGTAGGAGCTGCAAAGGGCTGGAAGGGCTTCAGAGGAGGGCCACAGATGCTCGCAAAACAAGCAGAAAAGCTACAGAAAAATCTTTTCATTATAAGACAAAAATGTTTAATTAAGACTTTCAAAAATCTTTTGAAAGAAGTGGCCAGCTGACTTTCAACTCCACAGGAAGTGGGAGAAGGTGGGAATATGGGATATTACCTTGCCATGGCCTGACCTAAATTCTGTATGAGCTTAATAACAGCAGACAGGGAAACTCCACAATTTTCTGCTTAACACTTAGGTTCAACTGACAGTTTTTTTTGTTTTTGTTTTTGTTTTTGAGACGAAGTCTCGTTCTTGTCCCCCAGGCTGGAGTGCAATGGCACGATCTTGGCTCACTGCAACCTCCGCCTCCTGGGTTCAAGCGATTCTCCTCCCTCAGTCTCCCAAGTGGCTGGGATTACAGGCGCCTGCCACCATGCCCAGCTAATTTTTGTATTTTTAGTAGAGACAGGGTTTCACTATGTTGGTCAGGCTGGTCTCGAACTCCTGACTTCAGGTGATCCGCCCACCTCGGCCTCCCAAAGTGCTGGGATTACAGGTGTGAGCCACCGTGCCCGGCCTCAACTGACAGTTTTGTCAGATGACTGGTTTGACTGTCCTGTTTCTCCCCTAAGAGCCGAGCCCTGTCTATCTTGTGCACACTGTCCCCTCCATCCCTAGAACAGGGACTGATACTTGATGGACACCCAGTAAATGTATAAATTAATATCCATTTCTGGAGAAATTATCATCTGTAAGTCAAGAATGGTTCTGAAGGCCGGGCATGGTGGCTCATGCCTGTAATCCCAACACTTTGGGAAGCCAAGGCGGGTGGATCACGAGGTCGGGAGTTTGAGACCAGCCTGACCAACAAGGTGAGACCCTATTTCTACTAAAAATACAAAAATTAGCTGGGTGTGGTTGGCAGGCGCTTGTAATCCAAGCTACCCAGGAGGCTAAGGAAGGAGAATCGCTTGAACCTGGGAGGTGGAGAAGCACAGTGAGCCGGGATGGCACCACTGCACTCCAGCCTGGATGACAGTGTGAGACTCCGTCTAAAAAAAAAGAATGGTTTTGAAAACCACTTCCGTTGTTTTCTAAACTGCTTCCATATAAACACAGGTTATAATTATTCCAAAACTTATCAAGTCAAGCAGCTTTTGGAGCTGCACCAAAGGCTGTACAGTCACTTTAAACAGGTAAGAGTACGAATTAGTTCAGATATTACTGTCCTTGGCATCATCACACACTTAATGCAATGACATTTCAGGTGAACTGCTTAGGTGATTCAGAAACTGATAGTGATTGCCACATCCATGCTAAAGACACGGGTTTCAAGCACAGGGTTTAAGAGTGAGGTACCTCCTTGAGCCTGGCTTTGCTTGGCGACGCCCTCTGCTCCCCTGCCGCAGCAGGGCCACCAGGTAGCTGAGCAGCTCTTCTCTGCTGGAGGACAGCTGTGCGGGACTCTGCAAGGGTCTCTGAGCATGCGCGTCTTCTAGGTCCTTGGTATCTCTCTGATCGCAAAAGAGCTCCATTTTCTGGTTCAGATGGCAATGTCTCTTCAACGTCTACAGACTGACCATTCTAGACAGTGTTGCACACCCAAAAGTAAAATAAAACAATCATGCTTTATATACCCCATAAAAACCTTTTAGTGGCCGGGCGCCGTGGCTCACACCTGAAATCCCAGCACTTTGGGAGCCCAAGGCGGGTGGATCATTTGAGGTTAGGAGTTTGAGACCGACCTGGCCAGCATGGTGAAACCCCATCTCTACTAAGAATACAAAAAATTAGCCAGGCGCGGTGGCGCGCGCCTGTAGTCCTGGCTACTCGGGAGGTTGAAGCAGGAGAATCACCTGAACCTGGGAGGCAGAGGTTGCAGTGAGCCAAGATGGTGCCACTGCACTCCAGCCTGGGTGACAAGAGGGAAACTCTGTCTCAAAAAAAAGAAAAAAAAAGATTTCTCTGATGTGACTGTCATTTTAAAACCTGACCTGAATTTTGTTCCTAATTCATTACGTATCCATGACTTTTTAAACTTTTAAATTATTTTACTGGATAGATTTAAAATACCATAAAATTCATCCTTTGAAAGTACATAATTCAGTGGATACAAAATATTCGCGAAATTGTGTAACCATAACCACTATCTAATTCCAACACAGTTTCATCAGCTCAGAAAGAAACTGTACCCATTAGCAGTCACTCCTCCTCCTCCCTCCCGACAGGTCCTGGTAACCACCGGTCTACTTTCTGTCTCCATGCATCTGCATGGCTTTTGAAGAGAACCCTAGATCTGGCCTTGTCCTCATGTCCTGTTTCCTCATTCCCTGACAATTCCCTCCTCTGAAAACAGGAATAATAACGTAGAAAAATAAAATAAAGGCCAGGCGTGCCCGGTGGCTCATGCCTGTAATCCCAGCACTTTGGGAGGCCGAGGCGGGTGGATCACCTGAGGTCAGGAGTTTGAGACCAGCCTAGACAACACGGTGAAACCCTGTCTCTACTAAAATTACAAAAATTGGCCAGGTGTGATGGTGCACACCTGAAGGCTGAGGCAGAAGAATCACTGGAACCCAGGAGGTGGAGGTTGCAGTGAGCTGAAATCGCACCACTGCACTCCAGCCAGGGCAACACAGTGAGACTCTATCGCCAAAAAAAAAAAAAAAAAGAGCGGGGAGCAGTGGCTCATGCCTGTAATGCCAGCACTTTCGGGGACTGAGGCAGGTGGATTGCCTGAGGTCAGGAGTTTGAGACTAGCCTGGCCAACATAGTAAAACCCCGTCTCTACTAAAAATACAAAAAATTAGCTGGGCATAGTGGCAGATGCCTGTAATCTCAGCTACTAGAGAGGCTGAGGCAGGAGAATCCCTTGAACCCAGGAGGCAGAAGTTGCAGTGAGCTGAGATCATGCCATTGCACTCCAGACTGGGCAACAAGAGCAAACCTCCGTCTCAAAAAATAATAATAAAAATTAAAAAAAGAGAGAGAATTATAATAGAATACTAAATACTACAACACTGAACAACATGAATAACCTAAATGAAATGGACAAATTCCTACATACACAAAACCTGCCAAAACTAAATCACAAAGAAGTAGAAAATCTGAGGCCGGGCGCAATGGCTCACGCCTGTAATCCTAGCACTTTGGGAGGCCAAGGCGGGCAGATCACCTGAGGTCAGGAGTTCAAGACCAGCCTGGCCAACATGGTAAAACCCTGTCTCTACTAAAAATACAAAAAATTAGCTGGGCATGATGGTGGGCACCTGTAATCCCACCTACTCGGGAGGCTGAGGCAGGAGAATCGCCTGAACCCAGGAGATGGAGGTTGCAGTGAGCTGATATTACGCCATTACACTCCAGCCTGGGTGACAGAGCAAAACTTCGTCTCAAAAAAAAAAAAAAAAAAAAAAGGTTATCTCTATTTGCAGATATGATCTTATATGTAGAAATGCCTAAAGATTACACACACACATACACACACACACACACACACAAATATTAGAATTAATAAATGAGGCAAGGTGCAGTGGCTCATGCCTATAATCCCAGCATTTTGGGAGGCTGAGGTGGGCAGATCACTTGAGGCCAGAAATTGGACACCAGCCTGGCGAATATGGCGAAACCCCGTCTCTACTAAAAGTACAAAAATTAGCCAGGCATGGTAGCACACGCCTGTAATTCCAGCGACTAAAAAGGCTGAGGCAGGAGAATTGCTTGAAACGAGGGGGCAGAGGTTGCAGTGAGCTGAGATCACACCACTGCACTCCAGCCTGGGCAACAGAGTCAGACTGAAAAAATAAATAAATAAATAAATACACAAAATCAGCTGCATTTCTAAACACTAGCAATGAACAATTTGAAAAGAAAATAAAGAAAATAATTCCACTTAAAATCTAGCAATTCCACTTCTGGATATATACCCAAAGAAATTGGGCCGGGCGTGGTGGCTCACGCCTGTAATCCCAGCACTTTGGGTGGCCAAGGCGGTGGATCACAAGGTCAAGCGATCGAGACCATCTTGGCTAACATGGTGAAACCCCATCTCTACTAAAAATACAAAAACTTAGCTGGGCGTGGTGGCTCGTGCCTGTAGTCCCAGCTACTCGGGAGGCTGAGGCAGGAGAACGACTTGAACCCGGGAGGTAGAGGTTGCAGTGAACTGAGATCGCGCCACTGCACTCCAGCCTGGCGACAGAGCAAGACTCCATCTCAAAAAAAAAAAAAAAGAAGAAAGCAGGGTCTCAAAGATGTAATTGAACATCTGTGTTCATAGCAGCATCGTTCACAATAGCCAGAAGGTGAAAGCAACCCAAGTGTCCACTGACAGATGAACAAGCAACGTGTGATATGTACACACAGTGAGATATTACTCAGTCTTACAGAGGGAGGACATTCTGACACTTACTACAACATAAACCTTGGATATCGTGCAAAGTGAAATAAGCCAGCCACAGAAAGACAAATACCCTGTGACTCCACTTCTATACGGAAATTAGAGTAGTCAAGATCATAGAAGACAGAAAGTCGAAGGTTGGGGGAAAAGGGAATGGAGAGTTGGTGTTTACAGGGACAGAGTTTTAGTTTTTTTGTTTCTTTTTCACTTAGCCCAACGTGAAGCTCGGAGTTTTAGTTTTAGAAGATGAAAAGAGTTCTGGAGATGTGTGGGGGTGATGGCTGCACAACACTGTGAATGTGTTTAATACCCCTGAACCACACACTTAAATATGGTTAAGATGGTACATGTCATGCTATGTGTTTTTTTACTACTATATGTGTGTGTGTGTATACATATATATATATATATATATATATATATATATATATTTTTTTTTTTTTTTTTTTTTTGAGATGGAGTTTCACTCTTGTTGCCCAGGCTGGAGTGCAATGGCATGATCTCGGCTCACTGCAACCTCCACCTCACAAGTTCAAGCAAATCTCCTGCCTCAGCCTCTCAAGTAGTTGGGATTACAGGCATGTGCTACCATACCCAGCTTATTTTGTATTTTTAATAGAGATGGGGTTTCACCATGTTGGCCAGGCTGGTCTCGAACTCGTCACCTGAGGTGATCCGCCCACCTCGGCCTCCCAAAGTGCTGGGATTACAGGTGTGAGCCACTGCACCCGGCTCAATAAAATATTTTAGAAAAAAATTTTTTGATGTGATAATGCAAATTCATAGCGACTCACACCTACTTTATCAGGAGTTGCAGAAGCAGCAGAAGGGGGAGAGGACACGCTAAGCAGCCAGGAGCTGTTGACACTCCAGAAGCACCCCCAGGGACTCCTTTTCTCAACACCCTCTGTAATGGCAACATCAGCCAAGAGCGCACTGCCATTGGTTTTACTGACCAAACCTAGAGCTGACGGATGCATTCCCATGAGATGTGCTCACTAAATCATCCTAGCACACAGAAGACACACATTTCCTGGCCTGTTTGGCAGCAGTGCAGACAACGTGGGGGTCTCAGATCCTCCACTAGAGTGATTCTGGTCCCGCTACAGCCTTCGCCTGAATCCCCATCAGATCAGACACCATAAGGGTCAATGTAAGGATGATGAGCAGGCAGGGGCAGGAACTGGGACTGATTTGGTTTGAATCTGTGTCCCCACCAAATCTCATGTTGAAGTGCAATCTCCAAAGTTAGAGGTGGGACCTGGTGGGAGGTGACTGCTGGATCATGGGGGCAGAACCCTCATGGCTGGTTTAGCATGACAGTGAGTGAGTTCTCATGATATCTGGTTGTTTAAAAGTGTGTGGTGGCCAGGCGTGGTGGCTCACACCTGTACTCTCAGCATTTTGGGAGGCTGAGGCAGGCAGATCACCTGAGGTCAGGAGTTCAAGACCAGCCTGGCCAACATGGTGAAACCCTGTCTCTACCAAAAATACAAAAATTAGCCAGGCGTGGTGGTGGGCGCCTGTAATCCCAGCTACTTGCGAGGCTGAGGCAGGAGAATCACTTGAACTGGGGAGGCGGAGGTTGCAGTGAGCCAAGATCAGGCCACTGTGCTCCAGCCTGGATGACAGAGCGAGGATCCATCTCAAAAAAAATAAATGAGTGTGTGGTACCTCCCCCTGCCCCTTGTTCCTGCTGTGGCCATATGAGGCGCCTGCTCCCACTCTGCCTTCACCGTGACTCTGTTTCCCGAGGCCTCCCCAGAAGCTAAACAGATGCCAGCACCATGCTTCCTGTACAGTCTATGGAACCGTGAGCCAACCCTCTTTTCTTTATAAAATACCTGGTCTCAGGTATTTCTTTATAGCAATCCGAGAACGGCCAAATAAAAAGACACATACCCAGACAGAAACATTACCTGCAGGCCACCGCGTGCTGACTCTGTCACCAAGCAGGAGCGGGCCCCTCCCTCACATGGATCCGCTGGCATGGACAGCCCCAGGGAGGTCAGGCTGAGCGTCCTTTCCTCCGTGCACCCCCGGAGGGTGCTTCCACTGGCTTTCTCAGACAGCACCATCTCGGGGTCCAACTGGCCGTGGCCTGGGTTAAGTTTAAAATGTCGGGCCAGTCCCCCCTTCCCTATATATGACTTTTCACAAGTCTGACACTTAAAGCTTTTGGGCCTCAGGGAGCAGCTCGATAAGTCAAAGAGTGCGTGCCTCTCCCTCTGATCTTCATCTTCTTCCACACAGAGTTCTGAGTAATCATCAGAATCTGACAGATGACCATCCGCCAGATCCTCTGTTTTTATGAACTTATAATCTTTAGCTTTATATTTGGGAGGTCGAGATACCCGTCCAGAACGTGTCTTTACTTTTAACGATTTTTTTAGTTTCTCAGTATGTCTTGTATGCAAGTTGGAAATAAATGGATGTGCTGAACTGGATGAAAGAGATGTTACTGCCAGCGGGTCAGAGGCAGACAAAGGGGTCAACATGGAGCCCTGTTCATCTGGAGCCTTGGGGGCTGGGACTCTCTTTGCAGGGACCACCTGGAGGGCTGGCAGTGGTCTCTGTACAAACCCCTGAGCAGGAGGTTGGCATAAGTCACTTAGGAAGCAGGACTGTGGCTCGGTTCTCACAAGCGGCTGTACCCTGAGCAGCTGAGGGCTGGCGATATGGAGCCCCACCAGGCAGGAATTCCCCCGGGGCAGCTGGCTCTTTCTTGCAGTTTGGGGCTGGATTGTGGTCGGTAGGAGCATTGGCCTTTCCTGACCTTTTGTTTCTCCAGACGTTACCTTGACACAAATGGCTTCTAGTTGCTTACGTACAGAAAGACAAGAAAGAGAAAAGAAGCATTGTGCTTATGAACATGTCTGCAATTTCAGTCTCGTCATAAAACCATTATTGACATTTTTTCTAAATTACATCTTACATATAAAAGTTGATGTAATGTGTTTGTACTAAGGTGGTATTTTCCAGACCTTTCTGACCAGAGACCACAGTGATATAAGCTGGGCTTGGTGGCTCACACTTGTAATCCCAGCACTTTGGGAGGCCAAGGCAGGCCGATTACTTGAGGTCAGGAGTTCGAGACCAACCTGGCCAACATGGTGAAACCCCATCTCTACTAAAAATACAAAAATGAGCTGGGCGTGGTGATGCACTCCTGTAGTCCCAGCTACTCAGGAGGCTGAGGCATGAGAATCGCTTGAACCCGGGAGGAGGTTGCAGTAAGCTGAGATCGCACCACTGCACTCCAGCCTGGGCAACAGAGTGAGACTCCATCTGAAAAAAACAAAAACAAAAACAGAGACCACAATGATACATTTTACATTATGACCTAGTACACGTGTATATAAATATCTGCATACATAAATAAAATAAAGTTGATGGAACTACTTACCATCCCTATATAAATGCCCGCTGATTGTATCTATTCTACATCATTTTTTTTTTTTTTTTCTGAGATTAGGGTCTCACTCTGTCACCCAGGCTAGAGTGCAGTGGTGCGATCTCAGTTCACTGTAACCTCTGCCTCCCAGTTTCAGCGATTCTCTCATCTCAGCCTCCGGAGTAGCTGCCACCACACCCAGCTAATTTTTGTATTTTTTGGTAGAGACGGGTTTCACCATGTTGGCCAGGCTGGTCTCAAATTCCTGACGTCAAGTGATTGATCCACCTGCCTTGGCCTCCCGAAGTGCTGGGATTTCCAGCGTGAGACACCACGCCCAGCCCTATTCTACATCACTTTTTAAAAAATACTAGTCATAATCCACTAAGTTGATTTCATGACCAGTGAAGAGATAAGAGCCTTCCTAACAGTTTTACCCATGTGAGGTTTTTCTTTTTCTTTTGAGACGGACCCTTGCTCTGTCGCCCAGGCTGGAGTGGAGCGACACTATCTTGGCTCACTGCGACCTCCGCCTCCCGAGTTCAAGCAATTTTCCTGCCTCAGTCTCCCAAGTATCTGGGATTACAGGCACGTACCACCACGCCCCGGCTAATTTTTGTATTTTTAGTAGAGACAGGGTTTCACCATTCAGGCTGGTCTCGAAATCCTGACCTCTGGCGATCCACCTGCCTCACCACACCCGGCTGGCTTTTTGTTTGTTTGTTTTTTTGAGATGGAGTCTCGTTCTGTCGCCCAGGCTGGAGTGCCACCACAACCTCCACTTCCCAGGTTCAAATGATTCTCCTGCCTCAGCCTACTGAATAGCTGGGATCACAGGTGTGTGCCACCATGACCAGCTAATTTTTTTTTAAGATGAAGTCTCGCTCTGTGGTCCAGGCTGGAATGCAGTGGCGCTATCTCAGCTCAGTGCAACCTCTGCCTCTCAGGTTCAAGCAATTCTCCTGCCTCAGCCTCCTGAGTAGCCCTGATTACAGGCGCTTGCCACCACACCTGGCTAATTTTTGTATTTTTAGTAGAGACGGGGTTTCACCATGTTGGTCAGGGTGGTCTCAAACTCCTGACCTCATGATCTGTCCGCCTCAGCCTCCCAAAGTGCTGAGATTACAGGCATGAACCACCGTGCCCGGCGTTACCCATGTGTTTTTGCTTGGAGTTTTTAGTACTCTAAAAGCAGACGTAATTCATAATGTGGGCCCATGTTTTTTAAAAAGTTTTTAATGAAATTCTGGAAGCGACAACAAAGCCATAAGGAACAATGTTACCCAGCTTCCTACTGCACAACCTGCATGCCTGTTTCTTCACCCTGTCCTGAATGTGCTGTTTAGCATTCTTATGATTTTAAAAATTTATGTGGCATATGCAGATATTTCTAAAAATATATAGTTCAGTTCTGAAATGTTTTTAAACTTTATATAAATGATATCATCTCCTGCAACTTGAAAGGGCTTTTCTGGGTTTCTTTACTTCATTTTGCTTCGTGAATTTTATCCACATTAACATGGGTAGGTGTCACGGGTTCATTTTCTCTGCAGTATGAGTACACCAGTCTCCTATTGATGGACAGGTGGTTTCCAACCTTCTGTTCCTAAGTTCTGCTCTGAATCTTCACGATGTATGTGTATACATGTGTGACTTTCTCCAGGGGCATGTACCTAGGCGTAGGGCTGAGTATCTTCAATAACTTTTTACAAATATATCTAACAAAATTTCAAATACATGTGCTTTTTGACCCAGTAATTCCATTTCCTGGATTCTATAAAAAAAACACGCAGGTGGCCACAAAGATGTTCTGTTCTACGAAGTTCAGGGCAGCACTGTCTATAATAGCAAAACACCTACCAAAGGGGAGAACTACCTTCAATAACACCCCACAAATATTTATTGAGCACTGACCGCGTGCCAGAAACACTGTTACAGGTGTCAGGGAAACAGCTGTCTTACAGCTTAGGGGAGAAGGACGGGGAAGCAAAAGAAACAAGGCTCCCGCCCTCACAGAGCAGAAATAATGAGCACTTTCCTCCAGGGAGAAAAAGAGGCAAACCTCATCATCCAGAGCACGATTTCCCAACCAACATTTCAGAACATAATCCTTTGACATGGGTGGCTGGAGGATGGCCAGCAGCATCTCTGCCTCTACCCACTAGATGCCAGTAGTGATCCCGAGTCCTGACAATGAAGACATTGCCAAGTGCCCCCTGTGGGGCAAAACTGCCCTCGGTTGAGAATCACTTATTTGGGACGACCAACTGGCCCTCTTTGGACTCAACCTTCTGGTGTGACCCTCAAACAGTGGAGCATCAACAAAAATGTCACACAGGACAGAATAAAGATCCTCACTGAGATCAAGCTGGAGTGTGTCTCTCGTCTGTCTGTTATACTAGTACAAATAGCAGAGGTCAGCCAACACTTTGTATGAAGAATTGTAGAGAGGTGGCACCATAGCCCTGGGAGTCCCCGACTCCTGGGCTACTTGTGAAACAAATGACAACGAGATTGACTGCGCATATCCTTCAAGAACCCCATCTCTTTCATTTTACTGCCAGTCACACCTGTAATCGCAGTGCTTTGGGATGCTGAGGCGGGAGGACTGCTTGAGGCCAGGAGTTCAGGGCCAGCCTGGGTAACATAGCGGGACCCTGTCTCTACAAAACATTTTTAAATTAGCCAGGCATGATGGTGCATACATGTAGCCCCAGCTACTCGGGAGGCTGAGGTGTGAGGATCATTTGAGCCTGGGAGTTCGAGGCTGTAGTGAGCCGAGATCAGTCCAGCCTGGGTGAGAAAGAAAGACCCTGTCTCAACAAAACCCCAAAACAAAAACATAATACATATACATACATACACTAAACCCTACTGTTTGAGGATAACCACAGCGGCAAAGCCAGACTAATAATGTATTTATCCTCTATCCTCACTGGCTTACCCTGTGGGTATTATGCTTGATACTTTGTTTAGTTAATTCAGCTAATGTTAACTCAGTATTTCTGGGTGGAATACATACACAGGAGCCAAGTCCTAACCTCACCCTTGAGATGGGGGCGGTTTCCCCTGCCATACCTCAGTCCCCGCAGACCTGCTGAATCGGATCTCCTGGGGTGAGGCCCCAAGATCTGCCCTTTCAAAAGCTCCACTGATGATTCTGAAGGCAGACAAGCTTCCCTAAGGAATGCAGACAGGTGAGGCAGACAGGAAAAATGTCATCATGGTACAACAGGTGCAATCAAGAGGCAGGAACAGCCCAGAGGTGGTGGGCTGCCCAGAAGCTGTGATCTCTGAGGGGCATTTTGAAGGCTGGGAATTTTTGCCAGGTGAAAAAGGGCACACATCCATGTGTAAATGCACGGATGCATGAAAAGGGGCACAGCATGTTGGATGGAACTGGAAATTTCTGTGGGGTGGGGAAGAGGGAGGATGGGGAGAGACAGGGGCCTCGATCTGACCCAAGTGTGTCCATTGGTCTGTGCTGCTGATCCACACCACCCCCACAGCGAACACTGGGCCTTCTGCTGTGGTTGTTGAAATGCACCCCCAACCGCCCCAGAACCTGCCTCTCCCCTTCTGCATTTTCAACTCAGACGCACCCTTTCAAATCTAGTTCAGATACCACTTCTTCAACAAAGCTGCTTCTGATGTCCTCAGCCAGGAACAATCTCCCTTTCTCTAAATACATTCAGTTCTTTTTCACTATCTTTAGCTTTCTGGCCTTGACTAGAAGTTATCTGGGTCTTGTTTCATCTCCTGTTAGTTCATAAACTACTGAGGGGCAAAGTACGCATCCGGTTTGCCTTTGTGGCCTCCATGACACAGCTGGGGCTGAAAGAGTATTAAAAGAATGTGCTGCAAAGGTATATTATTGCAGGTAGAATTTATATCGTCTCCATTAGATTAGCTACAAAATACAATCCCATCATGCTGCCTAAGCTCGAATAAGTTTGCTTTTGCTTTACGAAAAATATGTCATTTTTGGATTCCAAACCCAAAAAGCTGTGGCCATATTCAGCAGGGTATGGTGAGGAGTACAGGGGCTAGGGAGAGCAGCCACACCTGAGGGACCTTGGGCAAAGCCACGCAACCTCCCTGAGCTTGTTTCCCACCTGCAAAATGCCGGTACAAAAACACTGCTGAAAACTGAGCGGCCCCGCACAGCGCCGGGCGCAGAGCAGAGGCTTTGCAGATAGCTGCCCCCAGATGGCACCTTGCAGCCTTCTGACCCAGACCAAAGTCCAAAAAGGTTGACTTACCCAAGGTCACACCTCTAGATAGTGATAGTGTGGCATCTGGACAGAATCACACTGGTCTTCCTAAACCTTAGCAAGACAACTCTCCAGTCTTGATGATTAACTGGATACAACCCTAAGCAGCTAACATCAGTCAAAAAAACTCAACGAGTGAAGGTTCCTGATTCTATTCCCTAACCCGTTTCTTCTAGTGGAAAAAGCTGTCTTCTTTTGGCAATTTTGGGGTGAGACTAATTTTGTTTACAACCCCAGCGCTGAAATGGGGTGGAATTTTACAGATGCCGTGTAGGCCCTCTGGCTTCAGGCGCTATGCTTCACCCTCCGGAGTTGGGCGACCGTCTTCTAGTTATCACCCCCCTAGCAACCAAAAGGTGTGTGGCCCAGGAAATAAACCCACTGGGAAAGGATGTTTTGTAGTATACAGAGTGCTTTCACATATTCCAAACATTGTGTATCAGGCACTGTGCTGGGTACTGCGGTTACAAATCAGTCACTATCACCCAGGATGTTAAGTCCTGCAGCGAACTAGTGTATTGTGCTTGACTTTGTTCCAAGCCTGGGCCTTGGCACCTTACAACTGAAAAGCTAAGTTGGTTCCTTTTAATTCATTTATGTTTCAGCTCCAGTGTCTGGCCTACGGGACCACCCACTCTAAAGCAGCCCCCGTCAATCCCAGAACCTGCCTTATGTTCGTTCTTCAGCAAGTGTGTTCAAGGCTTCACCTCCTGCACATAGTGGGGAGTGCTGGGAACACGGTCTCTAAGTGCTCCACAAAGGCTGAACCAGCGGTGAAAGGCCTGTAAGAAGAGCTAGGGAGCACGCAAAAGCCCCCAGCAGGGCTGTGAAGGCAGAGAAGGCACGAGGGCGTTCCAGGCACAGGGCCCAGCGTGAGCAACCGCTCCTAGAGTGAGGCTCCTGGGGTGAAAATGCCAGGGTGGTGACAGGTGGGGGCCGAACGCCGTCCCTAAGAAGCTCAGCCTGGGGACGCCCTGAGTCTTAACCCGGGCGGATACTGGCCTCCCCGGACAAGCAGCTACCCCGCCGCGGGGCGTCGGCCCCCTTCGGGCCTCAGTTTCCCCACGTCCCTCCCGACGCCTCACCTGGGGCGGGAGCAGGCGCGGCAGGCGCGGGGGCTCGGTGCCCCGGCCCCGCTGCAGGGCGGCCTGTTGGGCCGCGTCCCGCAGCCGCCGCGCCGCGTCCCGCAGCACGAAGGGGGGCGGCGGCGGCGGCGGCTGCGCCTTCGTCACCTGCTCCAGGACCTGCCGCAGCTGCTCGGGGCCCAGCGGGGCCACACGTGCGACGCTGCCGCTCTGGCCCGGAGGAGCCGGGCCGCCGCCGCCGCCGCCATCCTCGCTGCCGCCCCCAGCCTCCGGCTCCGCATCCGCCATGGCGGCCGAGGCGGGGACTCGAACCCGGGTCGCTGAGCGACGGCGTCTCCAATGTACGTCACCTAGGAGAGGGGCGGGCTACGAGTGCCTCGCAGGCCAAGACACCTAGGAAGGCGACCGTGTCTGGCCGGGAAAGTCGTGGAGTGCCCCGCCCCAGCCGACAACCGCCGCGGCTCTTAGGGCTGATCAGCAGAGCGGACCCCCCTTATTTTCCTTATTGCCTGTCACGGATGTGTTTAAGACTCACCTTCTCTGGGAGCTGTCCCGGATCTCCCAGGGGGAGGTCTTCGGGGTTTCAGAGCCCCTGGCCCAAAAGTTACCACAATATCCAAGTGTTCTGACGTCATCATGCATCCGAATCAGCGGAGGATGCTGTCTGGAGATGCAGAGTACTGTGCCCACCCCTAAACATTTGGATTTATACATCTGGGAGGGGACCACAGTTTGAATTGTTAACGAGAGTGTTTCCCAAATTTTTGCCTTGTCACCGTAGCTTCTCTCTACCCACCCACCCAGATTGGGTGCACCTTGAAGGGAGAGATGATATATTACACAATCGGTGCCCAGCACAGGCCCTGCCCAGAACACAACGCACGCTCAGGGCATGAATGATGGATGGATGAATATGAATAAACGAATGAGTGAACGAATGAATGAACCCACCCTCTCTCTATCCATCCAGCTCCACTGCCCCATCTTCCTCAGCCTGATCGCCTCTCCTTCTTACGGTTGAGGCTCTGTGCGCCCTCCGAATCTTGTAGCTGCAGGTGTGTACACATGTCCCAGCTCCTTTCCCCAGGGAGAGCAGGAGGTCCACTGGTCCACAAACCCTTCTTAAGCACCTGGTGGGTGAACCGCTGTTTCCGCCCTGGGGGGTATACAGTCTAGGTGCCGACCCCCAAGGAGGAAACTTCCCAAGGGGGAAGGAGGAAACTGGCATTTGCAGCACAGTATGATGAGCGCCGAAGCCGGTAAAGTAAGGCTGGCGGCCTGGGTGGCGTCAGAGAAGGTTCTGGAAGATCACCACCATCCTCATCAATACTCACATTGCATTCACGATGATCCCTTCCGTGTTATTTTTTAATGGTGAATTTTATATTATGGGTATCTTACCACAATTTTTTTTTTTTTTTGAGACAAGATCTCACTCTGTCACCCAGGCTGGAGTGCAGTGGCACAATCTCAGCTCACCGCAACCTCCATCGCCTGGGTTCATGCGGTTCTCCTGCCTCAGCCTCTTGAGTAGCTGGGATTACAGGCGTCCGCCACCATGCCTGGCTAATTTTTGTATTTTTAGTAGAGACGGGGTTTCATCATGTTGGTAAGGCTGGTCTTGAAACCCTGACCTTAGGTGATCCGCCCGCCTCGGCCTTCCCAAGTGCTGAGATTACAGGTGTGAGCCACCACACCCGACCAGATTTCAGGAATTCACATGCCTTCTGCTCAAAATAATTTTCATGCCACCGTGGCATATTCTAAACCCCTTCAAGCTCAGGAAACTTGAGGGCAGCAACCTCCACCGATTCCTCCATGCTGTGTCCCTGCATCTAACAACGTGCCTGGCACGACTATTAAAAGATGTGACATCCATCCTGTGTACAGATGTCTATTTTAAGTGTCAGCTGCCCCAGGCTCTCCTAACTTTGCTTATAATAGCAGCAGCGCCATCGGCTGGCATTTATTGAGAACTTTTACTACACCCTGGGCACATACCAAGGTCTGTAGATGTTGAGCTGCTTCTTATTTAGGTCAGAACTAGTAGCTGTTTCCACTGTAGAATTTTCAAAAACAGGTGGAGCCCTTGCCGGATCCTGACATAAAATGGCATCAACCTTATACAACCGGCTTTTGTTCAGCTGAGCACACCTGACCACCCTAGAAACGAACCGAGTGAGAAATTCATCCACTTGCTCTGGCTTCAAAATGTAGAACCAAGAGGAAGAAATGTGAAGCCTAAGATGTCTCCGAAAAGAAAAGAGGGGGGACAAAAAGCAAGAGAAGGTTTCCAGAGGCTTCCACAACCTGAATGCCTCACTAAAAACATGGCAGTCATCTAGTGGCTGGTCACTGTCTCCAGCGGGTTGGGGTTTGTGTCTCACCGTTTTGCTCCCAGCCTAGGAATGGTGCTGGGCATGCAGTAGCTCTCCATATGCATCTGTGGAATGCATTCATTCCAGACCTGGATTTTCACCTCCAAGACTTCCCCGCAAGTGGGCCCAGGGAACACTAGGCGGTGATATCTGCGAGCACCTGTCTTCACTGGGCGGTTCCTCCAGGCCAGACGCAGCCTCAGGAAACGTGGGGGGTGGGGGCGTGGGATGTGCATCGGTTGGATGTCCAGAGTGTCCTTTAAAACGACAAAAGTAAAAGGCCTAACCAATGGCATTCTAAAACAGACCCTTCAGGTGGCGGCGCGGGGACTCGGGGTGAGGAGCCACCGCCCCAGCGCGCTCTGAGTTCCTCCCGCTCTCCCCAGCAGGTAGCCTTGGATAACCTCTGGGCCAGTCCAAAAGATTCCGCAGTTCTCTCCTGCCTGCACGCCGGTTACAGTATCAGAAAGGAACATTGCGGGGACCAAAAAAAAAAAAAAAAAGTTAGCCTGGCCCGTACGGGGATCGAACCCGCGACCTTGGCGTTATTAGCACCACGCTCTAACCAACTGAGCTAACCGGCCGCCTGACGTTGGGCCCCCACGGGAGCGCCTAAGAGGGCTCCAAGCCCGCGCCCGCCCCCTAGCGACTCCCTGCCGGGCCGGCGCCGCTGGCTGCATTCCGCTTCGCCACAGCCGCGACTTCCGACCTCTTCACAGTCATCCCCATTGGCCCGATGCAGAAACTAAGACTTAGGGGACTTCAAGGAGAAGGGAGGCGACTCCCTACAGCGAAGGCGGCTTTTTTTCACAGGAAAAATGCAAATTGCACATGGGAGGCTTAGCTCCGCAGTGAGAAGGTTTTCAAACATGCCAACTCAGTGTTGTTTTTATCTCCGAGAATCCTGCAGCGTGGAAACTTCGTGTAACAGAGGCCTTTAGCATGGTTAAATCAAGCTTGGAAAATACAGAAAACCGGACAAAAGAACCACCGAATTCCCTATCGCCCAATAAACAAGGGCCGCTGGGGTCTTGGCTTCCTTCCTGCTGGTTTTTTTTCCTACAGTACACGTGTATTTATACACACACACACACACACACACACACACGGAATCCAAAGCCTTGTATGAAGCAGTCTTTTTTTTGAGACGGAATCTCCCTCTGTCGCCCAGGCTGGAGTGCAGTGGCGAGATTTCGGCTCAATGAAGCAGTCTATTTTTTATCTTTCTTTTTGCATTTAATATTCTAGAATAAGCATATCCCTAAACAATTGCAAATGTCACTTTAAATGATTTCTCAGTGTTTCATTGAGTGGACAAACCACCATGGCTTTCTCCTTTTTTTTTTTTTTTTTTTTTTAGTGTCTGTAAAAATGTTTTCATTTTGCTCTCTCTCTTGTTAACTGAGCACATAAATAAATCACATGGTACAGGCAGAAGGGTTGAAACAGCCACTGAGTAGGCAACGATGGTACCCACCCCTAAAAGCGTAGGATCTGTATGCAAAAAAAGAGAGAGAGAAAGAAAAGGCTGGGAAGACAAACCACCACCGTGTCCACCACCCAGCCTGCATGTCCCAGAGGCCTACTGTTCTCCTACAGGGCCTGACTATGGTGTGCTGCGTGGCCCTCCCACTCCAGGAGCACCAGCTTTTTTTTTTTTGAGACAGAGTCTCGCTCTGTCACCCAGGCTGGAGTCCAGTGGTGCAATCTCAGCTCACTGCAACCTCTGCTTCCTGGGTTCAAGCGATTCTCCTGCCTCAGCCTCCCAAGTAGCTGGGACTACAGGCACGCGCCTTGTCCGGTTACTTTGTGTGTGTGTGTGTGTGTGTGTGTGTGTGTGTGTGTGTGTGTGTGTATTTTTAGTAGAGATGGGGTTTCACCATGTTGGCCAGGCTGGTCTCGAGCTCCTGACCTCAAGTGATCCGCCTGCCTCGGCCTCCCAGAGTGCTAGGATTACAGGCGTGAGCCACCGCATCGGGCCAGCTTTTTAACATTATACATTCTGCTCTGATTACTCCACTAAACTGCTTGGACTGAGGTATCGTCAGGGTTCTATGTCACAAGCAGCAGAAACCGAGTCTAGCTGATTCGAAAAGATTTTATGTAAAGGATGTTAGGTAGGTCACCCTCCACGAGTAAGGCTAGAGGACCAGGTTTAGAAAAACGGACACTCAGTGAAGACATACTCATTCAGCCCGGCAGTGCCCTGGCCCCCAATCAGCTGTGAGTCAAAGAAACCTAATCCCCATCCTGATGGAGCTCTCCGCATAACAAGGAAGGCGGATATTATAGGGAACGGAGAAGATTAGGTGGTGTGCTGGGAGGCTGGGCAAGCGTCCTGAAGTCTGGAGCACTTTACTGTGTCCAAAGGACAAGGATAGATGAGCAGGCCAAAGGGGTAAAGCCCTCTCACAGAGCACTGGTGGGGGTGCAGGCATCCTGTCCATTTTGCTTACAGCTGAATGAATGCCCAGAACCTAGCACACTCTCTGGCATAGCAATAGGTAAGAGTCACATGGGTTTAAAACAGTCAGATCAAGTCATTTCTCTGCTCACACTCTCTCCTTTTGTTGCAGCCCTAACAGGCCTGCCAAATTTAGCAAATATAGATCAAGATGCCGGGTTAAAATTGAATTGCAAAAGGACAATGAAACTTTTTTTAGTGTAAGTATGTCCCACGCCATATTTGGGACATACTTATACTAAAAGAATACATGTGCTGTATCTGACAACCCTACGCCCAGGGTAACATCCCGTTGAAAGACACCACCGGACCTGCGCCTTTCCCCTCTGCCCTCCTGCACCCCTGCCCGGCTCCCTCCGCGGCAGCCCCTCCGCCTCCTCCCTGGCCCTTGCTCCTGTGCTGGGGCTTTTGCGCTTCTGTTCCTCTTCCTGGACCACTTTTCCTGCAGACAATGTCAAAGCTCCTCCTCCTCGTCGTGGTCGCTGCTTAAATGTCACTTACTCAGCGAGGTTTACCCGATGCCCCCATTTGCAATCGCAACCCGCACCCAGGATCCCTGCGGTTCCCGGCCCGACCCCCCTCCATCGCTTATTCCCGCTGCTAATCGTCGGCCTCCCACCGCTAGAGCGAACTCCAGGAGCAGTGGGCTCTATTTTACCAGCACCTAAACAGTGCTTGGCACACAGCGGGTGGTCAGTCCAGGTCTCCTGAAGGAAGCCGAGTTGATCGACCCTTGTGGGTGCAACCGTGGCATTCCCGGGACTTCAAGCCACGCGTCCCGAGTGGGCAGAGTGGACGGGGCGCGCCGGGGCCGGGGCGCCGTGACTGACGTCAGCCGCTAGAGGGCACCTGGGACCTGCGCCATCAGCTCCGAACCCAGGCTTAGGGCGACCCACGTGCAGCTGCAGGGCGGGCGCGGGCGAGCAGTTTTCTTTCCTCCTCTGGACCTCTTCCTCCACTTCTCACCCCGTCTTAGAGCTCTTAGACAAACAAACGCTAATTTTCATTCTCTGAGTGACGAAAACACGAATCTACATACTTTCAGAATTAAGTGGTAGAGAATACCATTCGGGCTTGTTTTCTTGCTTTTGTTTTTGTTTTTGAGACGGAGTCTCGCTCTTGTCGCCCAGACTGGAGCGCAGTGGCGCGATTTCGGCTCACTGCAACCTCCGCCTTGTATTTGTTTTTTGTTTTTTTAATGTGGGGCGGGGGGCCCATGTGCATTTTAAATAATCCATTTTCTTTAAACTCAACTTACGAAATGTTTCATTCTGTTTATAAGTTGGAACCTTTGGTCTGACAGTAACGACCCGCTGTGTTAGTTTCCCAGGTCGGCCACAGCAGAGTATTATAAGGTAGGTGGCCACACAACAGAATATATGGCCTCACAGTTCTAGTAGGCAGACGTCCAAAGTCAGGGTGTCGGGAAGGTCGCTTCCTTCGGAGGCTCCCACGGAGACCGCCCCAGGCTGTCTCCTGGCTTCTGGTGGATTTCGGGCCAACTTTGGCCTTCCTTCGCTTGTAGAAGCTTCACTCTGATCTCTGCCTGCATCTTCACATACTGTTCTCCCTGTGTGTCCCTATGTCCAAATCGCCCCTTTTGTGTAGACGCCAGTCATAATGGACTAAAGTCACTCTGAAGACCTTTTTTTTTTTTTTTTTTTTTTTTTTTAAGACGGAGTTTCCCTCTTGTTGCCCAGGCTGGAGCGCAATGGCGCGATCTTGGCTCGGCTCACTGCAACCTCCGCCTCCCGGGTTCAAGTGATTCTCCTGCCTCAGCCTCCTGAGTAGCTGGGATTACAGGCATTCACCACCACGCCCGGCTAATTTTGTCTTTTTAGTAGAGATGGGGTTTCACCATGTTGGCCAGCCTGGTCTTGAAGTCGTGACCTCAAGTGATCCACCTGCCTTGGCCTGGAAGCACGTACATTATTGCGAAGTTTTGACAAAGTCTCAAAAGTCTTTTTTATTTTGTTTTTGAGATGGAGTTTCGCTCTTGCCACCCAGGCAGGAGTGCAATGGCGTGATCTTGGCTCACTGCAACCTCTGCCTCCTAGGTTCAAGCAATTCTCCTGCCTCAGCCTCCCAAGTAACTGGGATTACAAGCGCCCACCACCAAGCCCAGCTAATTTTTGTATTTTTAGTAGAGACGGGGTTTCACCACGTTGGCAAGACTGATCTTGAACTCCTGACCTCAGGTGATTTGCTCGCCTCAGCCTCCCAAAGTGCCGGGATTTTGGGCGGAGCCACCGCGCCAGGCCCAAAGTCTTTGTTAGATGTAGGAAAGAGCAGTAGAAGGCCAGGCGCAGTGGCTTACACCTATCATCTCAGCACGTTGAGAGGCCTTGGCGAGCAGATCGCTTTAACCTAGGAGTTTGAGACCAGCCTGGACAACTTGGAGAAACTCCATCTCTCCCAAAAATAAATAAACTAATAATAATAATAATAGGCTGGGCGTGGTGACTCACGCCTGTAATCTCAGCACTTTAGGAGGCAGAGGCGGGCAGATCACCTTTGGTCAGGAGTTCAAGACCAGCCTGGCCAATGTGGTGAAACCCTGTCTCTACAAAAATACAAAAATTAGCTGGGCGTGATGGCGGGTGCCTGTAATCCCAGCTACTTGGGAGGCTGAGGCGGGAGAATCGCTTGAACCCGGGAGGTGGAGGTTGTAGTGAGCCGAGATGGGACCACTACACTCCATCCTGGGCAACAGAGCAAGACTCCATCTCAAAAAAAAAATAGCAATAATAATAATAAGCAGTAGAAGACAGGGAACTGGAAGCCACGAACTAGGATCCAAGCCCAGGGGAGCCACCAGCAAGTGAGGAACCTTGGCAAACAAAGCCCTTTTCCTCTCTGGGTCTCCAAGAACAGGCCACATGGCTTCTATAAACTCAAGTAAGCAAGGATTCTCTCTCACCAGCCCGTTTAATTTTATCAAGAGTTAAAGGTTGTCCTGGATCCTCAATAGTCATTTAAAATTGGGCTTGCCCCTGCCAGAAAGGAATGACAGAGCAGGTGACAAGTGGCAGGTGGCATTGCTTCTTGATTATCCAACAAGTATGTATGTATGTATGTATGTATGTATGTATGTATGTATGTATGTATTGAGACAGAGTTTCCCTCCTGTTGCCCGGGCTGGAGTGCAATGGCACAATCTCAGTTCACTGCAACCTCCACCTCCCGGGTTCAAGAGATTCTCCTGCCTCAGCCTCCCGAATAGCTGGAATTACAGGCATGTGCCACCACGCCCGGCTAATTTTGTATTTTTAGTAGAAATGGGGTTTCTCCGTGTTGGTCAGGCTGGTGTCAAACTCCCGACCTCAGGTGATCCTCCAGCCTTGGCCTCCCAAAGTGCTGGGTTTGCAGGCGTGAGCCCCTGTACCTGGCCCCAACAAGTATTTATTGAGCACCTGCTCTGCCAGGCCCTGTGTTAGACTTTGAGTAAAAATCAATGAGCATTTGTAGAGTATTCATCATGGACACGTGGACATCTCATTTAATCTTCTACTACCTTTTACCTTTTTTTTTTTTTTTAGTGACCAAGTTTCACTCTTGTTGCCCAGGCTCGAATGCCATAGCACGATCTTGGCTCACTGCAATCTCTGCCTCCGGGATTCAAGCGATTCACTTGCCTCAGCCTCTCAAGTAGCTGGGAATACAAATGTGTGCCACCATGCCCAGCTAGTTTTTTTGTGTATTTTTAGTGGAGATGGGGTTTCACCTTGTTGGCCAGGCTGGTCTCGAACTCCTGACCTCAGGTGATCCACCAGCCTCGGTCTCCAAAAGTGCTGGGATTACAGGCTTGAGCCACCATGCCCGGCCTTCTACTACCTTTTGTAGTGGGTATTTTTTTTTTTTTTTTTGAGACAAAGTCTTGCTCTGTTGCCCAGGCTGGAGTGCAGTGGTGTGATCTCGGCTCACTGCAACCTCCGCCTCCTGGGTTTGAATGATTCTCCTGCCTCAGCCTCCCAAGTAGCTAGGATTACAGGCGCCCACCACCATGCATGCCCGGCTGATTTTTATATTTTTAGTAGAGACAGTGTTTCACCATGTTGGCCAGGCTGGTCTTGAACTTCGTCTGAAAAAACTCCGTCTCAAAAAAAAAAAAAAAAAGAAAGAAAAAGGCTCACCGGAACCTCCACCTCCCAGGTTCAAGCCATTCTTGAACCTCAGGCAATCCACCCACCTCAGCCTCCCAGAGTGCTGGGATTACAGACGTGAGCCACTGCACCCAGTCTGCAGTGGATATTTTTATCCCTGCTTTACAAAAACAAGAAAACAGCAGTACTACAACTTGGCAGGAGTTACATAGTATGAGTCTCTCTCCTACCACTTTAAGAGCTGAATTTTAAGGCCAGGTGCTGTGGCTCATGCCTGTAATCCCAGCACTTTGGGAGGCAGAGGCGGGCAGATCACAAGGTCAGGAGTTCAAGACTCCACCTGACCAACACAGTGAAACCCCTGTCTCTACTAAAAATACAAAAATTAGCTGGGTGTGGTGGTGGGCGCCTGTAATCCCAGCTACTCCGGAGGCTGAGGCAAAGAATGGCTTGAACCCGGGAGGTGAACGATCCAGTGAGCCTTTTTCTTTTTCTTCTTTTTTTTTTTTTTGAGACGGAGTGTCGCTTTTGTTGCCTAGGCTGGAGTGCAATGGCGTAATCTCGGCTCACTGCAACTTCCACCTCCTGGGTTCAAGCCATTCTCCTGCCTCAGCCTCCTGAGTAGCTGGGATTACACGCATGTGCCGCCATGCCCGGTTAAGTTTGTATTTTTAGTAGAGACGAGGTTTTTCCATGTTGGTCAGGCTGGTGTTGCATTCCCGACCTCGGGTGATCCGCCCTCCTTGGCCTCCCAAAGTGCTGGGATTACAGGTGTGACCCACCGCGCCCAGCCTTCTTTTGTTTTCTTTCCTTTTTTTTCTTCTTTTCTTTTCTTTTTTTTTTTTAAGGAAGGGTCTGGCTCTGTCGCCCAGGCTGAAGTGCAGTGTCACCATCTCGGTTTCCTGCAGCCTCTGCCTCCCAGGCTTAAATGGTCCTCCCACCTCAGCCTCCTGAGCAGCTGGGACTACAGGCATGCACCACCATGCCCAGTTAAGTTTTGCATTTTTTTTTTTTTTTTTGAGACGGTGTCTCCCTCTGTTGCCCAGGCTGGAGTGCAGTGGTGCCATCTTGGCTCACTGCAACCTCCGCCTCCCGGGTTCAAGCAATTCTCTGCCTCAGAGTAGCCAGGATTACAGGTGCCCACCACCACGCCTGGCTAATTTTTTTATAGTTTTAGTAGAGACAGGGTTTCACCATCTTGGCCAGGCTGGTCTTGAACTCCTGACCTTGTGATCTGCCGGCCTCAGCCTCCCAAAGTGCTGGGATTACAGGCATGAGCCACCGCGCCTGGCCAATTTTTGTATTTTTTGTATTATTATTGTTATTTTTTGAGACAACGGCTCTCTCCTGTTGCCCAGGCTGGAGGTCAGTGGTGCAAACATGGCTTATTGCAGCCTCGATTTCCCAGGCTCAGGTGATTCTCCCACTTTAGGCTTCTGAGTAGCTGGGACTGCAGGCACCTGCCACCAAGCCCAGCTAATTTTTTGTATTTTTAGTAGATAAGGGGTTTCACCATGTTGCCTCGGCTGGTCTCGAACCCCTGAGCTCAAGCCATCCGCTTGCCTCGGCCTCCTAAAGTGCTGGGATTACAGGTGTGAGCCACTATTCCTGGCCAGGAAACCTTTTCTTACACTTAAAAAATTCTAAATGTATTTCTTTGAGTTCCTTTTTCTCAGAAACCTACACAGACTTCTTCGTAGACAGAATTTTACCTATTTTTGCATCCACACTAGACCAGGATCTAATTTCTAGAGTGCTTGGTTAACTACCATCCTTCATGTTAATTTCAGTGGCTAATGTTTTTGCTCCTCCTTATTTAATATCCTTGTTCAAGCTTAGTTTTCCCTGAGATGTGTTTATTATTTTACAAAATCAATCTAATTTCTAATATCTTTAGGTAGATTTGCGTTTTACCCACTTTAACAGTGTTAACACGTTTGAAATGTCTGTCATCCCTAGCTTTTCTGACTTGTTTCCTGGTTTGAACCTTAATTCAGATGCTCAGCAGAAGGAAATAGGTTGTCTGCTAAACATAGCCACATGGCTGAATCCCTTGACATTGGCAAATAGGGAAAAACTAATGCTAGAATATGGGATGAACAGTCTGAGGGAGTTTTAGAACGATTCAAAAAGCTCAAGTGGTTATAATTAGGTAGTGTTCATACAGTTTTAAAAGCGGAGCTCTGGAACTGGGCGCGGTGGCTAACGCCTGTAATCCCAGCACTTTGGGAGGCTGAGGCAGGTGAATCACCTGAGGTCAGGAGTTCGAGACCAGCCTGACCAATATGGTGAAACCCCATCTCTACTAAAAATACAAAAATTAGCCAGGTGTGGTGGCACGTGCCTGTAGTCCCAGCTACTTGGGAGGCTGAGACAGGAGAATTGCTTGAACCTGGGAGGCAGAGGTTGTAGTGAGCCGAGATCAAGCCACAGTACTCCAGCCTGCGTGACAGAGCAAGACTCTGTCTCAAAAAAAAAAATTTAAAAATAATAACTTAATAAAAAAAAAAAGCAGAGCTCTGAGATGCGTGGTGGTTCCATTTCACAAGCGTTTCCTGAGCATGTAATATGTGCTGAGCAGGCTCCTGGCTCTGGGTGAGCTGGGCAGGTGAGAGGCTTGGGGTGAAGACCCTCTCTGGAGGAGTTCACAGCCTGGTACTTCTTACTTATCTGTCCATTCAGGGCTGGAGTGGCCCAGCTAGGCAGGTGCTGAGGCCACCCAGCTGAAGCCTGAACAGGTTGACCCCTCCGCTGATGTTTGAGCGTGTTTACCACAGGAAGAGAAGCTCCTCAGCAATTGTTCCTTCTTTTCAAAGCAGCATTTCCTATTTCATTTAGAATTAAAGAAAGAATAAGGAATTCTCTAGGCCAGTGGTTTTCAAAATATGGCCACTGGTGCAGCATCACCTGGAATTTTGTGAGAGCTGCAAACTATCCCCCACTCCAGACTTACAGATTTAGAAATAATGGGGCGGAAATCCCTGATCGAATGGAACATTCTGGAGTTCGTCCCCTCACCCAACCTTAAGATGAACTTGGAACAAGGGTGCTCAGCCAGAGGGGCAGGTGAGGCCGCAAGTCCAGCTGCCCCTGTTCACCTAGGTAAGCACATAGACTGTGTCTACCCCCTGGGGGCACCTTGCTCTAAATCATCTGCCCAATCAGGACCAACATGGTCTCTACAACGTCACTTCTGAGAACCACTTGTCCACAATGAAGGGAAGAAGAAAATCCATCAGCACCTGGTGAATTGGGAAACAATGGGGCTCTCACTTGCTAAATGCATTCACCTGTTCACTTATTTAATACACTCTGCCCTGCAGGGTAGAGAAAAGACACATGAGGGGCCCAAGGAACTTAGAACCCACCTGGTTAGAAGAAACTAACAAGCAAGAGACAGGGTTAGAAATATAAATGTGACATAAGGGCAAGCCCCCAAATAAGAAAGAACACAAGAAGAGAAGAAGGGATAGATCAAATCCTAGTGGTCTGGAGAGATTAGATGTGGCTTCTCAAAGCCAACAAAGATAGCACCACCAACAATAATACACCAGCAATAATCGCTATTTATTTTTTCAACTTTTTTATTGAGAGAAAATTTACATAAAATTCACCATTGTAACCATTTATTTATTTATTATTTTTTGAGATGGAGTCTTGCTCTGTCGCCCAGACTGGAGTGTAGTGGCAGGATCTCGACTCACTGTAGCCTCCACCTCCTGGGTTCAAGTGATTCTCCCGCCTCAGCCTCCTGAGTAGCTGGGATTACAGGAGCGCATCACCACACCTGGCTAATTTTTGTATTTTTAGTAGTGACAGGGTTTCACCATGTTGGTTGGCCAGCTGGTCTCGAATTCCTGACCTCAGTTGGTCCATCCTCCTCGGCCTCCCAAAGTGCTGGGATTATAGGTGTGAGCCACCACGCCTGGCTTGTTTTGTATTTTATTTATGTATTTGCTTTTTTAGACGGAGTCTCACTCTGTCGCCCAGGCTGGAGTGCAGTGGCGCAATCTCGGCTCACTGCAACCTCCGCCTCCCGGGTTCAAGCAATTCTCTGCCTCAGCCTCCCGAGTAGCTGGGATTACAGGTGCCTGCCACCACACCCGGCTCATTTTTCTATTTTCAGTAGAGATGGGGTTTCACCATCTTGGCCAGGCTAGTCTTGAACTCCTGACCTGGGGATCCACCCGCCTTGGCCTCCCAAAGTGCTGGGATTACAGGCATCAGCCACTGTGCCCAGCCGTTTTGTATTTTTTTAGTAGAGACGGGGTTTCCCCCATGTTGGCCAGGCTGGTCTCGAACTCCTGGACTCAAGTGATCTGCCTGCCTCGGCCGCCCAACGTGCTGGGATTGCAGGTGTGAGCCACCGCGACCGGCCGCTTTCTCTTTCTTTCGAGACAAGGTCTTGCTTTGTCACCCAGGCTAGAGTGCAGTGGTGCTATCATAGCTCACTGAGCCTAGAACTCCTGGTCTCAAGATACCTCCGCCTTATTCTCCTGAATAGCTGGGTTTACAGGCATGTGCCACCGTGCCCGGCTTTTTTTTTTTTTTTTTTTTTTTTTTGAGTCTCTTGCTCTGTCGCCCAGGCTGCAGTGCAGGTGGTGCAATCTCGGCTCACTGCAAGCTCCGCCTCCAGGGTTCACGCCATTCTCCTGCCTCAGCCCCCGGAGTAGCTGGAACTATAGCGCCCGCCACTACGCCCGGCTAATTTTTTTTGTATTTTTAGTAGAGATGGGGTTTCACCGTGTTAGCCAGGATGGTCTCGATTTCCTGACCTCGTGATCTGCCCGCCTTGGCCTCCCAAAGTGCTGGGATTACAGGCGTGAGCCACCACGCCCGGAGTTTTTTTTTTTTTTTTTTTAAGAGGGAAGTGGGGTTTCTCTATGTTGCCCAGGCTGGTCTTGAATTTCTGGCCTCAAGCGATCCTCTTGCCTCGGCCTTCCAAAGTGCTGGGATTACAGGTGTGAGCCACCACACCTGGCCAATTCAGTCTTAAACCAATTTTCTGAGGCTTCGTTTTGGCAAGGCTACTTATCTGTTTTAAAAATAAACGATGTATTTTAGTAAAAGAAAAAAAATGGAGGAAAAAACAGGGTTTTGATCTCATGGAATAATTATGAGGCTAATCTAATGAGCTTCATAAAATACTATACCCATACATAGTATGCTTGTTATTTTATTGTTTTGTCAGGGTCCAGAGAACTAGGCCACTGTGTTGCTTAGGCACCGTGTCTGCACATAGTTCATTCCGGTGTACATTCATTCATCTTTACACTAGAATGTTAGTTTCAAGAACTCAGTCACCTCGTCTACACTGTCCTTTAATCCCCAATACCTGCGACAGTTCCTGGGGCAAAAACAAATGCTTGTTGAATTAAAAAGAAAAACTGGGCCGGGCGTGGTGGCTCACGCCTGTAATCCCAGCACTTCGGGAGGCCGAGGCAGGCGGATCACCTGAGGTCAGGAGTTCGAGACCAGCCTAACATGGTGAAACCCCGTCTCTACTAAAAATACAAAAACATTAGCCGGGTGTAGTGGTGGGTGCCTGTAATCCCAGCTACTTGGGAGGCTGAGGCAGGAGAATCGCTTGAAGCCGGGAGGCGGAGGTTGCAGTGAGCCGAGATCACGCCATTGCACCCCAACCTGGGTAACAGAGCGACACTCTGTCTCAAAAAAAAAAAAAAATTCCTGTAGAAGCTCCCAAGCCCAATTAAAGCTCAAGGCTATCGTCCACGTAGTGGGTTCCAAATCGCTAAGTTCCCAGGCCAGCAGGGAGAGCGAGCCGAGCGAAGGTCGCCTGTGTCAAAGGCGGGGATTTGCACAGTATTTACATGGAAGCGGAGGAAAGGCTGCTTAGCAACCGGGCTGAGGGGACGGGCTGCACTGCGCACGCGTACATGGGCGGGGCATCTTGCGCATGCGCAGGCGACAGCTCATGGCGTTCAGGGCCTGACGGTTGCTAGGGTGACAGGGACACAACATGGCGGCGGGATCTCTAACGCTCTCCTTCGAGGGACCACCACGGAGATCCTAGTGCGGGACCCCGCCTCAGGGAAGTGGAAAGCAGGGGGACAACCTTCCTGCTTCTTTCTTTTCCGTCCAGTGTCGGCAAGGGGTTGTCACCGGCTTCCGCATCCAAGATGAAGAGTGAGTGGGGCCGGGGAAAGGGGCAGGGACTGGAGAGCGAGTGGCGGGGGAGGGAGGGACTGGGGGAGCTTGAGGAGCTTGAGGGGCCTGTGGGGCCGGGCGTCGTCGCCTTCTGCCGTGGCTCGACAGGCCCGGGAGGCTCCGCATGTGGGCCCCGAATCCCCCTCGGCTGTGAGAAGCCGGTGCCCCTGGGGGAAGCTTGAGGGGTTGGGGCTAGGTTGGGAACTTTGGGGTCTCGGAGAGCCGACTCGAGTTCCCGCTCAGGCATATTTTGGTGCAGGTGCGTGGTTCTTACATTGGAGTTTAGGGAGTTGACTGTGATTCATTTTATTTTATTTTAAATGCTGGCTTGAACCTGACACTCTTTTCCTGAACATTCGGCAGAAAACGGGGGAGCGCTTACAGCGTGGCTCCCTGCCTTTTCATGATACTGGTTTAGTGACCAATTGAGAGGAAAGCTGGGCTGTGTGCTTTATTTTATTTTTTGGGTCAAGCAGTAGTGTTTTATAGGAACCACTTTTTAATAGTAGTTTTGAAGCAACCTTTTAGTTAAAAGCTGTTACTTCAAAGTTGGGAAATGAGGTAGTCATTCTAGAAAATGTAACGGGTAAAAAATTTTCTTTAGTGGGATTTGTGGATTATTGACAATCCAAGTGCAACCAGCTAGAATGATGTTTTTAAAATTATTATTACTGTACAGATATAATTGTTTATGGTTGTGAACCAGAGGTGCAGTAAAAATTCAGACCTTTGCTGTGAAAATATTATGTTAGGAGTAGTTATAATGTTAAATTTGCATTGTATCCTAATTGTCAATGGTGTACATTGCATAACATTTAAAATAATTAATCTCATTCACCCTTTACAAGGCATTTTTATTTTTATTTTATTTTGTTGGATATTGTTTAATGTTTACCTTTTTCATTAATGCACTACAAAGCTGTAGTTAGAATCCAAGGTCTACAAAAGACTTTACACTTTTACTTACAGTGCAGACTATGATACTGCACATATTTTGTACTATATTCATTTTTTTCTTCCCATCTGTTTGTTTTGAAAATTTTCAGATGTACAGGAAAGTTGCAAGAGCAGTACATTGAATATTTATAAACCCGTCCTTCACTTAGCTGCACCATTTTGCCTTATTTTTGTGTGCTCGCTTTCGCTCTGGTGTTTTCTCTCTCCCATTTATGTATTTATTTTCACTGGACCTTTCAAGAGTTAGTTGTAGACTACTAATAATTCACCACTTCTTTCAGCAGTTATCTGCCAAGAACAAGGACATTCTCCTACATCATCACAGTACAAATAACACATTTAGAAAATTTAACAATGATACAATACTCTGATACACAGTCCATATTTCAGTTTTTCCATTTATCCCAATAACATGTGTTATAGTTGTTTATATTTTTTCTATCCAATCAAGAATCACCAATTGTATTCTGTTGTCATATCTCTTTGGTCTCTTTTAATATGGTGTCCCTGCCTTTTGTGTCTTTCATGACAATGATATTTTCATTTTTATTTGGCTGTCCTCTGTAGGCCAAATGACATTTTTAAAGAATCCAGCCCAGTGTTTTGCAGAATATCGCTCAATTTGGATTTGTCTGATTTTCGCCTCATGATTAGCTTCAGCTTAAATGTTTTTACCAGGAATATGTGAGAGGCAACGTTGTGTCTCTGTCAGTGTGGCCCTTCCAGAGTGCCTGATGTCAGTTCGTTGCAGTTTTGCTGAAGTTAGATTTGATCATTTGGTTTATTTATCTACCTTCTTTTTCTCTTAGACTCTTTTTTTTTTTGGACAGGGTCTCTCTGTGTCACCCTGGCTGGAGTGCAGTGGTGCAATCTTGGCTCACTGCAACCTCTGCCTCCCGGGTTCAAGTGATTCTCCTACCTCAGCCTCCCAAGTAGCTGAGATTACAGGTGTGCACCACCACGCCCAGCTAACTTGTATTTTTTGGTAGAGACGGGGTTTCAACATGTTGGCCAGGCTGGTCTCAAACTCCTGACGTCAAGCGATCCACCCGCCTCAGCCTCCCAAAGTGTTGGAATTACAGACGCGAGCCACTGTGCCTGGCCTTCCTCTTAGACTCTTCATACCCCACTACCTAGAGGCATCACTTTCAGTAATTTACTCTCTCTATATATATTATATATAAATATATAAATGTGTATTTCTCCCTTTTTAAAAGACTAATGTTAGCACTGCATGTGTATACCTATATAGAAATATGTACATATGCTGCCTGGGCGCAGTGGCTCACACCTGTAATGCCAACACTTTGGGAGGCCGAGGCGGGCAGATCACGAGTTCAGGAGATCAATACCATCCCAGCTAACACGGTGAAACCCCGGCTCTACTAAAAATACAAAAAATTAGCCAGGCGTGGTGGTGGGCACCTGTAGTCCCAGCTACTCGGGAGGCTGAGGCAGGAGAATGGCGTGGACCTGGGAGGCAGAGCTTGCAGTGAGCTGAGATCGGGCCACTGTACTGCAGCCTGGGCAACAAAGCAAGAGACTCCGTCTCAAAAAAAAAGAAAATAAATATGTATATATGCGTATATATATATAAAATTTACATTTGTGGGCCGGGTGCAGTGGCTCACGCCTGTAATCCCAGCACTTTGAGAGGCTGAGGTGGGTGGATCACTTGAGGTCAGGAGTTCGAGACCAGCCTGGTCAACATGGTGAAACCCCGTCTCTACTAAAAATACAAAAATTAGTCAGGCGTGGTGGCAGGTGCCTGTAATCCCAGCTACTTGGGAGGCTGAGGCAGGGGAATCGCTTGAACCTGGGAGGGGGGCGTTGCAGTGAGCTGAGATCGCACTACTGCACTCCAGCCTGGGCAACAGAGCAAAAAAAAAAAAAAAAGTATATGTGTGTATACATATAAAATTTACATTTATGGGGCGGGTGCAGTGGCTCACGCCTGTAATCCCAGCACTTCGGGACGCCGAGGTTGGCTGATCACTTGAGGTCAGGAGTTCGAGACCAGCCTGGCCAATGTGGTGAAACCCCATCTCAACCAAAAAATACAAGAAAAAAAAAATCAAAACAAAACAAAATACACAAAAAATGTACATTTATGATTTACTTCTTGTAAACTTTTGTTTTTAAAGTATATTTAGTATTGTTTGGTATGTTCTTTTAGATGGTCATTTTGGTAGTTTTCGGTTACTTGGTTTAGTGGTGACATCTTTATTCTCCCTTTCTTCCTTCTACCTTAAAATGTACTCTAAGAATTATTGTAACCTTTTATCCCCCTGGTTTACATCCTGATCATTAAATAAATGATTTAAAAATAGTTAACAATGGAGAGAATATTCCAGAACTGGAAATCACAGAGACAGAGTTATAGAAGTAGAATGATCAGGAAAAGTGAGTAATGGTGAAATTGGATCCATAGCTTGGGGTCAGAGTGGGGCTGGGAATGCTAGATTATTACAGGGGTCTGTCAGGATTTTCTAGGTATATTTTTGTACTTGTTTTCTAGGTGATGCCCTGTGTTTAGGGGTGTGTTATTCTGTGGAGTATTCCTGTCCTTCTTTTTATTTGGCATCGTTTGCAACAGTAGAGAGCAAAGAGTGACACAGTGCAGTTGATAAGAGCGTGGGCTTTGGAACCGGGTGGGCATGGCAGCTTCAGGCATGTTACTTTTTCTTATACTGCTTTTCTTCATTGTTCCGGTTATCTATTGCTGCGTAACAGATCACTTCAATTTTGTGGCTTAAAGGAACAACAGTCCTTCTTGTGGTTCTTCAGGTTGCCTGGATTCAACTAGGCAGGTCTTACTGGAAGTCTCTCATGCACTCAGATGGTGGCTGGAGCTGAAGTCATCTTAAAAGTTTGTTTTTTATTTTGAGATGGAGTCTCACTCTGTTGGCCAGGCTGGAATGAGTACAGTGGCACAATCTTGGCTCACTGCAACCTCTGCCTCCTGGGTTCAAGCGATTCTCCTGTCTCAGCCTCCTGAGTAGCTGGGATTTTAGGCGCACCACCACACCTGGCTAATTTTTATATTTTGAGTAGAGACGGGGTTTCACCATGTTGTTCAGGCTGGTCAAGAACTCCTGACCTCAGGTGATCCACCTGCCTTGGCCTTCCAAAATGCTGAGATTACAGGTGTGAGCCAGTGTGCCCAGCCCACATTCATCTTTAAACAGGGATGATAATACCAATCACATAGCATTGTTTCAAAGATTAAGTGAAATCATCTATATAAAGCTCATAGCACAGTGTCTGATACATGATAAATTGTGAATGAATTATTATTTGCTATTTCAGCAGATGGAAGGCAGGGATATAAAAAGGGAAAGAATGAAAACATCAGTCAGATCCTGACTTGGAAAAGTTTCCCCTTATCTAGTCTAGTTAAAGTACCACTCTTTTTTCCTGTCTGAACTTTCTTTTTTGTTTGAGATAGAGTCTGTTGCCCAGGCTGGAGTGCTGTGGTGTAGCCACAGCTCACGACAGCCTCCATCTCCTGGGCTCAGGCAATCCTCCCACCTCAGCCTCCTGAGTAGTTAGGACCACAGGCATGTGCCTCCTCGCCCAGCTAATTTTTTTTTTTTTTTGGTGGAGATGGGGTTTTGCTGTGTTGCCCAGCCCAGGCTTTTTTTTTTTTTTTTTTTTTTTGAGATAGAGTTTTGCCCTGTTGCCTAGGCTGGAGTCCAATGGCGCGATCTCGGCTCACTGCAACCTCCACCTCCCGGGTTCAAGTGATTCTTCTGCCTCAGCTTCCCAAATAGCTGGGATTACAGGTGCCTGCCAACATACCTGGCTAAGTTTTGTATTTTTAGTAGAGATCGGGTTTCACCATGCTGGCCAGGCTGGTCTCGAACTCCTGACCTCAGGCAATCTGCCCGCCTTGGCCTCCCAAAGTGCTGGGATTATATGCATGAGCCACTGTGCCCGGCTCCCCGGCTTAAGTTTTTAATTGTTTACTAGAGATGGGGGTCTCCCTATATTGCCCAGGCCGGTCTTGAACTCCTGGATTATAGGCATGAGCCACTGTGCCTGGTCCTGTCTCAACTTTTTAATGAATTATTCAAAACATACCTATAAAAAGAGAAAAGTGGCCAGGCATGGTGGCTCATGTCTGTAAACCCAGCACTTCGAGAGGCTGAGGCAAGAGATTGCTTAAATCCAGGAGTCTGAGACCAGCCTGGGCAACATGACGAGACTCTGTCTCTACTAAATTTAAAAATTGGCCAAGCATGGCAGTGCATGCCTGTGGTCTCAGGTACTCGGGAGGCTGAGGGAGGAGCATTGCTTGAACCCAGGAGTTTGAGGCTGTAGTGAGCTGGGATCACACCACTGCTCTCCAGCCTGGATGTCAAAGGAAGACCCTGTTTCAAAAAAATAAAACAAAAACCCAGAGAAGTTACACTCTGAAGACGGTAACAGTTTGCTATTGTATCAGAGAGAATTTTTCTTTTTTTTTTTGTAGGTAGTCTCACTCTGTTGCCCAGGCTGGAGTGCAGTGGTATGATCTTGGCTCGCTGCAACCTCTGCCTCCAGGGTTCAAGCAATTCTCATGCATCAGCCTCCCGAGTAGCTGGGATTTATAGGTGCAAACCACCACACCTGGTTAATTTTTGTAGTTTTAGTAAAGATGGGGTTTCACCATGTTGGCCAGGTTGGTCTCGAACTCCTGACCTCAGGTGATCTGCCCGCCTCGGCCTCCCAAAGTGCTGGGATTACAGGCGTGAGCCACTGCGTCCGGCCCAGAGAGAATTTTTAAAAGTATCTGTTGTAATTACAATGAGGTTTAAACTGTCTTTTTTTTTTTCCGCCATGGAAAGAGTCAAGTAATTTGTCTTTCTTAAATGCTGGTGTGTCCGCAGTTGGTGGGTTCTTGGTCTCACTGACTTCAAGAACTAAACCTCAGACCCTCACGGTGAGTGTTACAGTTCTTAAAAGCAGTGTGTCTGGAGTTTGTTCCTTCTGAAGTTCAGATGTGTTGAGAGTTTCTTCCTTCTGGTGGGTTCGTGGTCTCACTGGCTTCAGGAGTGAAGCTGCAGACCTTCGCGGTGAGTGTTATCGCTCTGAAGGCGGCGCATCTGGACTTGTTCATTCCTCCTGGTGGGTTCGTGGTCTTGCTGGCCTCAGGAGAGAAGCTACAGACCTTTGCAGTGAGTGTTGCAGCTCATAAAAGCAGCCTGGACCCAAAGAGTGAGTAGCAGCAAGATTTATTTTAAAGGGTGAAAGAACAAAGCTTCCACATTGTGGAAGGGGACTGGAGCATGTTGCCACTGCTGGCTTGGGCAGCCTGCTTTTATTCTCTTATCTGGCACCACCCACATCCTGCTGATTGGTCCATTTTACAGAGAGCCAATTGGTCTGTTTTACAGAGAGCTGATTGGTCCGTTTTGACAGGGTGCTGATTGGTGCGTTTACAATCCCTGAGCTAGACACAAAAGTTCTCCAAGTCCCCGTGAGATCAGCTAGACACAGAGCACTGATTGGTGCATTTGCAAACCTTGAGCTAGATACAGGGTGCTGATTGGTGTGTTTACAAACTTTGAGCTAGATACAGAGTGCTGATTGGTGTATTTACAAACCGTGAGCTAGATACAGGGTGCTGATTGGTGTGTTTACAAACTTTGAGCTAGACACAGAGTACTGATTGGTGTATTTACAATCCCTTAGCTAGACATAAAGGTTCTGCAAGTCCCCACCAGATTAGCTAGATACAGAGTGCTGATTGGTGCATTTACAAACCTTGAGCTAGACACAGAGTGCTGATTGGTGTATTTACAATCCCTTAGTTAGACATAAAGGTTCTCTAAGTCCCCACTAGACTCAGGAGCCCAGCTGGCTTCACCTAGTGGATCCCACACCAGGGCTGCAGGTGGAGCTGCCCGCCAGTCCCACACCATGTGCCTGCACCCCTCAGCCCTTGGGCAGTTGATGGGACTGGGCACCCTGGAGCAGGGGGCGGTGCTCCTCGGGGAGGCTTGGGCTGCGCAGGAGCCCACAGCGGGGGTTGGGAGGCTCAGGCATGGCGGGATGCAGGTCTGAAGCCCTGCCTCGTGGGTAGCAGCTGAGGCCCAGAAAGAATTTGAGCACAGGCAGGGCCGGTGGGCCGGCACTGCAGGGTATCCGGTGCACCCTCAGCAGCTGCTGGCCCGGGTGCTAAACCCGTCACTGCCCGGGGCCAGCAGCACCAGCTGGCCGCACCTAGTGCGGGGCCCGCTGAGCCCACACCCACCCAGAACTCATGCTGGCCCGCAAGCACCACGTGCAGCCCCGGTTCCCGCCTGCACCTCTCCCTCCACACCTCGCGGTGCCTCTTCCTCCACACCTCCCCGCAAGCTGAGGGAGCCGGCTCTGGCCCCGGCCAGCCCAGGGAGGGGCTCCCACAGTGCAGCGGCGAGCTGAAGGGCTCCTCAAGCGTGGCCAGAGTGGGCACCGAGGCCGAGGAGGTGCCGAGAGCCAGCGAGGGCTTCAAGGGCTGCCAGCACGCTATCACCTCTCACTAGTATTTTCATGGAATCAAAAAAGGTACCTCAAATAATCCTTTTCATCTCCTTCTGTGAGCATCAATTTTTGTTTTTATTTTATTTGTTTATTTATTTGTTATTGTTATTATTATTTTTGAGACGGAGTCTTGCAGTGTGGACCAGGCTGGAGTGCAGTGACGTAATCTTGGCTCACTGTGAGCTCCGCCTCCTGGGTTCATGCCATTCTCCTGCCTCAGCCTCCAGAGTAGCTGGGACTACAGGCGCCCGCCACCACACCCTGCTAATTTTTTTATACTTTTAGTAGAGATGGGGTTTCACCGTGTTAGCCAGGATGGTCTTGATCTCCTGACCTCGTGATCTGCCCACCTTGGCCTCCCAAAGTGCTGGTATTACAGGCGTGAGTCACCGTGCCCAGCCTATTTATTATTATTTTTTGAGACAGAGTCTCGCTGTGTTGCCCAGGCTGGAGTGCAGTGGTGTGATTTCAGCTCACTGCAACCTCTGCCTCCTGGGTTCAAGGTATTCTCCCACCTCAGCCTCCCAAGTAGATGGGACTACAAGTGTCTGCCACCACGCCTGGGTAATTTTTGTATTTTTAGTAGAGACAGGGTTTCACCATATTGGCCAGGCTTGTCTCGATCTCCTGACCTTGTGATCCACCTGCCTCAGCCTCCCAAAGTGCTGGGATTACAGGTGTGAGCCATTTTATTTTACTTATTTATTATTATTATTTTTTTAGAGATGAGGGTCTCACCATGTTGCCTAGACTGGTCTCAAAATCCTGGGATCTGGTGGTCCTCCTGTCTCGGCCTCCCAATATGTTGGAATTACAGCTGTGCCTGGCCACTTTCTGTTTTTATAAGTAGATGCATTATCTAGCAACTGTTTCTCTTGAAATAAAAACAAAATGAGGTAAACTTAATACTGGCTTTGTGATAAATCCAAACCATAGAAGGTTTTGAGTTAGCCTCAGGACCTTCCCCTATTTGCCACAGTAAATCCTGGTTAACATTGTCTTAGATGGACATTCATACATTTTCTATGCATATTTTTGTGTATATACACACAAGTTTTATATATTGGTGTGTGTGTATATACATATAAATATATGGTTGTTCCTTACCCAAAATCAAATGGGATTACATTAAATATGTTGTATTGTAGCTTGTAGGATGATGCATCTATGAAGATGCTTGAACATAGTTTTTTTTTTGTAATAGATCTTGCTATTTTTTTTTTTTTTTTTTGAGACGTACTCTCAGTCTGTTGCCCAGGCTGGAGTGCAGTGGCGTGATTTTGGCTCACTGTACTCTCCACCTTCTGGGTTCAAGCGATTCTCCTGCCTCAGCCTTCCAGGTAGCTGAGATTACAGGCAGGCACCACCACGCCTGGCTAATTTTTGTATTTTTAGTAGAGACTCGGTTTCACCATATTGGCCAGGCTGGTCTTGAACTCCTGACCTCAGGTGATCGACCCGTCTTGGTCTCCCAAAGTGCTGGGATTACAGGCATGAGCCACTATGCCTAGCCAGGTGTTGCTATGTTGACCAGGCTGGTCATGAACTCCTGATCTGAAGTGATCCTCCCATCTTGCACTCCCAAAGTGTTAGGATTACAGATGTGAGCCATCACGCCCAGTCCAGAACATAGATCTTTGAATAATTCTTCAAGTTTATTAACAGTGGACTTACTGGGTTAATAGGTGTAATTTCAATTTTAAAATTTTAAGAATTTTTGAATAGTTTTGTGTTCTTTTCTGTTTTCACAATGTTTAGTAATTCAGGTCATAATTTTCCTCACTATATCAAATAATTAATTGTGTACAGCTCCTCTTCACTGAAGCTTCCTGACCTTGTTTTAGTAATTTGGTTTGAACTGTTTAATCTCTCGAAGAGAATGGAAATTAGTAAGAAGCTGAAATCTTCTTCCTCGCATACTCTAGTTGTAGTCAGCAATTAACCTCCCCCAATTCTTTTCCTCCCTCTACTGGTGAAGCCCCATAGCTCTGATGCCTGTCACCCACCCTGATTAAGAACTTTATAAACAGCACATGAATAAAAATGTTTGGACTTGAACGTGACAAGTTTTGCATTTCACAAAAAGTGAATTTGACCTTCATTTTCACTTGTTAAATAAGGCTTAAATTCCACTTCAACAAACAAGCCTTGGTTTAATAAATGTGCATAGAATCTTAATACAGAGGTATTCATTTATCTCCCTTGTTCTCCCTTTTTCATCCAGCTCTGTTATTTTAACCCCTTTGTCCTTGAGTCTGTTTTTCTTTTTGTTTTGGTGCTTGTTTACTCTATTCCCAATAATGTGGGGCATGACGTTCATTTACAGTATCATAGCTCTGTTCCCTTCAGAGCTTTGTATCATGCTTTGTCTGCATTTCAGTGTTTCTTGTTTAATTTTGAAGGCCTATGAAAATACGCCAGATCTTGTTGGAGAGAACAGGAACTTTTCCCAGGAATTTTTTCATAGAGGTGGTTTCTTTTTTAATCCCTGCCTCTTATCCTTGTTTTATACCCCATACTTTCTGCCTACTAGAAGAGCCATGAGGGAAACAAGTGACCCCTTTATCTACCAACAGACACCTCCAGTGCGGCAAGTTCCATTTATTGCTGGTTGTGATGGTTTCGAGCCAGCCTGGGACATTGGCACACACTGAATTTGTGTGCTGAAACCACTTTACAGTTCACAGTTGACCTATTTTTTTTAAAGCAAGTCTGCTTAATTTATCTGTGATGAAACACAAATTGGAATTGATTGTGTAAATTCCCTCTTCTCTTAAATCTGAATTCCTTAGTCCACAGCTTGACTTTGAGTGATTGACCTCCAATCCCTCCTTTGATTTTCTTTTTTTTTTCTTTTTGAGACAAGGTCTCTCGCTGTCTGTCACTCAGGCTGGAGTACAGTGGCACCATCATGGCTCACTGCAGCCTTGACTTCCCGGGCTCAGAGGATTCTCCTATCTCAGCCTCCCAAGTGGCCGGGGCTACAGGCACGCATCACGATGCCTGGCTAATTTTTTTTTTTTTTTTTTTTGAGACGGAGTCTCGCTCTATCACCCTGGCTGGAGTGCAGTGGCGCTATCTCGGCTCACTGCCAGCTCCGCCTCCCGGGTTCATGCCATTTTCCTGCCTCAGCCTCCCGAGTAGCTGGGACTACACGTGCCCACCACCACGCCTGGCTAATTTTTTGTATTTTTAGTAGAGACGGGGTTTCACCATGTTAGCCAGGATGGTGTTGATCTCCTGACCTCGTGATCCGCCCGCCTTGGCCTCCCAAAGTGCTGGGATTACAGGCATGAGCCACCGCACCCGGCCTCACCTGGCTAATTTTTTTGTATTTTTGGTAGAGACAAGATTTCACCATGTTACCCAGGCTGGTCTCAAACTCCTGGGATCAGGTGATCCGCCTGCCTAAGCCTCCCAGAGTGCTGGGATTACAGGCATGAGCCACCACACCTGGCCCCTTCCCGTGATCTTTATGACTGTCTTCCTTTAAAAGGATATTGTAGTTTTAAGACAGTTCATTTTAAGTTCATGTTTTTCGTGGCACTTAGCCAACACTTTCACTGATTTCTTAAAATTCTTGAAATGTTCACCTTTACACACATTTAAAGTAATGTGTATTCATTGCGAACATTGAGTAATGTAGATAATTATAATGAAGAAAATTTAAATCACCTTCAGTCCCACTCAGATACATTAAAAAAATTACATATTTATATTCAGTCTTTTTCTTTTTTTTCTTTTCTTTTCTTTTTTTTTTTTTTTTTTTTTTTTTGTGATGGAGTTTCGCTCTTGTTGCCCAGGCTGGAGTGCAATGGTGCTATGATCTTGGCTCACCGCAACCTCCGCCTCCTGGGTTCAAGTGATTCTCCTGCCTCAGCCTCCCGAGTAGCTGGGATTACAGGCATGCACCACCACACCTGGCTAATTTTGTATTTTTAGTAGAGACAGGGTTTCTCCATGTTGGTCATGCTGGTCTCGAACTCCTGACCTCAGGTGATCCGCCTGCCTCAGCCTCCCAAAGTGCTGGGATTACAGGCGTGAGCCACCGCACCCAGCTGTATTCAGTCTTTCTCTGTGCATGTGTTGTGTGTATGATCATTATCATCCTTTTTTTCACTTAACATGAAATTATGGCTGAACATTTTCCCATGTCATGAAATATTATTTGAAAGCATCGTTATCAATGGTTACATAATATTTCAGTCTGTGGCTATTTCATAGTTTGTTAGAACATTTCCTTGATACTGGATATTTAAGTTTCTGGCATTCTTACTTTTGTGACACTGTGAATACCATCTTTGTTTATGAAGTTTTTTGTTTGTTCATTTGTTTTTTGTTTTTGAGATGGAATCTAGCTCTGTCACCCAGGCTGGAGTGCAGTGGCACAATCTCCGCTCACTGCAACCTCCGCCTCCCAGGTTCAAGCGATTCTTATGCCTCAGCCTTGCTAGCAGCTGGGATTGCAGGTGTGCGCCACCCTCCTGGCGAATTTTTGTATTTTTAGTAGAGATGGGGTTTCATTATGTTGGCCAGGCTGGTTTGGAACCCTTGACCTCAGGTGATCTGCCCACCTCAGCCTCACAAAGTGCTGGGATTACAGGCATGAGCTACCACACCCAGCCTCAATGTGGCTGTTAATGTACAGATTCACTCATATACAAATTGAATGGTTTTAATACTAAAATAATATTTAATTCCCCAAGCTTTTTTTTTTTCCTGTTGGTTTTTGTTTCTCTAAGTGTAATGGCACAAGAGAGAACAGATTGTGGACTTTCTATTTAAGAGGTTTATGGCTTTATGAGGAGAAGGTGCATAGTGGAGCATGAGCAGTTCTGTAACAGGAGGACAAGGTGCACACAGAAGGAAGAAAGACATCTGCTTGAAAGCTTCCCAGGCCGGTCCTGGAAGATTGGAATCCAGAGCACCATGTATTTGGTATTACACACTATGTACTCCATAATTAGTTGTTTTTTTGTTTTGTTTTGTTTTGTTTTGTTTTTTGAGATGGAGTCTTGCTCTGTTGCCCAGGCTAGAGTGCAGTGGTGCTATCTCGGCTCACTGCAAGCTCCACCTCCTGGGTTCACGCCATTCTCCTGCCTCAGCCTCCTGAGTAGCTGGGACTACAGCTGTCTGCCACCATGCCCGGCTAATTTTTCACATTTTTAGTAGAGATGGGGTTTCACCGTGTTAGCCAGGATGGTCTCGATCTCCTGACCTTGTGATCCACCCGCCTCAGCCTCCCAAAGTGCTAGGATTACAGGCATGAGCCACCGCACCCGGCCTATGTACTCCATAATTTGACCATTGATATTTTCTAAACAAAAATGTTCCATTTCCTCCCTCCCTCTTTTATAAGGAAAGGACCTAAAATTAGGGGTATAGGGACATACTGTAAATTCTCAAGACTAGGGATTACGTCTTAATGATATTTGTGTCTACAGTGCATGGCACAGTGTGTGGTATATAGCTGGTGCTAAGAAGTCTTTATTATTATTATTGTTAGTTTTTTTTTTTTTGAGACAGAGTTTTGCTCTGTTGCCCAGGCTTCAGTACAGTGGCGTGATCTCGGCTCACTGCAACCTCCGCCTCCCAGGTTCAGACAGTTCTTCTGTCTCAGCCTCCCAAGTAGCTGGGATTACAGGCACAGGCCACCATGCCTGGAAAATTTTTTGTATTTTTAGTAGAGATGGGGTTTCACCATGTTGGCCAGGCTGGTCTCAAACTCCCGATCTGAGGTGATCTGCCCACCTTGGCCTCCCAAAGTGCTGGGATTACAGGTGTGAGCCACCGCACTTGGCTGCAAGCAGACCTTTCTAAGGAGAGAAGTCCCAGGCCTGCTGTGTGAGCTCTTCTGCACAATGAAGACACTGATCTTCTTGTAGAGAAATTTCTGGGCTTTCCAGTTTAATTCATTTAAGAGAAGGGGTAAATTTTGGTGGTGTTTTAGCAAGCAACAGCTATCCCTTGACTAGTATGAACAGGGCCTGGTAGGTCAGTATGAGGGTCTGCTTGAGGGCAGAAGATGTTTAGGCTGTTGAATTTTCCCACAAAGTTTCAAGTTTGGAGGCTCCTCAAGAAACTTGTCAAAATTACTTAATGAGGTTTTAAACTGTACAAATTAGTGGTCAGGGCCAGGGCCTGTATTTTGGTCCATTTCTTTTGCAGAAGCTTCTTGGAGATGCACCAAAGAATCTTTATTGCCTGGTTTTAGGATTTAATGGAATTTAATTAGGTTTCCAGTTGTAGAGAGGCTCTGGGACTTAGTTAAGCTATAGTTGTCAAGCAAGTTATGGCTTCCGGTTTTTTGTCAGAAGGGATATGGTACCGTGCTCTGTCCTGAAGCCTCAGCGGGGCTCACTCCTGCCTTACATTAGCCAGTTTCTCCCAGAAGGCAAGTGAGAACAATAAAGCTAGCAGAATAGTTCTGAAACCCTGCCTTGCTGGGAGCTAGATTAGTTCCTCTTTTATTCAGGGAAAACTTGGATAAAAGGGATTCTAATAGCATAGTTTGAAGATCTTCGGTTTGGGGATCTAGAGCGGTGCTGGGGGATGTTAACTGGTGTTCTCTGGTTGTATCTCACACCCCTCTCATATACCCCACCTCCATTTGGAGACTCATCTCATATGCAGGGAAAGGCATTGAGGAATTCTGCAAACACATTTTGCCGTATTTAACTCTGTATTTCCTAAATTTATTTGCTTATGGAACCCTCTTTTGTGGAATACCCATTAGGGTTCAGGGATCCTCGTGTTTTGTAGTACTCAGTTTGGAAAATGCTAGTCTGGAGATTCAGCATCCTCAGGTTGTTTTTCCTGGAAGTGGTAATGGAGAGCAGCCCTTCCTGGTGCAGTAGGCCACCTTTCTTTTGCTCATAACACAGACCAGTTGTGACACTTGGCTCTGTCTCAGGCTGTGACTTTTAATATACCGATTTACTTATACACAAATTGAATGGTTAATGTTCCATTCCCCAAGCCTTTTTTGTTCATTTTTACTATTTTTTTTGTTTGTTTGTTTCTCTCTTTTTTTTTTGAGACTGAGTTTTGCTCTTGTTGCCCAGGCTGGAGTGCAGTGGCGTGATCTCGGCTCACCGCAACCTCCTCCTCTTGGGTTCAAGCGATTCGCCTGCCTCAGCCTTCCTGAGTAGCTGGGATTAGAGGCATGCACCACCACACCCGGCTAATTTTGTATTTTTAGTAGAGATGGGGTTTTTCCATGTTGGTCAGGCTGGTCTTGAACTCCCGACCTCAGATGATCTGCCCACCTCGGCCTTCCAAAGTGCTGGGATTATAGGCGTGAGCCACCATACCTAGTCTTTTTTTTTTTTTTCTCTAAGTGTAATGCATTTTATCTCCTGCTTCTTGTAAGTTTCCAGGACCAAGTAATACTCAAACCCTTCCCAGAGGGTTTTCATTTCGAACAAGGAAGCCACCTGGGAAATAGGGTGGAGACCTGTTTTGAGAAACCAGAAGAGGATGTCTCGTTCTAACCATGGAGAAAAAGAATCTAGTCTCCTTGTTAGGAAGACTGTTGAAGAAGTGTTCTTTATCCTTTAGTTCTTATTAAGAGAATTGTTTTAGTTTCAATTGTAAGGACCAGTAAATCTCCTTACACCTCACAGTATGGAGACATATTATTATAACTGTTGACAAAGAAGGAGCTTGAGGGCTGGGTGCAGTGGCTCACGCCTATAATCCCAGCACTTTGGGAGGGTGAGGCGGGTGGGAAGCTGAGGCGGGTGGATTACCTGAGGTTAGGAGTTCGAGACCAGCCTGGCCAACATGGTGAAACCCCATCTCTACTAAAAATACAAAAATTAGCTTGGTATGGTGGCACACACCTGTAATCCCAGCTACTTGGGAGGCTGAGGCACGAGAATCTCTTGAACTTGGAAGATGGAGGTTGTAGTGAGCCGAGATCACTTGGGCAACACAGTGAGACTCTGTCTCAAAATAAAATAAAATAAAATAAAAATAAAAAACAGGAGCTTAAAAATAGGAAAACCCGAGAGCAGGAGGGAATTGGCCCTCTTAGGAACTAGAATAGTATTGAAAGCAGATTGTTTTGCACCTTAGCAGTAGGGATTTGTAGACGTGCATATTCTGCCATTAATGAGATTTCTCAGTCTGTGTTTCTTTGTGATTTTCCCTGTATATACTTTTACTGTGTATCATTTCTGTTCCTTATACTCTCTGCTTATTCCTAACTCTGTTTTTTTTTTCTGATTTTATTTTGGAGTATAACATAATACAGAAAACTGCACAAATTGGCCAAGCGCAGTGGCTCGTGCCTGTAATCCCAGCACTTTGGGAGGCCAAGACGGGCGGATCACTTGTGCTGAGGAGTTTGAGACCAGCCTGGGCAACATGGTGAAATCCTGTCTCTACAAAAAATACAAAACAATTAGCTGGGCATGGTGGCGGGTGCCTGTAGTCCCAGCTACTCAGAAGGCTGAGGTGGGATGATCGCTTGAGCCTAGGAGGTGGAGGTTGCAGTGAGCCGAGGTTGCACCACTGCTCTCCAGCCTGGGCAACGGAGTGAGACCCTGTCTCAAAACAAAACAAAACAAAACAAAGCTGCACTTACATTTAAGTATACAAGTTGGTGAAGTGAACATGCCAATGAAACCTGCTTCCAGATCAAGAAGCAGAGTGTTACTGGTATCATGGGTGTCCCCTTCAGCCCATTCTGGTCACTTCACCCCACAAGGGTAACCACTTTCTGATTTCCAACACCACAGAGTTGTCTGTTTTAATGGAGTTATTGAAATATACATACTATAACGTTCACTCATTTAAAGTATACTGCTCAGTGATTTTAAGTATATTTTCTGAGTTGTGTAACTATAACTATAATCTAATGTTAAAATATTTTCATCATCCCCAAAAGAAACCTGTACCCCAAAAGAAATAAGGAGTGGTTACTCCTTTATCCCACATTCCACCAGCCCTAGGCAATTACAAATCTATTTCCTGCCTCTATAGATTTGCTTATTCTGGACATTTCATATAAGTGGGATCACATAATATGTGGCATTTTGTGCCTGATTTCTTTCACTTAGCATAATGTCCTCAAGGCTCATCCATGCTGTAGCATGTATCAGTACTTCATTCCTTTTCATGGCTGAGTAATATTCCATTGTATGGATAGACCACATTTTGTTTATCCGTTCATCTCCTGATGGACATTTGGATGCTTTCCACCTTTCAGATATTATGAATAATGCTACTGTGAACATTCACTTACAGGTTTTTGTTTGGACATACGTTTTTGTTTCTCTTAGGCATATATGTAGGAGTGGAATTGCTGGGTCATATGGTAACTCTGTTTAACATCTCAGGCCGGGTGCGGTGGCTCACGCCTGTAATCCCAGCACTTTGGGAGGCCGAGGCGGGTGGATCATGAGGTCAGGAGATCGAGACCATCCTGGCTAACAAGGTGAAACCCCGTCTCTACTAAAAATACAAAAAATTAGCCGGGCGCGGTGGCGGGCGCCTGTAATCCCAGCTACTCGGGAGGCTGAGGCAGGAGAATGGCGTGAACCCGGGAAGCGGAGAGCTTGCAGTGAGCCGAGATTGCGCCACTGCAGTCCGCAGTCCGGCCTGGGCGACAGAGCAAGACTCCGTCTCAAAAAAAAAAAAAAAAAAAAAAATCTCAAAGAACTGGCTAAACTGTTTTTCATAGTGTCTGCACCATTTTCCATTCCTGCCAGCAATGTATGAGGGTCCCAATTTCTCCACATCCTCACCAACACTTGTTATTATCTATGTTTTTGATTCTAGTGAGTGTGAAGTGGTATCTCATCATAGTTTTAACTTGCTTTTCCCTAATGACTGATGATGTTGAGCATCATTTCATAGCTTATTGGTCATTTTTATGTCTTCTTTGGAGAAATATCTGTCAAATCTTTTGATCACCTTTTAGTTGGATTGTCTTTGTATTGAGTTATAAGACTTATTTATATATTCTAGATATAAGTTTCTTATCAGATATATAGCGCTGCCATGCTCAGCTAATTTTTATATTTTTAGTACGATGGGGTTTCATCATCTTGGTCAGGCTGGCCTGGTCTTGAACTCCTGACCTCGTGATCTGCCCGTCTCGGCCTCCCAAAGTGCTGGGATTACAGGCATGTGCCACTGTGCCTGGCCAAGTTTTGTATTTGTAGTAGAGATGGAGTTTCGCCATGTTGGCCAGGCTGGTCTCGAACTCCTGACCTCAGGTAATCTGCCTGCTTCGGCTTCCCAAAGTGCTGGGATGACAGGCGTGAGCCACCACGCCCACTGAACCCTCATAAATCCATCACCGAATTTCAGCAGTGATCAGCATTTTACCATTTTCCCCACCACCATCTTTTCTGGGGGAGGAGTATTTAGTTTTTGTTATTTTGAAATAAAACAGTGAAAATCATGCTCTTATTTCAAAAAACAACATTGTGGAAAATATCTAACTTAGAAAATGAGACACCTGTAACCTCAGACAGAGCCAGTATTAATTCTGTGTGTGTGTATAGTTTTTAAGGACATTATTATTATTATTATTATTATTATTATTATTATTTTTGAGACGGAGTCTCACTTTGTTGCCCAGGCTGGAGTGGAGTGGCGCAATCTCAGCTTACTGCAACCTCCACTTCCCTGGTTGAAGTGATTCTCCTGCGTCAGCCTCTCAAATAGTTGGGACTACAGGCACCTGCCACCCATTATTTTAAATATTTACAGTATATTCCGTTATACAGGTAAACCATATTAATCCAGTTTCCTATGGGGGCCATTTGGGTTATCAGCTTTACTGTATTGATTAATGGTGCAATCATTAATCTTCCTGTCATATGTACTTGAGCAAGTTATTTTTTTTTCTTTTAGACAGGGTCTCCCTCTGTCGCCCAGGCTAGCGTATAGTAGTGCGATCCCTACTCACTGCAGCCTCAAACTCCTGGGCTCAAGTGGTTCTCCCACTTCAGCCTCCTGAGTAGCTGGGATGACAGGCGTGTGCCATTGAGTCTGGCTAATTATTTTTTGTAGAGACGGGGTCTATGTTGCCCAACTTGGCCTTGAACTCCTGGGCTCAAGTGATCCTCACCTTGGCCTCCCAAAGTGCTGGGATTACAGGCGTGAGCCACTGCGCCCGGCCGGAGGATGCACATCTTTTTTTTTTTTTTTTTTTTTTTTTTTGAGACGGAGTCTCGCTCTGTCGCCCAGGCTGGAGTGCAGTGGCGCGATCTCGGCTCACTGCAGGCTCCGCCTCCTGGGTTCACGCCATTCTCCTGCCTCAGCCTCCCGAGTAGCTGGGACTACAGGCACCCGCCACCACGCCCGGCTAATTTTTTGTATTTTTAGTAGAGACGGGGTTTCACCGTGTTAGCCAGGATGGTCTCGATCTTCTGACCTCGTGATCCGCCCGCCTCGGCCTCCCAAAGTGCTGGGATTACAGGCGTGAGCCACCGCGCCCGGCCCGGATGCACATCTTAAAGATTTAATAGCTGCTGCCAAATTGCCCTCCAAAGAGACTATGCCAGTTTATAATTTCAGCAGTAGTGAATGGGAATGTACAGGGGTATTGTATTTTATTTTATTTTTTGAGACAGAGTTTTGCTCTTGTCCCCCAAGCTGGAGTGCAGTGGTGCGATCTTGGCTCACTGCAACCTCTGCCTTCCGGGTTTGAGCAATTCTTCTACCTCAGCCTCCCAAGTAGCTGGGATTACAGGTGCGCACCATCACATCCAGCTAATTTTTGTATTTTTAGTAGAGACGTGGTTTCACCATGTTGTCCAGACTGGTCTCGAACTCCTGGCCTCAAGTGATCCACCGACCTGGGTCTCCCAAAGTGCTGGGATTACAGGTGTGAGCCGGCCAGGGATATTTTAAAGTAAATTCCAATTATTGTATCATTTTCACCTGGAAATACTTCTGTATTTCTTGCTAACAGATAAGGACATTTTTTGTGTTTTGACATAACCGTTATCACTTCTGAAAAATGAGTACCTTTTTACCGATGGTTTGTTCAAATCAGAATTCAGACAAGGCATTTGAAATGTGCATGTGGAAAGGAATACTGAAGAGGATGCCCACCTTCAGCGCTGCAGTTTTGAAAACCTGTGAATTGGGTGCAGTGGCTCATGCTAGCCACTTGGGAGGCTGAGGTAGAAGTTTAGGCTTGAGCCCAGGAGTTTGAGGCCAGCCTGGGCAACATAGCAAGACCCCATCTGCTTTGTGCAGGTGCAGGTTTGGGGCCTGAAGTGAAGGCCTCTTTTACTCTAGGCTTGTTTCTGCCACAATCTAAGTGATGTTTAAAGATTTCTGGTCTGTTTGCTTCTGGTCAGTTCCACACCCAAGGTTCTCTTCTAGATCTAGTTCTCAAGCCTGCATTTTCTTTTTTTTTTTTTTTTTTGAGATGACATCTCACTCTGTAGCCCAGGCTGGAGTGCAGTAGTGTGATCTTGGCTCACTGCAACTTCCACCTCCTGGGTTCGAGGGATTCTCCTGCCCCACCCTCCCAAGTGGCCGGGACTACAGGTGCATGCCACCACGCCTGGCTAATTTTTTGTATTTTTAGTAGAGACAGGGTTTTGGCATGTTGGCCAGGCTGGTCTGGAACTCCTGACCTCAGGTGGGTGATCTGCCTGCCTCGGCCTCCTAAAGTGCAGGGATTACAGGCGTGAGCCACCGCGCCTGGCCCCAAGCCTGCCTTATTTCTTTGTGGCCTCGCTCATATGCCTCTGGGTCTCAATTTGTAGGAGCTTCCTTGAAGCTTTCTGAAACAAATGCCCAGAGATTGTAACAGCCTTCCTGTGATCTCTGCCGCAAAGATGAGCCATTTGTTCAATGGAGAAGGCTCACAGACCGTTCTCTGCCAATGTTGTTGCAGTCTTACTCTCCTATTATTTGGGCTGTAGAAACTTTTACAACTGGTGAGACTTTTGCTCTCTAGATTTTACTTATTCCTTCCATTTCTGCTTGAAAAGTGGTATAGCCATTCTTGCCTGTACTTATCTTTGTCTTGAAATAGCTTGTTAAGGCAGTCAGTAGTAATTAGCGTACTCCATCATTCTGACTCTTCCCACCACTTTCCTTAGGCCAGCAGGCTCAGCGGACACTGGGTCCATGAAAGGCAGCAGTGAGTGCAGGCATTCCTTTAAGTGGGCGATATTTCATCATGATATGCCAGGCTCTCTAGCATTTTGCCACCTGACCAATAAGCCAAACTAACATATTTTAGACTTTTGTTCACAGCAGCACCCCACATCAAGGTGCTCATTTGTTGTCAGTCAGGGTTTGGTCAGGAAAATGGAAACTACCCTAGGTATCAAGCAGGAAGGCATTTAACATAGTGATCTAGAGGCTTCCAAAACCATTATCAGGGCTGGGGTGATGTGGTGGCAGCACACCCAGGGAAAGTTGCTGTTAGCTTTCAGAAAATTAGGAAGTGCAAGAATTGTAGGAAACTGTTGCGGATCAGCTGGGCCCTCTATAGGACCAGGGAAGGTCAATTTCAGGAGGGTCCTTAGAGGCTGCTGCTGCAATATGACATCAGCCCAGAGCCTAAGCTCATGCCCATGCCCACCCCTGCTGGAAGAATCCCACGTCTGCTGCTCCTCTATCTTCTGAATCTTGTAGGGTAGCTGAGCCTCTCCTCACTGGCCAGGATCCAGGTAAGGTGGTTCCTGCTATACAAGGGAGGGCACAGACTGGAAGGAAATGATGCTTTGTTCCAGCTTCCCCTAAAGTTGAGGGGACCACTAAATCTTACAAAGATAGGAGAAACAATTCTCAGTATATTGCTGTTTAAATTATCTTATAGATTAAAAGTTTGCTGTCTGGAAGTGAATACAAGTGTATGCATAAATAACATTTTATTTTTGTAATCATTTTTATTTATAGACTATAAAGCAATTGGCAAAATAGGAGAGGGAACGTTTTCTGAAGTTATGAAGATGCAAAGCCTGAGAGATGGAAACTACTATGCATGTAAACAAATGAAGCAGCGCTTTGAAAGGTAGGCTACAGAGATGCACTTGGGACCAAACACAGATCCAAGTTTCAGTCAATAACGGCAACTTAATATTAGGGGGGAGCTTTATTAATTTAATAATATGTAAGATACAATCAGATTTCTTTGGGCAGTGAGGGTTATATGCTAATGTTATGTTTATCATACTGGAGTTTACTCATATCCAGGCTTACTGTAATATCAGTGATGAATGACCACAAAAAAGTTTAAGTTTCAAAAGTGTGTCTCACCTTAAACAGTCTGTATGTTCCTAAAAGTTATAAATGTGTTGGATTTCTTTTTTTTTTAATTAAAAAAAACAGCAAAAAAATGATATATCAACCAATGGAACAGGATAGAGAGCTCGGAAGTGAACCCTTTATGATCCATTTGATTTTATGATCCATTGATTTTTTTTTTTTTTTTTTTGGAGACAGAGTCTCACTCTGTCTCCCAGGCTGGAGTGCAGTGGCACAATCTTGACTCATTGCAACCTCCGCCACCCCAGTTCAAGCGATTCTCGTGACTTAGCCTCCTAGTAGCTGCAACTGCAGGCATGTGCCACCAAGCCCGGCTAATTATTATTTTTTTTAAGTATAGATCAGGTTTCACCACGTTGGCCAGGCTGGTCTTGAACTCCTTGGCCTCAAGTGATCCGCCCGCCTTGGCCTTCCAAAGTGCTGGGATTACAGGTGTGAGCCACTGTGCCTAGCCCATTGATTTTGTTTGTTTTTGTGTTTTGTTTTGTTTGAGACAGGGTCTCACTCTGTCATCCAGGCTGGAGTGCAATGGCTCGATCTTGGCTCACTGCAGCCTCCACCTCCCAGGCTTAAGTGATCTTCCCACCTCAGTCTCCTGAGTAGCTGGGACCACAGGAGCACACCACACGCCTGGCTAATTTTTGTATTTTTTATAGAGACGGGGCTTCACCACGTTGCCCGTGCTGGTCTTGAACTCCTGACCTCAAGGTATCTGCCTGCCTTAGCCTCACAAAGGGCTGGGATTACAGGCATGAGCCACTGTGCCTGGCTGTGTGTTGGACTTCTATAAATGCAACCTTAGTCTAAATGTATTAGAGGTCCTTGCAATTTAACTAACTGTGAATAAATTAATATATTAATATTATATTAATATAACATAAGTGACAGGCATGAGCCACCATGCCCAACCTGAGCCATCACGCTCAGCCTGAGCCACTACACCCAGCCTTCATTTTTTAATTAATTAGTTAACTTTTAAAATGGAGATGGGATTTCACTGTGTTGCCCAAGCTGACCATGAACTCCCGGGCTCAAGTGATCCTTCTGCCTCAGCCTCCCAAAGTGCTGGAATTATAGGTGTGAGCCACCACACCTGGCCAAGAACAGTAATTTCATCCTCATGACATCTGGATAGGGTAGTTATCCTTGTTTCATATATGAGGATAGGTGCTTAGAGATGTGAGGTAATTTGACATTTTTTCTAGATTACTGGGTGGGCAGAGCCAGATGTGAACCCAGATTCTGCTAAGGCAAATCCTTGTTCTTCACTGCCCAATGCATACGGTAGTTTACCTACCACTAGGAAGACTGAAGCCACCAGGTGTTCTGCTCCTTCTCTTCTAGCACTTCTTCCTCTCTATGCATTCTGCATTCTCTGTGTTTCTTTATCTTTCCCCGACTCCATCTTTACTTGTAAACCACTGATGAGAGAGGATTTGATGCACAGTATACTGATTATCCCGTATCTAAAGAGCAGACAGCTGGGTGCTGTGGCTCACACCTGAAATTCCAGCTACTTGGGAGGCTGAGGCAGGAGGATTGCTAGAGCACAGGAGTTCAAGATCAGCCTGGGCAACATAGCAAGACCCCATCTCTACAAAAATTAAAAAAAAAACACAAAAAAACAGACTTCCTTAAACAGCCACCTTTGACCCAAAGTTGCCAGTACAGGATTTTGAACAGTAGGGTGTGATGCTTTTTTTTTTCTTTTTTTTTTTTTTTTTTGAGTCAGGGTCTCATTCTGTTGCCCAGGCTAGAGTGCAGTGGTGTGATCTCAGCTCACTACAACCTCTGCTTCCAGGGCTCAAGCGATTATCCAGCCTCAGCCTCATGAGTAACAGGGACTACAGGTGCAAGCCACCAAATGCCTAGATAATTTTTGTAATTTTTTTTTTTTTTTGAGACAGAGTCTCGCATTGTCACCTAGGCTGGAGAGCAGTGGCGTGATCTTGGCTCACTGCAACCTCTGCCTCCCAGGTTCAAGCAATTCTCCTGCCTCAGCCTCCCGAGTATCTGGGACTACAGGCGTGCGTCACAGCACTCGGCTAATTTTTGTATTTTTAGTAGAGATGGGGTTTCACCATGTTGGCCAGGCTGGTCTCAGACTCCTGACCTCAAGTGATCTGCCCACCTTGGCCTCCCAAAGTGCAGGGATTACAGGTGTGAGCCACCATGCCCAGCCTAATTTTTGTATTTTTGTAGAGACAGGGTCTCGCCATATTGCGGCTGGTCTCGAACTCCTGAGCTCAAAGCGATCCACTTGCCTTGGCCTCCCAAAGTGCTAGGATTACAGTCCTGGGTCCAGCCTCTATCAGATAAGTTTAGAATGTTCTAAGGAGCAGTTCTCTAGCGGGTGAAGAACGCTCAGTTTATTGAAGTTCTTTCTCATGCCTCCTCAGCCCCTGGGAAGATTGTGTGGTTACGTAACGGACATGGTTTCCCGGTGATGAAGCACATCCTGGGTCTGCCATCTGCCAGATTCCTCACACACCAAAAGTGCCTGGTCCACCAGAATCTTGGCTTCCTTGTCATAGTGCTTGACGACTAAGCAAAGGAATGAACAGAAAGCTAACAAGGTGGGACACATGGCAAATGTGCAGTGGATGCTGGCCTTCCTTACTGTATGCAGAATCATTCGTTGTATTTCAGAAACAATTTATGTTCTTTGCCTTTAACTTCAAAAGCAGTTGATTAGAACACATCCCACAGGTTGGCCCAGCATGGTGGCTCATGCCTTGTAATCCCAGCACGTTGGAAGGCCTAGGTGGGAGAATTGCTTGAGCCCAGGAGTTTGAGACCAGCCCAGGCAACAAAGAGAAACTCTGCCTCCATGAAAAAATTTTAAAAATCAGCCGGGCGCGGTAGTGTGTGCCTGTGGTCCCATCTACTTGGGAGGCTGAAGTGGGAGGATCTCTTGAATCCAGGAAGGTGATGCTGCAATGAGTTGTGCTTGTGCCACTGAACTCCAGCCTGGGTGACAGAGTGAGACCCTGTCTCACTCTGCCTTCTTTGACAAGGAAGCCGAAATTCCGCTGGACCAGGCACTTTTGGTATGCGAGGGATTTGGCAGAAAGCAGATCCAGGATGTACCTCACCACCAGGAAACCATGTCCGTTAGGTAACCGCACACACGCAAAAATCCGTTTCTGCTTGCTTATCATTGTGTAAGTGAATCCCCAGAGTCACCTTGCACAGTTGTGTGGGTGGTGTGAGGAATGTGAAGCATTAGTAGCAGAAAGTCATACTGAGTCACTTGGGCAGCATGAGGTTGGTATTTGGAGCCTCTGACCCCTACCCCCTCCAGTATTACTTCTGCTCCTTTCCTATGCTTTAATTCAAATAGAAACGGATGGCTTTTGCAGTAATCTTAGTTAATATGAAGTTAAAGAAAGGTAAAAAAATACACATAATGGATTAGTACTGTGGCAGGGAGGGCACTTTCACTCCTGAGCATTGTTTGCCTTTTGAGTCACTCAAGGACTTAGTTAGGGATAAGGAAGTTAGTTACTTGCCTGAGGCCTCAACAGAACTGAGTCGTTTTGTATCTTTTCTGGTATATCCTCAGAATTTTCCTCCACCAATACTTGCCAAAAGTACACAATTAAGAATAGGCTCTCTTTGGGCACAGTGGGTCTCACACCTATAATCCCAGCACTTTGGGAGGCCAAGGTGGGCAGATCAGTTGAGCCTGGAAGTTAAAGACCAGCCTGGGCAACATGGCAAAACCCCCGCTCTACCAAAAAAAGAAATAAAAAAGTTAGCTGGGCATAGTGGTGGTGCCTGTAGTCCTAGCTACTCAGGAGGGTGAAGTGGGGGGATTGCTTGAGTCCTGGAGGTTGCGGTTGAGGTTGCAGTGAGCCATGATTGTGCCACTGCACTCCAGCCTGGGTGACAGAGCAAGACCCTGTCTCAAACAACAACAACAACAACAACAACAACGGTTCTCTTGCTATGCTTTTAGTCTATATTTTTCCTATAGAAATAGAAGAAATGGAGTGAGTCTCTTAAAAAAAATCCCTAGTCTTGGTATTTGTAGGATCTCCCTTTGTGCCCCGAGGCAGTGACATTGGCACAAGTCTGCTAAACCCGGGGTTCAGTGTAGGGTTACCAGCTCTGACTCTAAAGGTCGGAACCAGCAGCTCCTCCATTTTAGTTCATGCAATCTTGGACAATTCCCTAATTTCTCCGTGCCTCTGTTTCTTTCTTTATACAATGGGGATAACCACAGTATCTACCCCATAAGATTGTTGTGAGGGTCAAATTAAATAATGCAGATGAAGCACTTAGTGCAGTGCTGGCACACCGTAATAAAGCAACTTGCTATGTAAATCAGTTTTTCCATAACAGATAATACAAGTTAGCAGAGCTTGAAGACTATTTTGGAGATGGACGTGAGATAATAATAGTAAGATTACCGCAGTTGTTCACTACATATCTGGTGTCATGAACAGTACTAGGTGAATTATATGCATGTGTCATTGAATCCTCACTGCGGCCCTGGGAGGAAGATCCATTGTTACATCTTTCAGACTAGGGAATTGAAATTCGGAGAGATCAAGTTCCCCACCTGGCCCGTTGCTACCCAACCTACACGTCGTGGAGCTGACTCTGAGCCCAGGTCTGTATAGGTCCTGAGCTGGTGATCTTCCCACCGTTCTTCCCAGCTGCAGATGCTGATGCCAACGTCAGGTCTACATGTGGTACATGGTTTTTCTCAAGTCACACCTCTAAGCAGTCCTCAAATTACTTTTACAAAAACAAAAAGTCTGCTGTGTAAGGTTATAAATAGAAACAAAGGCAAGGAATTTATTAGTCTCTCTAAAAGCCTTTTTTTTTTTTTTTACTTAAAAGTATAATATGAAAAACCTCAAGCATATACAAAATGAACAGCAGCCCTAGGTATCCAGCAGCCAGAATCAACATCCCTGCTATTTTTATTTAATCTATACCTCCACCCAGTGTCCTTCCTCTACTTGGGCTGCTATAACAAATTATACTGTATTCTGTCTGGCTTAAACAGCAGACATTTATTTCTTACAGTTCTGGAGGGTGATAAGTACAAGATTAAGATGCTGGCAGACAGGTCTGGTATCTGGCGAGGGCTTGCTTTAGGATTTGCAGGTGGCCCTCTTCTTGCTTTGTCCTCAAATGACAGATAGCAGAGAGAGAGAGAGAGGTCGCATGTTCTCTAGAGTCTTTCTGGCATTTCTTCTTAGAGCCACTAATGCCATGTGCTCTAATTACCTCTCAAAAGCCCCACCTCCTCATATCATCCCATTGGGGGTTTAGGGTTTCAACGTATGAATTTTAGAGGACACAAACATGCAATCTATAACGTTATACAGTTTTTTAAAGTCAAAATTTGTATATCTTGAAGTGCACATTGTTTATCTGTACAATTTTGGCAAATGGATATTCTCGTGTAATCAAGATGTAGAACATTACTATAACCCTAGAAAGTTCTTCTTGTTCCTTTTCAGTTTCCCACTGCCATCCCAGGCAATCACTAGTATGTGCTCTTGTGTCCACCTCCTTTAACTCAGCATCATGTCTTTGAGATTCATCATTACTGTTGTTCAGTAGTTTATCTCTTTTTTTTTTTTTTTGAGACGGAGTCTTGCTCTGTTGCCCAGCCTGGAGTGCAGTGGCACAATCTCAGCTCACTGCAACCTCTGCCTCCCAGGTTCAAGCAGTTCTCCTGCCTCAGCCTCCCAAGTAGCTGGGACTACAGGCCTGTGCCACCACACCCAGCTAATTGTTATATTTTTAGTAGTGACGGGGTTTCACTGGACAGGCTCGTCTTGAACTCCTGACCTCAGGTGATCCACCCGCTTCAGCCTCCCAAAGTGCTGGGATTATAGGTGTGAGCAACTGCACCTGGCCAGTTTATGCCTCTTTAATGCTGAGCAACATTCATTACAATCTGTGAGTACAACACAATTTCTTTATCCATTTTCCTGTTAATGGACTTTTTGATAGTTTCCAGTTTTGGGCTACCATGAATAAAGCTGCTTATGAAATTCGACTTCTTAGGCTGGGTGTGGTGGCTTGCTTCTGTAATCCCAGCACTTTGGGAGGCTGAGGCGTGAGGATTGCTTGAGCCCAGGAATTTGAGACCAGGCTGGATGACATATAGCCTGGTCTGTATGTCGTATGAAGAAAGACTTTTAGTATCTTTTTTTTTCCTCTACAAAAAAAAAAAAAAAAAAAGACCAGGGCATAGTGGCTCACTCCTGTAGTCCTAGCTACTTGAGAGGCTGTGATGGGAGCGTTGCTGAGCCTAGGAAGTTGAGGCTGCAATGAGCCATGATCACACCACTGCACTCCAGCCTAGGTGACAGAGCAAGACCCTGTCTCAGAAAAACAACAAAAGAAATACAGAAATTCTACTGGTGCATATTTCATTTTTTCTTTTTCTTTTTTTTTTTTTTTGAGACGGAGTTTCGCTCTTGTTGCCCAGGCTGGAGGGCACTGGCATGATCTCAGCTCACCACAACCTCCGCCTCCTGGGTTCAAGTGATTCTCCTGCCTCAGCCTCCAGAGTAGCTGGGATTACAGGCATGCACCATCACACCCGGCTAATTTTTTGTATGTTTTCATTTTTTCTTAGGCAGTTACCTAGAAACAGAATCACTGGGTCAAAGGGTAGGTATATGTTTAACTTTATAAGAAACTGACAAGCCTTTTCTCAAAGTGATTGTAACTTTTTATTTTTTTATTTAATTTAATTAATTAATTTATTTATTTGAGACAGAGTGTCGCTCTATCACCCAGGCTGGCTATCTCGGCTCAATGCAAGCTCTGACTCCTGGGTTCACGCCATTCTCTTGCCTCAGCCTCTTGAGTAGCTGGGACTACAGGCGCCCGCCACCACGCCCGGCTAATTTTTTTTTTGTATTTTTTAGTAGAGATGGGGTTTCACCATGTTAGCCAGGATGGTCTCCATCTCCTGACCTTGTGATCCGCCCACTTCAGCCTCCCAAAGTGTTGGGATTACAGGCGTGAGCCACCACGCCCGGCCTGTAGCTTTTTATATTACCACCGGCAAAGAATGAAAGTTCCAGTTGCTCCATATTCCCACCGGCATTTGATGTTGTTATTCTTTTAAGTTTAAGCCATTCTGATGATTGTGTGGAATTATCTCATGGTAGTTTTAGTTTCTACTTCCCCGATGACTAATGATAAACACTTGATCATGTACTTATTGGCCATTCATGTATCTTCATTTATGAATTGCCTGTCCAAGTTTTTGTCCCTTTAAAAATTTAGACCTTAAGAAACAAGCCATCCTAAGGGAGAAAAAAAGAAAAAATAATTTTAAAAATTAGGCTGTTTGCCTTTTTATTGAATTTAGGAGTTCTTTATATATTCTGTATAGAAGTCTTTTATTAAATGTGTTTTGCAGGTAGTTTCTCCAAGTCTGTGGTTTGCCTATCCATTTTCTTTATGGCATCTTTCCATGTGCTGAAGTTTTTTAATGTCAGTGAAGTCCAATTTATGGAGTTCTTTTGTGGTTATTGTTTTTTGTTTTCTGTCTTAGAAGAAATTTTTGTCTACTTCTAGGTTGTGAATGTATTCTCCTGTATTTTCTCCTAAAAACCTTATCATTTTAACTTTTTACATTTAGGTCTGTGATCCATCTTTTTTTTTTTTTTTTTTTGAGATGGAGTCTCGCTCTGTCACCCAGGCTGGACTGCAGTGGCGCTATCTCTGCTCACTGCAAGCTCCGCCTCCCAGGTTCACTCCATTCTCCTGCCTCAGCCTCCCGAGTAGCTGGGACCGCAGGCGCCCACCACCACGCCCGGCTAATTTTTTGTATTTTTAATAGAGACGGGGTTTCACCGTGTTAGCCAGGATGGTCTCGATCTCCTGACCTCACAGTCCACCCACCTCGGCCTCCCAAAGTGCTGGGATTACAGGCGTGAGCCGCCGTGCCCGGCCAATCCATCTTAAATTAATTTTTGTGAATGGTGAGCGGTAGGGATCAAGCATCAGTTTTTTCCCCCAAATGAATATCCAGTTGTTCCAGCATCATTTGTTAAAAAAAGACTTTCCTTGCCTTCAGTGGATTATTTTGTCAAAAGCTAATTGACTGTAAAAGTATAGGTCTGTTTTGGACTCTCTATTCTGTTTCATTGCTCTCTTTGACTGTCATTATGCCAATACCATACTGTTTTGATTAATGTAGCTCAACAGTAAGTTTTGAAGTCAGATACTAAAAGTCTTTCTTCTTCTTTTTTTTTTTTTTTGAGACAGAGTCTCTTTCTGTCATGCAGGCTGGAGTGCAGTGGTGTCATCTCGGCTCACTGCAACCTCTGCCTCCTGGTTTCAAGCAATTCTCCTGCCTCAGCCTCCTGAGTAGCTGGGATTACAGGCACCCACCACCATGCCTGGCTAATTTTTGTATCTTTAGTTGAGACAGGGTTTCACCATGTTGGCCAGGCTGGTTTCAAACTCTTGACCTCAGGTGATCCGCCTGCCTCGTCCTCCCAAAGTGCTGGGATTACAGGCGTGAGTTACCGTGCCCGGCCTCTTCATCTTTTTAAAGACAGTTTTGCCTACTGTAGGTCCTCTGTACATCCACATACATTTTAGAATCAGCTCAATTTTTTTTTTCTGTGAGGATTCTAGGAATATAGCTCATCAATTCTATTAAAAAATAAAACCAGCCGGGCACAGTTTCTCACGCCTGTAATCCCAGCACTTTAGGAGGCTGAAAGTGGGCTGATCACTTGAGCCCAGGAGTTCAAGACCAGCCTGAACAACATGGTGAAACCCCATCTCGATTGAAAATAACAAAAATTAGCCAAGTGTAGTGTCACACACCTGTAGTCGCAGCTGCTTGGGAGGCTGAGGTGGGAGGATTGCTTGAGCCTGGGAGGTGGAGGCTTCAGTGAGCCAAGATCATGCAGCTGCACTCCAACCTGGGTGACAGAGTGAGAACCTGTCTCAAAAAAAAAAAAAAAAATGCAGGTACGGTGGCTCACACCTGTAATCCCAGCACTTTGGGAGGCCGAGGCGGGCAGATCATGAGGTCAGGAGGTCAAGACCATCCTGGCTAAAACCGTGAAACCCCATCTCTACTAAAAATACAGAAAATTAGCCGGGTGTGGTGGCAGGCGCCTATAGTCCCAGCTACTCAGGAGGCTGAGGCAGGAGAATGGAGTGAACCCAGGAGGTGGAGCTTGCAGTGAGTGGAGATTGGGCCACTGCACTCCAGCCTGGGCGACAGAGTGAGACTCTGTCTCAAAAAAGAAAAACAAAACAAAAAAAAACTATTGAGATTATGAATAGGATTGTATTGAGTCTATCGTTCAATTTGGGAGAGAATGCATATCTTAGCAATATTGAACTTTGCAATTCATAAACATGGTATAACCGTCTCTCCATTTATTTCAGTTTGCTTTAGTTTCAGCTATGTTTTGTTTTTGTTTTTGAGACGGAGTTTTGCTCTTGTTGCCCAGGCTGGAGTGCAATGGCATGATCTCAGCTCACTGCAACCTCTGCCTTCCGGGTTCACAGGTTCTAGAGATTCTCCTGCCTCAGCCTGCCAAGTAGCTGGGATTACAGGCACGTGTCACCATGCCCAGCTAATTTTTGTATGTTTAGTAGAAGACAGGGTTTTGTCATGTTGGCCAGGCTGGTCTCGAACTCCTGACTTCAGGTGATCCGCCCACCTTGGCCTCGCAAAGTGCTCAGATTACAGGTGTGAGCCACCTTGCCTGGACGGTTTCAGCTGTTTTGTAGTTTCACTGAAAAGGTCTTACGTGTCTTTTGTTAAATTTATATCTAAGTGTTTTATGTTTTATAACATTATTATAAAAGGATATTTTAAACATTTATTTCCCATTGTTAGCCATAAGTATGTAGAAATGCAATTAATTTTTGTTTACTTTGTATTTTGAGAAATTTCTCAGGATTCACTTATTTTTTTTTTTTTTTTGTTCTAGTATGTTTTGGTTGCTTTCTTAGGATTTTTTACTTAAAGAAATATGTCACCTGCAAATAGAGACAGTTTTACTCTTCTTTCCCAATGTTGATGACTTTTTTTTTTGAGACGGAGTTTTGCTCTGTTGCCCATGCTGGAGTGCAGTGGCGCGATCTCAGCTCACTGCAACCTCCACCTCCCGGGTTCAAGTGATTCTCCTGCCTCAGCCTCCCAAGTAGCTGGGACTACAGGCACCCGCCACCACGCCTGGCGAATTTTTGTATTTTAAGTAGAGACAGGGTTTAACCGTATTGGCCAGGCTGGTCTCGAACTCCTGACTTTGTGATCTGCCCACCTTGGCCTCCCAGAGTGCTGGGATTACAGGCGTGAGCCACTGTGCCCGGCCCATGACTTTTTTTCTAGCCTTTCCCATTAGTTCAGATTTCCAGTACAATATTGAATGCAAGTAGCGGGGAAGTGTTCAGCATTTCAACATTAGAAGCATGATGTTTGCTGTATATGTCTTTTATCAAATTGACAGAGTTCCCTTTCATGAATAGCTTGCTGAGAATTTTTGTCCTGAATTGGTATCGAATTCTGTCAAATGACTTTTTGGTATTATTATTTTTTCCTTTTTCTTGTATTGTGGTGGATAACATTCATTCATTTTTGAATAATAACTCAACCTTGCATTCCCAGTATAGCTGGGATTCCCCACTTAGTCATAACATATGATCAGTTTTACATGTTCCTGGATTTGATAGTATTTTGTCAAGTATTTTTGTATTTGTACTCATAAGGGATACTTTTTTTTTTTTCGTGATGGAGTCTTGCTGTGTTGCACAGGCTGGAGTGTGGTGGCGTGATCTCGGCTCACTGCAACCTCCGCCTCAAGCAATTCTGCTTCAGGCTCCCAAGTAGCTGGGATTACAGGCGCGTGCCACCATGCCTGGCTAATTTTTGTATTTTTAGTAGAGATGGGGTTTTGCCATGTTGGCCAGGCTGTCTTGAACTCCTGACCTCAGGCAATTCGCCAGACTTGGCCTCCCAAAGCACTAGGATTACAGGCGTGAGCTACCATGCTTGGCCTATACTTTTCTTATTATATAAAAGTCTTTGTTAGGGAGTTAGGCGTGGCGTCTCATACCTTTAATCCCAGCACATTGGGAGGCTGAGGTGGGAGGATGGCTTAAGCCCAGGAGTTTGAGGCCAGCCTGGACAAGATGAGACCTTGTTTCTACAAATAAAAAACAGCTGGGCATGGTGGCAGGCACCTGTGGTCCCAGCCACTTGGGAGGCTGAGGTAGGAGGATGGCTTAAGATCAGGAGGTCAAGGCTGCAGTAAGCAGTGATTACACTACTGCACTCCAGCCTGGGCCACAGAGTGAGACCCTGTCTCAAAAAAAGAAAAAGAAAAAAGTCTTTATTAGGTTTTGCGGCTGGGTGCAGTGGCTCACACCTGTATTCCCAGCACTTTGAGAGGCTGAGGTGGGTGGATCACTTGAGGCCAGGAGTTTGAGATTAGCCTGGCCAACATGGCAAAACTCTGTTTCTACCAAAACTACAAAAATTAGGTGGGCGTGGTAGTGCATGCCTGTAATCCCAGTTACTCAGGAGGCTGAGGCACAAGTATGGCTTGAACCCTGGAGGCAGAGTTTGCAGTGAGCCGAGGTTGCGCTCGTGCACTCCAGCCTGGGCAACAGAGCGAGAATCTGTCTTAAAAAAAAAAGTTTTTGTTAGGTTTTGGTATAAAGGTTTTCAGGTCTAACAGAACAAGTTGGGAAGTGTTCATTCCTCCATTTTTTGCTGAAAAAGTTTGTGTAAGAGTATTTCTTTTTTAAATGTTTGAAATAATTCACCAGTGAAATTGTCTGGTCTAGGAGTTTTCCTTGTGGGGAAGGTCCCTCCCACAATGATGTTTATTATAACATCATTCGTAGTGATAAAAAGATGGGATCACGACGAAGTGGTGGAACAAGGAATGACCTCAAGGCACATCTGTATCAAGGAATATTAAAGAAAAAAACCAGAACTATGCCAAATAATTTGGAAGGATTTCCATATGATTTTTTAAAAGCTTTATTGAAGGATGATTTCCTTTTGTTTCTTTTGAGATGGAGTCTCGCTCTGTCATCCAGGCTGGAATGCAGTGGTGCAGTCTTGGCTAGCTGCAACCTCTGCCTCCTGAGTTCAAGCAATTCTCCTGCCTCAGCCTCCTGAGTAGTGGGGATTGCAGGCACCTGCCACCATTAATTTTTGTATTTTTAGTAGAGATGGGGTTTCATCATGTTGGCCAGGCTGGTCTCAAACTCCTGACCTCAGGTTATCCACCCGTCTCGGCCTCCCAAAGTGTTGGGATTATAGGCGTGAGCCACTGTGCCCAGCCTGAAGTATAATTTTCCTTTCATAAAATTCAGCTATTGTAAGTGAGTTTCAGGACATTTATACGGCTGTGCAACTGTCACCACAATTCCGTTTTAGAACACTTTCATCATCTGTTGGGAGGTTTTTGATAACAACTAATAAGAATAAAATAGGGCTATTTTATTAAATAGGGCTGTTTCAATTTCCAGTTTTATTTTGTGTCAGATTTGGTAACTGTGTTTTTTGAGGAATTTGTTTACCCTAAATTGTCATATTTATTGGCATACAGTTATTTGTAATACTCTCATTATTATTATTTAATTTTTTTTTTTTGAGATGGAGTCTTGCTCTTGCCCAGGCTGGAGTGCAATGGCACAATCTCGCCTCACTGCAACCTCTGCCTCCCAGGTCCAACTGATTCTCCTGCCTTAGCCTCCTGAGGAGCTGGAATTACAGGCACCCTGCCACCACGCTTGGCTAATTTTTGTATTTTTAGTGGAGACAGAGTTTCACTGTGTTGGCCAGGCTGGTCTCGAACTCCTGACCTCGTGATCCACCCACCTTGGCCTCCCAAAGTGCTGGGATTACAGGCGTGAGCCCCTGTACCCGGCCAAGGGGGACATTTAGATAATTGATTTTAACCCTTTCTTCCTTTAGTATTTACACATAAGTATCTTTCTAAATCCTGTTTTAGCTGCATCTCATAAATTTCTATATGTTGTGCTTTATTTGGTTTGAAATGTTTTCTAATTTCCCTTGTGATTTCTTCTTTACTGTTTAATTTCCAAATATTTGAGACTTTTCTAGATAACTTACTGTACTGATTTCTAATTTAATCCATTGTGGTCTGAGAACATGTTGTGTAAAGTTTTCAGTCTTGAAATGTATTGAGACTTACCTTATGGTCCAGCACATTATCTATATGGATGAATGTTTCATATATACTTGAAAAGAATATTTTATATACAGTTGTTGAATATACTGTTCTGTAAATGTCAATTAGGACAGGTAGTTAATAATGCTGTTAAGATCTTCTGTATCTTTACTGATTTTTTTGAAAGATTGTTCAATCAATTATGGGAGTAAGGTGTTAAAATCTTCATCTCTTTCTTTAGTATTGTCAACTTTTCCTTTATGTATATTAAAATTTTCTCATTTAGGCCAGGCACAGTGGCTCACGCCTGTAATCCCAGTACTTTGGGAGGCTGAGGCAGGTGGATCACTTGAGATCAGGAGTTTGAAACCAGCCTGGCCAACATGGTGAAACCTTGTCTCTACTGAAAATATAAGAATCAGCCAGGCATGGTGGCAGGTGCCTATAATCCCAGCTACTTGGGAGGCTGAGGCAGGAGAATCACTTGAACCCAGGAGATGGAGATTGCAGTGAGCCAAGATCACTCCACTGCACTCTAGCCTGGTCAACAGAGCAAGACTCCGTCTCACAAAAAAAAAAAAAAAAAAAGCTGGTTGTGGTGGCTCATCACTTTGGGAGGCCAAGGCGGGTGGATCACCTCAGGTTGGGGGTCGAGACCAGCCTGGCCACTGTGATGAAACCTCATCTCTACTAAAAATACAAAAATAGCCTGGGATAGTGGTGGGCACCTGTAATCCCAGCTACTCAGGAGGCTGAGGCAGGACAATAGCTTGCACCTGGGAGGTGGAGGTTGCAGTGAGCCTAGATCGTGCCACTGCACTCCAGCCTGAATGACAGAGCAAGATTTTGTCTCAAAAAAAAAAAAAAATTCTCTTATTTGACACATACACATTTACAATTGTCATTGCTTCCTAATGTATTGACTCTTTTTTTATCATCATGAAATCATAAGTAGTAGTAATCCTTATTTTGCAGTCTATTTTGTCTAATATTAATATAACCATTTCTTCCTCCCCTTTACTTTGAGGACTTTCTTCATATAGATTGTATTGGTTAGATAAACTTATTTTCCATAAAATTCATCCAATAAAATGAAATGTTGAAATTTCATAGTTGATCTTTAAATAATTTTTTTTTTTTTTTGAGACGGAGTCTCACACTGTCGCCCAGGCTGGAGTGCAGTGGCGTGATTTCGGCTTACTGCAAGCTCCACCTCCCAGGTTTACGCCATTCTCCTGCCTCAGCCTCCAGAGTAGCTGGGACTACAGGCACCCGCCACCATCCCGGCTAATTTTTTGTATTTTTTAGTAGAGACGGGGTTTCACTGTGTTAGCCAGGATGGTCTCGATCTCCTGACCTCATGATCCACCCGCCTCGGCCTCCCAAAGTGCTGGGATTACAGGCATGAGCCACCGTGCCCAGCCGATCTTTACATTTTTTTTAAAAGTCTGAGTCCTGGTGATCATAATTTGTTCCATTTGTAGATTCCACTTATGGTAAATGTCATCTGGTTCTTTTCGGAGCAAAGGCTGCCTACATTCCTCTTACATTCAGTTCTGTGGTATTTTGTTTCCAACAGAACAATAAACAAAAACAAACTGAATGTCACCTGACAACAAAATTCAACGCAACTCCAAGGCAAAGAAAAGTAGTTTACTTCCAGGTTTTTTTAGATTTTTTTTTTTTCATGATTTTAAAAGAGGGGACAGAGTTGATTTGAATTTTATTAAGCACTGTTATTTGAACAGTTGCTAGATCCTGATATCTAGCAATATCCAGGAAAATGTGCCTTTCTAAATATTTGTCTTAGCTCATTATTTCTCAGTGAATGCCTGTGGAGACATGAAAGAATCCTATCTACAATAAGCAAAATATGTTTTGGGGTGTGATAACTGGTTTTCCTATTACAGAGGAGAAGAATGGATATTTGTGTAAATAGCATAGCTGTTTGGCTGCCCGGTTCTAAAAACTAAGTTTTTCAGATCGGGTGTTCAAAAATTGGAACTACTGCTAGCTTGTTAGCTTCTTGCTCTTTCCACCTGAAGCAGGATTTCTCTATCTCAACACTGTTGGCATTTTGGCCTGGAATTTTTTTTTTTTTTCTGTTCTGTGCATTGTAGAATATTGAATGATTTGTATTCATTGGTAAATAGCTGCTGTCCTGACCCTTCTGAGTCTCGCCTAGCCCCCTTGTTCAGCACTCCCTAGTTCTGGCCACTTTGAGGACCCAGCTCCAGCATGGTGGGCTGTGTCTTTTCTGATTGGTTGTGGACCTGGGGTGCGAGTTGCTAACACTTTCAATACCAACTTGGATGTGAGGGAGGAAATACAGGATACAAATGAAAATGGGGGCTAGAACTTTTAGTCCAAAAATATTCTTAGGCTCTTCAGGCTATTCTGTTTTCAGGCTCTTCTTAAATATCAGGCTTCTATTTGTTGGCTAACATGAGAGTGACTTAAAATATTCAGACATATTTATTTATTTATTTTTTGAGATGGAGTCTCACTCTGTTGCCCAGGCTGGAGTGCAATGGCACAATCTTGGCTTACTGCAGCCTCCACCTCCTGGGTTCAAGCGATTCTCCTGCCTCTGCCTCCCAAGTGGCTGGGATTACAGGCACGTGCCACTGCGCCCGGCTGATTTTTGTATTTTTAGTAGAGACGGGGTTTCACCATGTTGGCCAGGCTGGTCTGGAACTCCTGACCTCAGGTGATCCACCTGCCTTGGCCTCCCAAAGTGCTGGGATTACAGGCATGAGCGACCACGCCTGGCCTCAGCCATATTGATTTTAAACTATACCTATACTACTACTGGGTACTCTTCAAATAACCAAACAAATGTTGAACTTTCCAATATATGTTAAAAGTTTATAGAACAGAATTTGCCAGTTGAAAAAATAGTCCCACAATTAGTTCCTTTTGGAGCCCCTGAGATGAAAATTTCTGGTGAATTGAATTATTCAATTAGGTGTGACCCCATGGGCCTACCGTGGTGAAGTGGCATTCTCAAAAGAGGTCTGTCTAGAGGGCAGTGATAGCTAGCCTCAGGCCTTGGGCCTGATTGCACTGTTTTGGCATGATTTGTATTGGCAGAGCAGTCTTCATAAAGAAGAGCCTGCAATAAGGCACACCTGCCAAGAGAATGCTTGTCACCAAGTGAATGAAATGGAAAAGAGGGCCGGGCGTGGTAGCTCACACCTGTAATGCCCGCACTTTGGGAGGCCAAGGTGGGTGGATCACCTGAGGTCAGGAGTTTGAGACCAGCCTGGCCAACATGGTGAACTCCATCTCTACTAAAAATAAAAAAATTAGCCAGGCATGGTGGCGGGTGCCTATAATCCCACCTACTTGGGAGGCTGAGGCAGGAGAATCGCTTGAACCCGGGAGGCAGAGGTTGCAGTGAGCCAAGATCACACCATTGCACTCCAGCCTGGGCAACAAGAGAGAAACTCCGTTTCAAAAAAACAAAAAATCAAAAAGAGTATAGCATCATTAAAGATAAGAAAGAGGCCGGGCACAGTGGCTCACGCTTGTAATCACAGTACTTTGGGTGGCTGAGGCGGGCCGATCATTTGAGCCTGGGAGTTTGAGAGGGCATAGTGGGATGCACCTGTGGTCCCAGCTACTCAGGAGGCTAAGGTGGGAGGATCACCTGAGCCTGGAAGGTTGAGGCTTCAGTGAGACATGATTGCACCATTGCACTCCAGCCTGGATGACAGTGAGGCTTTGTCTCAAAAACAAAAAAAAAAAGGAGGGGTGGGTCTTTTCTTGGAACTTTGAAATGCTCATTTTCAGATAGTGTATCTATAAACTGAAGACTAAATCTTAATTATTAATCTTATTAATTAATCATAAGTTTTAATGTCTACTTTTATGTTTGTTAATATGTAAAATAAACTACCAAGTATTCTTTCAGGATCTTAGATGGGAAAAATTTTAACGTATGTTCTAGCTATAAGAACCTTGATTTTTTAATGCAGCAATGAGGTATGCTTAACTTCAGTTTCTAATGGGAGAAATAAAACCTGATTAACTTGCTTGAAATATTTGTGAGTTTTAAAATTGTGATCCTGGATAATAAGTAACTCTAATTTTGAAGTTGACCTAAACTGTGAATGAGCTATCCATTTTTACCTACACGATAGTATTGAGCAAGTCAACAACCTACGAGAGATCCAAGCACTGAGGCGCCTGAATCCGCACCCAAACATTCTTATGTTGCATGAAGTGGTTTTGTAAGTATATTTGGAGCTTGAAAAGTTATCTAAATTTGATGAAAATAATCTCTTTTTAAGAAAGAAAACCATGGTAGACATTTTGAATATTTACTTTGTAGCTCAGAGAGTAACCATTTTTACTTCATCTTACATCACATTTTTATTTGGAAAAATGTGCATCTGATTCTTTTTTTTATTATTATTTTTTGAGAAGGAGTCTCTCTCTCTGTCATGCAGGCTGGAGTGCAGCGGCGTGATCTTGGCTCACAACAAACTCCGCCTCCCTGGTTCAAGCCATCTCCTGCCTCAGCCTCCCGAGTAGCTGGGATCACAGGCACCCACAACCACGCCCAGCTAATTTTTGTATTTTTAGTAGAGATGGGGTTTCACCATGTTGGCCAGGTTGGTTTCAAACTCCTGACCTCAGGTTATCCACCCACCTTGGTCTCCCAAAATGCTGGGATTACAGGCATGAGCCACTGTGCCCGGCCAGCATCTGATTCTTAATTAATGTGGAAATGCCTTCATTTAGGTGACTCCACATCATAAAAGCATCCGTCATGCAAACAGTTCATCTCCTGGAGCTCAGTTAGGCTGCTAAGGTCTTGAGTGTGAATTTTGACCTACTGGGAAAGCACTGTTTGTGTTATTTCAGGGATTGTACATTCTCATTCTGTCCCTGCCAGTTGCCATTTCTGAACAGTCTCCTGTAGTCTTTCTTACTGTAATTGATAACATTTCTGGGGATTTTTCATTTCTGTTCTAATTATAGAATAGTTTCCATAAGGCTTATCTATCATTCAAAAAGGCAGAGCACAGCTTGTCCCTCGGTGCCTGCCTGAGCCTGGGAAGCCTTCTTCCTGACAGCTCTGTGCTGTGCTTACAGACCTCACTGAACCAGGGAGTCAGGCTACAGGGTTTTGGGACCTTCTTTGCTGTGGGCTAGAATGGCACTGACACTCTGAGAGGGTGCACCTCAGTGTAGAAGCTTCGCTGTGGCTCCGGAGGGAGCCTGGCCTGTAAGATCGGCCAAGGAACTCCAGTTAAACTTCACTGCCAGTTAAAGTCTGGTAGATTTTAATCAGAGAATGAAACAGTTTTAAACTCAAAATGAAATGTCTTGTTATAACTGTGTGGGTTCCTGTCCTGTAGCGTTCTTAGAAGTCAATTTGGGCCAGGTCCAGAGAGTGCAGTTTGTATGTAATAGTCTCAACACTGCATGCACGTCGTGCACTTCCCACGCACTTTACAAAGTACTCTGTCCAGAATCTCACATGGACCTCGGAACAACCGAGACCTCTTCCAGCCAGATTGGAGGCACCCAGAGTAGGGTCTGGGATGATACAGGCTCTTGCTCAGGACTCTGGGAACCCTTTAAGGGCCTGCTTGAACTCAGAAGTTGGTGGCTCAGCCAGCAGTCTCTGTCCCTATTCTGTGTCAGCGTTGATATCACACACTTGTGATGTGACTCGTTTTTCTCTTTTTCCCCTGACTGGTTTTTGGTTTTTACTCTCCCATTGTGATTTATCCCAATTACATGGAAGGAATTTAGCTAAATTAAAATTAAATTTGCAGTCATGGAGCACGAATTAATTTTCTTTCTTTCTTTCTTTTTTTTTTTTTTTTTTTTGAGACAGGGTCTCACTCTGTTGCCCAGGCTGGAGTACAGTGGTACGATCTCGGCTCACTGCAACCTCCGCCTCCCGGGTTTAAGCTATTCTCCTCCTTCAGCCTCCCGAGCAGCTGGGACTACAGGCACACGCCACCACACCCAGCTTTTGTATTTTTAGTAGAGATGGGGTTTCACCATGTTGGCCAGGCTGGTCTCAAACTCCTAACCTGAAGTGATCGACCACCTCGGGCTCCCAAAGTGTTGGGATTACAGGCGTGAGCCACCACGCCTGGCCTCTTTTATTGTTTTGCTTACCCAACTCCCCAACCTTTTTCTTCTTTCTGCTGATAATTAATTATGTATTTTCAAGACATATCTGTTTTCAACTTCTAGAATTTTGTTCAAAGTTGGGTTTTGCTAGTATTTTTAGTTAATTTTATCTGAAATACTGATTTAAAATCAAAACCTTTACTGTTTCAGCAATTACACTGTAGTATTTGATGTGGGAGTACCTAATGTTTACTAGAAATGTTTACAAATGAATTAAATATTGGATTATATTTTCTGATTAAGGCCAGAAAATTTATTTTAAAAACTTGCTTTCTTCTTCAGTGACAGAAAATCTGGTTCTCTTGCACTAATATGTGAACTTATGGACATGAATATTTATGAGCTAATACGAGGTACGTAGAATAATTTGAAAGCTAACCTAAGATCCTCTTTTAAGGCTTGTAATTCATATATGCTTAGTTATTCTCAACATCATTAGTCACCATAGTGCTGTAGTTATATATAATACACAGTACAGGGTCACTTCATTCACCAGGAGGCATTTTTCTGACTGCTCATCTACTCAGAACATGGCTGCAAACAAGAAAGGAAGCCCCAGGCCCTCTGGGTGCCCATGTGATCTGGGGGAGAGTGGCGGGAGGCAGCAGGGGCAGCTCTGCTGCAGAGCGCCTGCAGCCAGCCCCGCCGTGGGCATGTGTGTGCAGGCCCGCTGGCTCAGGGGCCTCTCTGCTCCCCAGATCTGCTGTTGCTCGACATTCTGTTCCATGCCTCTTAAGGCAGAGCTTTCCCTCCAAAATACTGCCCTGCATGTGAGGGAAGCTCCTACCATTTTCCAGGATGCTCGTTCATTTCCTTTTTTCTGAACAATAAAGCACTGTTTAAGAGAGCATGTTTGCCTGAGGTGACCTCAGTCAGGGCTGGTTTGAGATACTTATAGAGGTTGCCTGAGGGGAACAGGAGAAAAGGAGAGGCTGGCCCACACTGAGCCAATTGTTCCTGGGGGTCTGACTAATGGTTGTGTTAGATGTCAGAACAAATGAACCTTGTATATCTCACTAAGAAAGCAACATAGCAAGTGTTACATTTTACAAATCACATTATACCTAGAGGACAGATAAAAAACAACTGTCCTACTGTCACATGAGTGACTACTTATGACTTGGAAAAGAATTTTAGTGACAGCATCATAGATGATTTAGATGGTGTATTATCTTACAATTTGAGCCAAACTGAAGATGATGTGCTATGGAAAATTTTTAGATTGATAAACTATTTTTGTGATGGAAGAAGACACTGATGTTGAAGATATATATGAAGAGTTCAAATAAAATTGTTTTTATGAAGTTGGATAGTGGAAAAAGCATTATATCAATATTTATTTTATATGTGACTTAAAATATGTGTGTGATAGTAAATTACTAACAAAACAAATAGCATAAGTAGCCAAGTTTTTCTACATCCATAAAAGTTGATGTATATAAAGCTGGGTGCAGTGGCTCATGCCTATAATCCTAGCACTTTAGGAGGGACGCCAGTGCGGGTGGATCAGTTGAGGTCAGGAGTTCAAGACCAGCCTGACTAACAAGGTGAAACCCTGTCTCTACTAAAAAATACACACAAAAAAATTAGCCGGGCATGGTGGTGTATGCCTGTAGTCCCACCTACTCAGGAAGCTGAGGCAGGAAAATCGATTGAACCTAGGAGGCGGGGGTTGCAGTGAGCTGAGATTGTTCCACTGCACTCCAGCCTGGGCGACAGAGCGAGACTCTGTCTCAAAAAATAAAAATAAAGGCCAGGGGCTGGGCGCGGTGGCTCACGCCTGTAATCTCAGCACTTTGGGAGGCTGAGGCAGGCGGATCACGAGGTCAGGAGATTGAGACCATCCTGGCTAACACAGTGAAACCTCGTCTCTATTAAAAATACAAAAAAATTAGCCGGGCGTGGTGGCGGGCGCCTGTAGTCCCAGCTACTCGGGAGGCTGAGGCAGGAGAATGGTGTAACAGGAGGTGGAGCTTGCAGCGAGCCAAGATCATGCCACTGCACTCCAGCCTGGGTGACAGAGCGAGACTCCGTCTCAAAAAAAATAATAAAAAATAAAAAAGGCCGGGCGTGGTGGCTTATGCCTGTAATCCCAGCACTTTGGGAGGCTGAGGCAGGTGGATCACTTGAGGTCAGGAGTTCAAGACCAACCTGGCCAATATGGCAAAACCTTGTCTCTGCTAAAAATACAAAACAAATTAGCCGGGCGTGGTGGCATGTGTCTGTAGTCCAAACTACTTGGGAGGCTGAGGCAGGAGAATCGCTTGAACCTGGGAGGCAGAAGTTGCAGTGAGCTGAGATCGTGCCACTGCACTCCAGCCTGGACATCGCAGTGAGACTCCATCTCAACAGAAAATAAAAAAAAAATAAAAGTCAACAAGAAGGGAGAATTTTTGGCAAGTTGCTGTGTGTTTAGACGCTTGAGAAAGCTTTGTTTAGAATATATATATATATATATATATATATATATATATATATATTTTTTTTTTTTTTTTTTTTTTTTTTTTTTTTTTGAGACGTGGCGCGATCTCAGCTCACTGCAACCTCTGCCTCCCAGGTTCAAGAGATTCTACTGCCTCAGCCTCCCAAGTAGCTGGGACTACAGGCATGTGCTACCACACTTGGCTAATTTTTTTTTTTTTTTGTAGGCAGAGTCTCGCTCTGTTGCCAGGCTGGAGTGCAATGGTGCAATCAGCTCACTGCAACCTCTGCCTCCCAGGTGCAAGCGATTCTCCTGCTTGTGCCTCCTGAGTAGCTGGGACTGCAGGTGCATGCCACCACGCCCAGCTATTTTTTTGTATTTTTAGTACTGACAGGGTTTCACCATGTTGGCCAGGATGGCCTTGATCTCTTGACGTCGTGATCTGCCTGTCTCGGCCTCCCAAAGTGCTAGGATTACAGGCATGAGCCACCGCGCCCAGCCAATTGTTTTGTATTTTTAGTAGAGACGGGGTTTCACCTTGTTAGCCAGGATGGTCTCAATCTCCTTGACCTCGTGATCCGCCTTTCTCGGCCTCCCAAAGTGCTGGGATTATAGGAGTGAGCCACTGCGCCCAGCCTTAGAATATATGTATTTTTAGGATACATTTATATTTATTTTCAGTAGTAGAGGAATTGTATAATTGAAGAAATTGAATCTATTTCTTTCAATATCTGTCTACAGCGATTGTAGAAAACAGACCTCGCAGTAGACCTCCATTCATTATATAAATATTGTCTTCCATAGGCCAGGCAGTGTGTTCAGTGCACCAACTCTGAGATGCTGTGAGCAACATGGAGCATCCTAGGTTCAGAGATGTTAAAATGTAAGGAGAATGGCCAACAGTGCTTGTAGGGTAGTAAATATTGAAATATGCATCCTGATTTTAGAGTTGGTAAAATTTGAAAAAAAAGCCTGTCCTAGAATTGATGAAATATAATGATAATGATAATAGCTAACAGTTCATGAATGGTACCCATATGGCCAGGCACTGTTCTTAATACTTTATAGGAATTAACTCATTTTAACCTTCCAACAACCCTGTCAGGCAGATACGGTTATTTTTTATTTTTTTAAGATGGAGTCTCACTCTGTCGCCAGGCTGGAGTGCAGTGGTGTGATTTCTGCTCACTGCAACTTCCGCCTCCTGGGTTCAAGCAGTTCTCCTGCCTCAGCCTCCCAAGTAGGTGGGACTACAGGAGCACGCCACCATGCCCAGCTAAGTTTTTTTTTTTTTTTTTTTGAGATGGAGTTTTGCTCTTTTTGCCCAGGCTGGAGTGCAATGGCATGATCTCGGCTCACCACAACCTCCGCCTCCCGGGTTCAAGCGATTCTCCTGCCTTAGCCTCCCAAGTAGCTGGGATTACAGGCATGCGCCACCACCCCAGCTAATTTTGTATTTTTAGTAGAGATGGGGTTTTTCCATGTTGGTCAGGCTGGTCTTGAACTCCCGACCTCAGGTGATCCGCCCACCTTGGCCTCCCAAAGTGCTGGGATTACAGGCGTGAGCCACCGCGCCTGGCTAAGTTTTGTATTTTTAGTAGAGACAGGTTTCACCATGTTGGCCAGGATGGTCTCGATCTCTTGACCTCGTGATCTGCCCGCCTTGGCCTCTCAAAGTGCTGGGATTACAAGCGTGAGCCACTGTACCTGGCCCAGATACTGTTATTATCCTCATTTGAAACATGAGGACATTGAGGCATGGGGAGATAAGTTGCTTGTCCAAGGTTATATACCTAGTAAGTGGTAGAACTGGGGCTGAACCTAGATAACCTGATCCTAGAGTGCATGTTCTTAACCACCACCCATACCGCCTCATGACAACCCTGTGTGGTTGGCACTATTTATTATTCCCATTTTACAGATGAGGAAATTGAGTCTTGAAGGATTAAGTAATAATCCAAAATTAAGCTGTTAATAAATGGCAGAACTGGGATTTGAACTCAAGCCTGACTCTGAAATCCTAAGCATTAAGCTCTGTTGCTGCCCTGGGTCTCTATTTCTGGGCCCAGCTCAGTGCCTTAAATGAACAGAGGCACCTAATTATTTACGGTTATTGATGATGATGCTTCTTTAGTGAAAACTGAATCAATCACTAAGGCTTTAGATACCAGAATGGCAATTTTTGTGACTTAAATTGCTGCTCTCAGGTTATTAGAATATTGAGGAGCACTATTAAAGACTAAAGAATAAGATAATAATGAAATAAGGGAACGATCACATAGCCATTATTGAATTGTCTACTTTACAGCAGTGTGCAAGGTCTGGCAAGAACTGGGAAGATAAAGAAGCAGCATGTCAGATGCATGTTTTTTATATTGAAAGAGTATATAGTCTTTTTTTTTTTTTTTCTTGAGATGGAGTCTCACTCTGTTGCCCAGGCTGGAGTGCAATGGCACGATCTCAGCTCACTGCATCCTCCGTCTCCTGGGTTCAAGCGATTCTCCTGCCTTAGCCTCCCGAGTAGCTGGGATTACAGGTGCCCACCACCACGTCCGGCTAATTTTTTGTCCTTTTAGTAGAGACGGGGTTTCACTATGTTGGCCAGGCTGTCTCAAACTCCTGACCTCGTGATCTGCCCGCCTCAGCCTCCCAAAGTGCTGGGATTATAGGCGTGAGCCACCGCGCCCAGCCTGAAAGAGTATATAGTGTAGTGTCCACATAAACTATATGAAAGTGATATCATAAGAGAAAAGGAATTGCTGGGGTAGATTTCTTTTTGTTGAACAGGTGTCAGATGAGGCAGAGATGGTGTGGGCTGGGAAAATAAGGCTTTCCTGGAGGAGTGGTAGAATTGGACAGGTGCGGGAGAGGATGTCCCATTTGCAGTGACATGCCATGGGCTATTCCAGAGGCAGGGACATGGTGGGGAACACAGCAGACACAGTTCCCACCCATGTGGAGCTCACACTTGATGAGGAGAGACAGGAAACAAATGAAATTATCAAGAATATCAGTCAAAATGATCAAGAATTCCAGATAGGGATAAGTGCTGTCAGTGAATAAAACAGGCCAATGTGTTAGAGAGTGATGAGGATAGAGTACTTCAGGCAGAGGGACAGCCAGTGCAAAGGCCCTGAGGCCACCGTGAGGGAAGAGGCCCATGTGGCTGGAGGACATGAAGGAGAGTTGCAGGAAACGGAGTAGGCAGGCATCGATGAGGCTGGTAGGGCGAGGGTAAGAATTTTCGTTACTCTAAGTTCAATGGGAAGCCATTATTGGGCTTTAAAGCAAGGGAGAGGTGGTTTTCAATTGGTGTTTAGACCAGTGTTTCCAAAACGATCACAGAAGACCAGTTGTTTTATTTCTAATATATTGCAGACCAGAATTTTTGTAAAATATAGTAAAAATGAATTACCAGAAAAGTGATCACGTGCTTAGATGTCACAGCATGTCAAATTGCTATAAGTGGTTCTAAACAGGTATTCTTTTTTTTTTTTTTTTGAGACAGAGTCTCACTCTGTTGGCAGGCTGGAGTGCAGTGGCGTGATCTCTGCTCACTGCGACCTCTGCCTCCCGGATTCAAGCAATTCTCCTGCCTCAGGCTCCCAAGTAGCTGGGACTACAGGTGCGTGCCACCACGCCCTGCTAATTTTTGTATTTTTAGTAGAGACGGGGTTTCACCATGTTGGCCAGGATGGTCTCGATCTCTTGACCTCGTGATCCGCCCACCTCAGCCTCCCAAAGTGCTGGGATTACAGGCGTGAGCCACTGCGCCCAGCCCTAAACAGTTATTCTTAATTTATGTCATCTCCTCTTAGACCAGTAACAGTCCCTGAACCATCATCAGCTCATGGACTGTGCTTTGAGTAGCATCTTTTTAGAAGGAATTCTCCAGTTGCTGTTTAAAGAATAAATGTGCTGTAGGTGGATGTGTTGGTTCTCCCTTTTAGTTGCAAATAACAGCCTCCCCTATTCTCTGATTAACTCAAGAGGGGTTACTCTGTGATATGGATAGATTGCCAGAATTGTTGGGAGGACTGAAGAAGCAGACTCTGGGCTTGGCCTATAGGAAGTTGCTTCTCACAACTCTGCTCTCCATGATCAGGCTGCTGGCCCTGCCGCTGACAACGCTCTGCAGAATAAAGCTGCTGCAGCTACCAGGCCTGGAATCATGCCTCTTCTGCCAGGATCAGGAGGCAGCCGTGATCCATGCCGTCAGAATAGATGCCTTCCCTCCTCTCATCTGCCCCCATACCTGGGCCAGAAGCATCTTTCCCAAGTGTTCCCATTTAGGCAGAGCCTAAGTCACATCTGGAACACTCAGCTGCAAGGCAGCATGAAGAATGTCATTTGGACGTTCAGGCCTGGCATGCTAGATGGGGGTTTGGGATAGGACCTGAGCAAGCCAATCTGCGGGTGTGCCATGAAGGCAAGAGTGGTGTGGGAGCCTGGGGAAGGGATGGCGAAGGCCCTTTGCCCGCCACTGTCTCTGGATGAATGTCTCTGAATTCTTTGGCGTGAGTTAGTAATTGGGGTGAATAGAGCATGGCTACCCGCCAGCGATCCTAGTTTGTGTATTTGGGCGCGTGTGCTTATGGCTCTGGGCTCATGCCATCTGCAGTAGGAAAGCCTGTCTTGGAATTTATGAAGGAAAAACCGTAAAGGAGGTTTAGTTTCCCTCATACTCTGACTATAGAGGCAGCTACTCTTTTACAAAATTGTATCTGATTCTGCTCTTTTTTTTTTTTTTTTAACTGTTTCAAGTTAAATTCATAGGGCCAGGTGCAGTGGCTCACGTGTGTAGTCCCAACACTTTGGGAGGCCAAGGCGGGAGGATTATTTGAGCACAGGAGTTTGAGACTAGCCTAAGACTCTGTCTGTACAAAAAAACAATTTTTTTTTTTTGAGACGGAGTCTCGCTCTGTTGCCCAGGCTGGAGTGCAGTGGCGATCTCAGCTCACTGCAAGCTCCGCCTCCCGGGTTCACGCCATTCTCCTGCCTCAGCCTCCCGAGTAGCTGGGACTACAGACACCCGCCACCACTAAATTAGCCTGGCTAATTTTTTTTTGTATTTTTAGTAGAGACGGGGTTTCACCGTGTTAGCCAGGATGGTCTCAATCTCCTGACCTCGTGATCCGCCTGCCTCAGCCTCCCAAAGTGCTGGGATTACAGGTGTAAGCCACCGTGCCCAGCCCAAAAAATTAAAAAAAAAAGCATCCGGGTGTGGTGGCACACGCCTGTAGACCCAACTACTCAGGAGGCTGAGGTGGGAGGATGGCTTGAGCCCAGGAGGTCGAGGCTGCAATGAGCTGATTGTACCACTGCACTCCAGCCTGGGCAACAGAGTGAGACCCTGTCTCAAAAAAAAAAAATAATAATAACTCATTTGCCTTAATGAATGGCTAGTTCGTAGTTCTCTCCACCCTCGCTGGAGGGGCGTGTGCTGGGGATGCCGTCATTCTGCAGGCTACAGTGGCAGCTGTATTCCTTCAGTTAGTGCTGAGTCACAGTGAATGCCTTGGTTTATCACTGTGTTCACTTAAGTTTTTAAAATTATTAGTATCATATATGACATTCCTTCTTAATGAGAATATTTGGTAAAAATTAACTTGTAAAAATTACCTTGGTCAGGATAGCTAGAGCAGATGAGGGAAATGCTTTTGGGGCCTGCTGGAATTCACTAAGGGGCATATAAGAAACTTCTGAGTAACTCGTTAATTGTACTCTATTTTACTTGTTTCAAACTGTTTGAAAACAAGAATCTGATGGGAACCAGATAGTCTTGGGCCCGGAAAGTTTGTTCTGGAGAAGCTTATGGAGAGTGGCTAGGCAGTGCTTTCCTTTGCAAGGGTGTGGTCTCCAGCACTTCAGACTACTGGGCCCACACTGTTGCTCTGATACCTCATGCCAGCAGTAACACCCCCAACTACTGGCCCGGGACCAGGACGGCTCCCTACCCCTAGGGCTGTGAATAGGGAGTTTCCAGGAGGAGACCCAGGGAGGCAAGGAAGGGTGGGCACCTGAAGAGGACTCTTACCTGGGACTGAAGGCATCTGAGAAGCACAGATTCCTGGCCCGCATGCCCGTTTGTGGCTCCATTAGGTCTAGGTTCAGGCCTTGAAATCTGCTTTTTTTTTAAATTTTATTTTATTGTTTTTTGAGACAGAGTCTCACTGTGTCACCCAGGCTGGAGTACAGTGGCACGATCTCAGCTCACTGCAAGCTCCGCCTCCCAGGTTCACACCATTCTCCTGCCTCAGCCTCCCAAGTAGCTGGGATTGAAGGCGCCTGCCGCCACGCCTGGCTAATTTTTTGTATTTTTATAGAGACGGGGCTTCACCGTGTTAGCCAGGATGGTCTCGATCTCCGGACCTCGTGATCCGCCTGCCTCAGCCTCCCAAAGTGCTGGGATTACAGGCTTTTTAATCAGCTTTTTAAAAGACTTCTAGGTGATTATGAAGATTGGATAGATTAGACTTTTCCTAAAAGATTCCACGTTTCCCAAGTTCAAGTTCAGATGACTCTAATGACAATTTTATGATACGAGTAAGATTTAAATGTGTGGACATGGCTGGGAAGGGCGTTCCTGGAATGGAACATCATGAATATAGGTACTAAGCAGGCGAGCTTTGGGAGCAACCAGAGAAGAGTCCATGAGGGAATTCACCTGAGCATTCGATAAACAAGAAGGGGGTGGTGGGGCATGGTTCTCGAAGCGAGGACCCAAGACTAGTAGCTGCACCTGGGGCTCTAGTTAGGCGACTGTGGGGCCCCATTGCAGACCTTCTGAATCAGACATGTGGGTGGAGATGGGGAGGGACAGTATGTGTCTTAGCAACCCACTCGTGGGAGTCTGAGAACCCTTTTGGTGGAGAGGAATTGGTTGAAGGGGGTCTTGAGTGCCGGGGTAAGTCGGGAGCAGTGAGACTGGGTTTGATCACAGGACCCAGGAGCACCTGATGAGATGAAATTCCAGCAGCTTCATTCTGCTGCGTGTGTGAAGGCAAATGGAAAGTTGCTTTCTTTTTATCTGTTATAGATATTAATTTAATAAGATTCCAGAATTATCAGCTTGGGAAAGCTGATAAAGGTCTTACTTTTGATTCTTTTGATTTTAATTCTGGAAAATTGATGATAAATCATGTGAAACAATAAAAAGATGATAGTATGACACAAAAAAGTTAATTGCGGCCAGGCGCAGTGGCTCAAGCCTGTAATCCCAGCACTTCGGGAGGCCGAGGCGGGCGGATCTCGAGGTCAGGAGTTCAAGACCAGCCTGGTCAACATAGTGAAACCCCGTCTCTACTGAAAATACAAAAAAATTATCAGGGTGTAGTGGTGGCGGGTGCCTGTAATTCCAACTACTCGAGAGGCTGAGGCAGGAGAATTGCTTGAACCTGGGAGGTGGAGGTTGCAGTGGGCGGAGATCGTACCAATGCATTCCAGCCTGGGCGACAGTGCTACACTTCGTCCCAAAAAAAAAAAGAAAAAGCTAATTGCACCTAGACATTTTACAATTTAAATTACTTTCTATTATTTATATATTCTTGTTAAGTAGAGAAAAAGAATAATTTTAATTTTTCAAAAGAAATTGTAAACTTAGGACCAAAAGTGTCAAATGGTATATGTGCTCATGGAGGGAGGAAGTGGATTTCCAAACTGTTAGGTGAACATGGTCATTGTGCAGATTTAAAACTTAATAACTTAAAACACACACTTTGAAAATTAAAATCAAGTAAAATTGACATCTTCTGGAACAGGGGTAAACTGTGATGCTGGGCATGTGGTATGACGTCTTCAAGCACGGTAGAAAGCTGCGGGCACCAAGGCACAGCCAGCCCAGGTGCTGAGTACAGGGCAGCTGCAGGGGACTGTGCCAGCCACGCTAAACGGCCTCTCCTGTGAAAGAAGACATGTGGACTGTGACTGAAAGCAGTTGAACTGCTTCTTGAACTGTGATCTGTCCCCCTTTAAAGTGGACATCTCCACATAAACAGGAAAGCCTAGTGGAACACTGGGTTGACGAGTGACTCCTAACATTTTCATAATCAGTGTAGGCTGAAGGACAGCGTCCTGGAAGGCCTCCGAGGCCGGCTGAGGCTGTCAGACCATGCTACTTGTGTGACGATTGCTCAGTGCTGTTCCCACTGAAACCATAGCACATGCGCTCTGAATGTTCACAGAGCTGACGCATGTGCTAATTGCCCCGATTTCATCCTTACACATTGTATGTATGGATCAAAATAACACTCTCTGGGTCCCATTAGTAGGTACAATTACTACATTTCCACTAAAAAGGAAAAAAATTATCAACAATTCTGTCATTCTTCAGTAACGTTTATTGTTTATTAATTTTTTAATTGGCAGTTTCCCAAACCTGCTTCACCTGTTTCAAAACTCAGAAAAACCACGTGTGCTAGAGCAGCAGCAGAGTCACTATGCAGCTGATAGAGCTGACTCGCCCGGGGCTTCCAAAACAGGCCCTTGCGGTGTCTCCACCATGTTTATAGATTTTGTTAAATTTGCAAAAATAAGATATTTCAACCACAAAGTTAAGACTGCCATCTCTTCTATTTTAACCTCTCCTATGTCATATTTCCCCTCTTAGCGTAACCGTGAAATAGCCGTGGACATGTCTGGAATCTTGTTAAGGGTTGGCTGGGATACATTTATATGCTTTGCAGTCTCTTCCATATATTAATAGTTACATTATTGCTGGCCATCTCATTTGGGATGTCTTCTAGGAATACTCTGAATATGGTCAATTCAAAGATTAAAGAGCATTCACTCCATAGAAAACTTGAAATATGAAATCTTATAGCTCAGATATGAAGGAAACTTAGCAGTTTCCCCAGATTTGACAATTCTAAAAATTACATGGTGCTACTAATACATAGTTGAGGATGTAAAAGAAGCCTCTATAAACTGCCAAAAAGAAAAATAAAAAGGGATTTTCCATTAAAAATGTATGTGCTATGTAATTTTAAATGAGATCATGCCATTATATAGATTTTTTTTTTTTGGACGGAGTTTTGCTCCTGTTGCCCAGGCTGGAGTGTAATGGTGCCATCTCGGCTTGCTGCAACCTCCACCTCCTGGGTTCAAGCGATTCTCCAGCCTCAGCCTCCCAAGTAGCTGAGATTACAGGCACCCGCCACCACACCCGGCAAATTTTTGTATTTTTAGTAGATATGGGGTTTCACCATTTTGGCCAGGCTGGTCTCAAACTCCTGATCCACCCACCTCAGCCTCCCAAAGTGCTGGGATTACAGGTGTGAGCCACCGCCCCTGGCCAGTATATGGAATTTTAAATGGTATGTTTTGTAGGCACACTACATATTTCCTAAGACTACTTCAGATTATTTTTTACAGGGGAACTTAGATTTTCACACATTGTTAAATAAAAATAGATTATTTTTATTTCAAAAAAGAGGATATGTACCATCAGTAACCGTATTTGCCTATTTCCTTGATTGTACAGGGAGAAGATACCCATTATCAGAAAAAAAAATTATGCACTATATGTACCAGTTATGTAAGTCCCTGGATCATATTCACAGGTATGCTCTCGGAGATTTGACAGCTCTGAAATTAATAAAATGTGTTAACATTCAGATTCAAGAATTTGAATAAATGAAGTGTAATTCTATTTTTCCTTTATACTGAATGCAGAAATGGAATATTTCACAGAGATGTAAAACCAGAAAATATACTAATAAAGGTAAGAGCTTTTACATGAAAGCTGGGTATCAGAATAAAAGCTGAATAGAAAATCTTTCCCGAAAGGTTTTCTCCTCCTACCAGAGGAACTTTCAGTCCATGCGGCTAGACAGCCTGTTTGTTACAGTAATTTTTTTCCCTCTCAGGTTGTAAAAAATGGTTTATTTAATAAATGCCATCAACATAACTGACTGCACCTGGAAGAAAATAATTGAAAGCACCATTTTCACACCGCAGACAAAAATGAACCCTATTCAGACGGCCGTTCAAACCTTCTAGAGGGAAATGTGGCAGAGGCAGGATTTGAGCTCAGGTCCGTCTCACTCCCAAGCCACTAAACTACCTGTGTTTAAACCGTACAATTTGCTGTTTCCCAGCACCTGTCACTGGCTGTCAGCAGAGTCCTCTGAGGCTGTGTGGCTAAAAGAGCCCTTGCTGGGCAAGCTGGCAGCATGACCGGACAGACGACTAGTGTGTGTTGTTCATTTGTAGAAGCGCCAATGGGTTAACCAGTTTCCAAACCTGTAGGCATTTTGGAAATATATGTGAAACAGCCAGAATATTTGTAAACCTGTTCCACTGAATAGACATCACTTCCTCATCTGCTGGAGGCACTTTGAGGTGCTCAGAAAGCCAGTAATTTGTATTTTACAGACTACTTTAGATGCTAGTAATTTTCCTGCTGGTGCATAAATATTTGGAGTGGTTTGTATTATGATAGCCACATAATGGGATGTTACTTGTCCTTGCTTCTTTCCCCTTCCAGCAGGATGTCCTGAAATTAGGGGACTTTGGCTCCTGCCGGAGTGTCTATTCCAAGCAGCCGTACACGGAATACATCTCCACCCGCTGGTACCGGGCCCCGGAGTGTCTCCTCACTGATGGGTTCTACACGTACAAGATGGACCTGTGGAGCGCCGGCTGTGTGTTCTACGAGATCGCCAGGTAGCACCAGGCCAGGCTCCTGCCTGGTTCCTGCGGCGGAGCGGTGCAGCAGCCAGGCTCGTGCTCCTTCCTTTACAATCCAGATGTCATGGTCATTCTGGTTTTTCTTTCTGTTTTACTGTTTTTAATTTAACAGAAAATTGACTAGGCTTTCATTTTACTTGTTGTACATATTTGGCCTTGCCTGCCCTTCCCAGAGAAGAGCACCAGCCCTCAGTTGTTCTCCCTCCTGCACACCCTGGTGGTGTGGGCAGCTGCCTCCTTGGGGTTGCTGTGAGGTGCTTGATGGGGCTGCTGTGGGGAGGGGTGAGCCAAACCTCCCCTGAGAGGTGCAGTCATATTAGGTAGGGTGCCCTGGCCACAGGTGTGAGGATGAGGCACCTTCTGGCACAGTTGGACTCTAGAAAGCCCCAATCCCACCCCTCCCTGCTCCATCCTCCAAACCCCCCACTCCCCCCCAGCCTTTGGCAAGGAGCAGTGGCCCAGGGACGAGGAGATGGGGGCCGGTCCCACTCCGAGGTGAATGGTGTTGAGTTGAAGACGCGCACAGGGGTGGAGAGCTGCACCTCTTGCTCCCAGTGGGCCTCCAGGCAGGTGGCAGTGAGGTTAAGGTCTGGGGGTGCATCTGAGGGGTCAAAGTCTGGTCCCGCCTGCTCAACAGACTGCTACAGAAATGCACTTCAGGACATACTCTCCTTTGATCCAGATGGTTCATACTGGTAACTTTTCATTTTGGAAAGCTGAATGGCAATTTCACTGCAGCCAGAAGTGTCAACCAAGAGTCCCTTCCCATGAGCCCAGGTCCTGTGAGTTCATCTGGAGGGGGCAGATGTCAGGAGCACAAGGCCACCTGTATCTCACCAGCGCACAAGACGGCCCACGGTGCACCAGCCACCAAACTGGGCTGAGGCACTCATCTCCCCACTTGGAGCTGTTTCCTGCTCACCCGCATTTCCTCCTCTCTCCTTTAGTCACAAGAGCCTGCCATTTTCTGGAATAGAAGCTAGGCCTACTACCAGAGCTGTATTTTTAAATATTATTTGTGGCATGTAATATGAATTGAATTTATTTATACAGGTTTAAAATCTGTATTTATTTTTTTGAGATGGAGTTTTGCTCTTGTTGCCTAGGCTGGAGTGCAATGGTGCGATCTTGGCTCACCGCAGCCTCCGCCTCCCGGGTTCTAGCGATTCTCCTGCCTCAGCCCCCCAAGTAGCTGGGATTACAGGCATGCACCACCACGCCCGGCTAATTTTGTATTTTTAGTAGAGACGGGGTTTCTCCATGTTGGTCAGGCTGGTCTTGAACTCCTGACTTCAGGTAATCCGCCTGCCTCAGCCTCCCAAAGTGCTGGGATTACAGGCATGAGCCACCGCGCCCAGCACAGGTTTAAAATCTTGTTCCCACAATTCCAAAATCTATAAAAGCTCTGGAAACCAAAAGGTTTCTTGGGACTCATTTGTTGACAAAACCTGACCTGTCTCACCCTGAATTTGTCAGCAAAACTCCCCTTGGCCGATGGGAGGCTCACTGTGGGGTTATTTATCACGGTTACTGTGAATTAGTCACATTTCACCACAGACATCATGCTGAACAGATGACGGAATGTGGATCTGTCTTTTGCCTCTTAGAAAACACATGTCGGACCTATTGGTAAAGTGGAAACAAAAGGTCAAGCACAAGGGAGAGTGGAGCCTCCCAGCAGCTAAGGTCGCTGCACACGCCAGGCTGAGTTCCTCGTGTTCCGTGTGGTGAGGGTCGCTGCACACGCCAGGCTGAGTTCCTCGCGTTCCGTGTGAGCGAGTCTGCCTGGTCGAGGGGACTAGGCAGAATGGAGAGACCCATGGCCATGTCCTGACTGTAGGGTCAGCTGAGAGAAAGGAAAAATAGACCCAAAGTCAGGCAAGCAAGTCAGACAGTCAGAGGAAGCAGCCCCAAGCTTATAGAATGAGGGATTTATATTGGGGAGGGGAATTTGAGGGAGTTCTTTGGTATGGCCGCATCCTGGGGTTGGTTTTTTTTTTTTTTTTTTTTGAGACGGAGTCTTGCTCTGTCGCCCAGACTGGAGTGCAGTGGCGCGATCTGGGCTCACTGCAAGCTCCGCCTCCCAGGTTCACACCATTCTCCTGCCTCAGACTCCCGAGTAGCTGGGACTACAGGCACCCGCCAGCACGCCCGGCTAATTTTTTGTATTTTTAGTAGAGACAGGGTTTCATTGTGTTAGCCAGGATGGTCTTGATCTCCTGACCTCGTGATCCGCCCGCCTCAGCCTCCCAAAGTGCTGGGATCACAGGCGTGAGCCACTGCCCCGGCCATCCCAGGGTTGTTTGCTGGTTAATTTTGCCACATATCACCTTGTGATGTTTGTGGTAGCAACTAGATGAAGAGCAGGAACTTACAGAAGGGTGTAGGGAAAGTTTGTTTATGCTTCCCACGACCTCCTGCTGTGAGTTCTGGATGGTTTGTAATTGGGGTTTGCTTATCACAGCAAGGTCTGACAGGTGAAGTCTGCTGGCTTTACCGTGGCGCCTAGATAAAGGCTTAGAAATGTAAAGAGGCTTGAGGGAAGGGTGAACCGCACGGAGAAGGGTTGCAGAGCATTAGGGGGAGGGGTGGGCAGCACCAAGAAGCTTTTTTGGGGCAGTTTGTCTCTAACATTCCAGCCCTTTAATAGGTAATAGAAGAGGGGCGCCGTTGGCGTCTGGCCACTTCTTGCTGGGAAGGGGTGATGGTTATGGGGGAAGGCTGGACAGTAGGGACTGCCGTTCTTGGAGCTGTTGGTATTCTTGGAGCAGCATCATATCTTGTATTGTATTGAAGGCTCCGATACGGTCCTGTAAAAACTGAGTGAGAAGGCGTAGGAGACAAGGGCTGAATGCTAGAAAAAGAAGAATGGTTATGGCTGGGCCTAAGAGGGGCATTAGCCATGGAAACCAGGTACTAAAGGACCAGGAGGGCCACGCTGGCCATCGGGGGACATTTTCTTTAATTTTTTGTGCTCGGTCCTTTAGTGTTTTTACAAAATCTCGTACTAAGCCAGATTGGTTACGATAAAAGCAACACTGTTCATCTAGAAAGAGGCAGAGTCCTCCCTTTTTGGCTGTGAGTCGGTCTACGCCTCTGTGATTTTGAAGAAGCGCTGCTGCTAAAGAATCTATTTGTGATTGGAGAGTTGTGATGGATTTGGCTATCTCTTCCAAGCTATCTGTGAGGTCTTTGGAGAGGGATTGGTAATAGGAAACAGAGGTGGTTAATCCCGCAGTCTCAGTTCCACCTCCTGTAGTTATTCTGGGGACTGCTAATAGAGGTATGAGTTGCATAGCACGGCAGTGTCGGATGCGGGTATTAACTGGGATTGGTAGGGGTTGGTCTCCTGGAGCAACATTGATTTTTGGAGTGAGGAAAACCAGGGTGCAGGTAGGTGCCTGTCCAGTTAGAGGGGAGGCAAATATAAGTTGAGGTACTGCATAGGAAAAGTATGCCTTGGCTTGGTAGACAGAACTGGTTGTGTATGCTAAAAAGATGTACTGTTTTGTTGTCCTCATGCATCCATACTCCTAGGGCCCCAGCTAGAGCTGCTGCTCTGAGTGGTTGTAAAGGGTGTTTGCTTTAGGCTGGGGGCTTTGGGTTCTTTTTTCCCAGCGTAAGAGGAAGCATTTTGTGTCCACTAAGATCCATGTGGGAGTGTTGCTGAATGTTGGGATAAGGACACAGTCGCAGGTGGCGGGTGCAGGGATGGTGCATGGAGAGGGGAGCCAAGGGAAGAGGGATAAATGGGGGTGTCGGCCGTTGCAGTACTCTGAGTTTTTGTTAAGGAGGTGGGAGGTGTCAAGGGCTGGGGGGCTAGATAAACGAAGCCTGTCTTTATTGTTGGTGGCTTTGAGAGTAGTCTGTTCGGTGGAGGGTTTGAGTTGTGCGGTGTAAGTTGCACAGTTTGGAATTTAGGTGGCTGAGGGGAATGCTTGAGGGTGGATGTCGCTGGCGCACAGTGGTGCTGGATAGGATAAGATTGTGTGGGTTGTTACGGTTCCTACTAATAGGCATTCATCACAGCTGTGGTAGGGCCAGGTTGCGTAAGTAGGCATGTAAGGTTGTAACACCTGGACCGAACTCGCTAGCTAACTGGGGGAGATTTTTGTTAATGCCTGTATGTCGAGTTTGAGGGGCAGTTAATGAGGATTTCAGGATGGTAGCTTACTTGGGTGGAAGTCCAGTTATAGGCTGAGCAGGGGTTGCATTGTATGTTGTGGAGAGGAGGGATACGCAGAGCCAGCAGTCTCTTGCCAGAGAGGAATTGGAGTTTTTTAGTAAGGAGTGTGTGAGATTAAGTGTTCTGTATAGGTGTTCAGGGGTTGTAGGTATTGGTTGGACTGAACGAAGGGTTGGGGTATTGATTATGAGAAGGGTTAGAAAGGCAGATAGTGAGCAGAAAAATAAATAGTTCGGTTCCACCCAGAGTAAAGCCACAGAGAGAGCCTTGGAAGAAAAGGTCGATTATCCACTTGAAAAAGGCCTCCAGGGTGTCGTTCCGTGGGTGGAACCAGGAAATATCTTGTGAGAGGGCGTGAAGGAAGAGAGTGAAGCGGCAGGATAGACAAAAGCAGGGCATCTAGGGAGGATGTGGGAATGTTTGATAGTGATTGTGATTCCTGCTGTAAGGGTAACGATTAGGCAGACGGCTAAAGTGAGGGAGACTTTTGGCTGGTATTCCAATTGGAAGGAGTTACACTATATAATCCCACTGCAAACAATAGGGTAAGTATTATAATGCCTGCAGTTAGGGTGTAATAGAGTGTTTCCATTAAAGGAGGCTAGTTGTAATAGTACTTTAAACCTGTTTGAGATGGATGGATTTACTGATGTGAAGTTTCTTCTGGGATGGATGTGAGGCGGAGTCAGGTTGGCCCAAGGAGTGTGCTGGAATACCAGTTAGAAGTTGGTGAGGTGCTGGTTGGAGGATCGGAGGTGGGAGCTCTCTTTAACCTGGAAAGGTGATACTAGGGGGTATGTCCTGAGAGTTTGGCTGCAGTAGGGGTTGTAAGTGTCACACACGTCCATGTGAAAAGACCACCAAACAGGCTTTGTGTGAGCAACAAGGCTATTTATTTCACCTGGGTGCAGGCGGGCTGAGTCCGAAAAGAGAATCATCGAAGGGAGATAGGGGTGGGGCCGTTGTAGAGGATTTGGGTAGGTAGTGGAAAATTACAGTCAAAGGGGGTTGTTCTCCGGTGGGCAGGGGCAGGCGGAGGGGGTCACAAGGTGCTCAGTTGGGGAGCTTCTGAGAAAAGGAATTTCACAAGGAAATATCAGTTAAGGCAGGGACCGGCCATTTTCACTTCTTTTGTGATTCTTCACTTGCTTCAGGCCATCTGGATGTATATGTGCAGGCTTGGGCTTAGAGGCCTGACATTCCTGTCTTCTTATATTAATAAGAAAAATAACATAAAATAGTATTGAAGTGTTGGGGCAGTGAAAATTTTTGGGGGGGTGGTATGAAGAGATAATGGGCGATGTTTCTCAGGGCTGCTTCGAGTGGGATTAGGGGTGGCGTGGGAACCTGGAGTGGGAGAGATTCAGCTGAAGGAAGATTTTGGGGTAATGGGTGGTATTGTGGGGTTCTTAGAAGGAGCATTTGTCATATAGAATGATTGGTGATGGCCTGGATGTGTTTTTTTATGAATTGAGAGCTAAACGGAAGACACAAGGTCCAAATAAGAGAAGGAGAAAAACAGGTATTAAAGGACTAAGAATTGGGAGGACCCAGGACTTCCAATTAGGGAGTGCCCAAGGGGGTTCAGCGTAATTACTTGCTTGGTTGGTGAGTTTTTGGGCTCTATCCTTGACAGAGCCCTCCTTTTTAAGTTGGAGGCTGAGTTTGGTGAGGTGTGTTTTTAAAAGACCATTAGTCTGTTCCATTCTACCTTTCCTGAAGATTGAGGATGGTAAGCGGTATGAAGGTTCCACTGAATACCAAGAGCCTGAGAAACTGCTTGGGTGATTTGACTAATAAAGGCCAGTCCGTTATTGGACCGTATAGAGGTGGGAAGGCCAAACCGAGGAATTATGTCTGACAGAAGGGAAGAAATGACCACGGTGGCCTTTTTTTGACCTTGTGGGAAAGGCCTCTACCCATCCAGTGAAAGTGTCTATCTAGACCGAGACGTATTTTAGTTTCCTGACTCAGGGCATGTGAGTAAAGTCAATTTGCCAGTCCTGGGCAGGGGCAAATCCCCGAGCTTGATGTGTAGGGAAGGGAGGGGGCCTGAACAATCCCTGAGGAGTAGTAGAATAGCAGATGGAACACTGAGAAGTGATTTCCTTGAGGATAGATTTCCATGATGGAAAGGAAATGAGAGGTTCTAAGAGGCAGACTAGCAGCTTGTAATCTACGTGGAAGAGGTTATGAAATGACGACAGAATAGAATGGGCCTGTGAGGCTGGAAGGAGATATGTTCCTTAGTCCAAGAACTATTTGCCTTGTGTGGGAAGAGATTGATAGGTGGAAGTTTCAGTGGTGGAGTAGGTGGGAGTGACCGATGAGAAGGAGAAAAACTGCCATGAGGGATAGAAGTTGGAATGCTAGCTGCTTCTTTAGCTACCTTATCAGCATAAGCGTTGCCCCGAGCAGTGGGGTCTGATGCCTTTTGATGGCCCTTGCAGTGAATGACTCCAGCTTCCTTTGGAAGTAAAGCGACCTTGAGAAGTATTTTTATTAAAGAGGCATTAATGATGGAGGACCCTTGTGTAGTGAGGAAACCTCTTTCAGCCCATATAACAGCATGGTGGGGCAGGATATGGAAGGCATGTTTAGAGTCAGTATAAATATTGATGCGTAGTTCCTTTGCAAGAGTGAGGGCTTGAGTTAAAGCAATGAGTTTGGCTTGCTGAGAGGTAGTGGAGGGGGCAGAGCAGTAGCCTCAATGATAGATGTGGAAGATACTATAGCATAGCCTGCCTTTGCTGGTAAGCGGTGATTAGGCCTGGTGGAACTGCCATGGATAAACCAAGTGTGATCAGGGTGAGGAACAGGAAAGAAGGAAATATGGGGAAATGGAGTGAATGTCAGGTGGATCAGAGAGATACAGTCATGGGGGTCAGGTGTGGTATCTGGAATAATGTGGGAGGCCGGATTGAAGTCTGGGCCAGGAACACTGGTAATTGTGGGAGACTCAACAAAGAGTGAGTACAGCTGAAGGAGCCAGGGAGCAGAAAGTATATGCATCAGGTGTGAGGAAGAAAATAGATTTTGGAAGTTATGAGGGCTGTAGAGAGTGAGTTGAGCATAGTTTGTGATTTTGAGGGCCTCTAAAAGTGTTAGGGTGACGGCAGCTGCCACACAGAGACATGATGGCCAGCCTAAAACAGTAAGATCAAGTTGTTTGGACAAAAAGGATACAGGGCACGGTCCCGGCTCTTGTGTAAGAATTTCAACTGCACAGCCCTGCACTTTGGCTCTGTGTAATGAAAAAGGGTTGGGATGAGTTAGGGAGAGCTAGTGTGGGAGCAGCTTCCAGGGCTGTTTTTAAGGAACGGAAAGAGGAATGGGGAAAGGATTTAGGATCTATGTGGTCAGCTAGGTTTTCTTTTGTGTTTATGTAATGGTTTTGTTAGGATGGCAAAACCAGGTATTTAAAGGTGAAAGTATTTAACCATGCCCAGGAAGGAAAGGAGTTGTTTTGTAGAAGGGGTTGGGGTTTGGGAGATTAGCCAGACATGATTAGCAGGGAGGGCATGTGTGTTTTGATGAAGAATTATGCCAAGATAGGTAACAGATGAGGAAGAAATTTGGGTTTGACTGAAGTAATGGGGGCTGTCCATGAAGCCTTGCAGCAGTACAGCCCAGGTAATTTGCTGAGCCTGATGGGTGTCAGGGTCAGTCCAAGTGAAAGCAAAGAGTGGCTGGGATGAAGCGTGCAAAGGAATAGTAAAGAAAGCATGTTTGAGACCCAGAACAGAATAATGGGTTGTGGAGGGGTTGTGGAGGGAGGTATTGAGGATAGGAGAGTATATGGGTTTAGCACTACAGGGTGGATAGGCAAAACAATTTGGTTGATAAGATGCAGATCCTGAACTAACTTGTAAGACTTGTCCGGTTTTTGGACAGGGAAAATGGGGGAATTGTAAGGAGAGTTTATAGGCTTTAAAAGGCCATGCTGTAACAGGTGAGTGATAACAGGCTTTAATCCTTTTAAAGTGTACTGTGGGATGGGATATTGGCGTTGAGTGGGTTAAGGGTGATTAGGTTTTAATGGGATAGTAAGGGGTGTGTGATCAGTTGCCAGGGGAGAGTAGAGGTGTCCCATACTTGTGGATTAAGGTGGGGAGATACAAGGGGAAGATGTGAAGGAGGCTTTGAACTGAGGAAAAGGGCAGCAATGAGGTGTGGCTATAGTCTAGGAATAGTCAGGGAAGCAGATAATTTAGTTAAAATGTCTCCACCTAATAAGGGAGCTGGGCAGGTGAGGATAACTAAAAAGGAGTGCACAGAAGAATGTTGTCCAAGTTGGCACCAGAGTTGGGGAGTTTTAAAAGGTTTAGAAGCCTGGCCGTCAATACCCACAATTGTGGAGGCAAGGGAAAAGAAGGTAATGTGGAGTGGGTAAGCTCCGTATTGATTAAGAAGGGGATGGACTTACCCTCCACTGTAAGAGTTACCCAAAGCGTCTGTGATGGTCCAGGAGGCTTCCGAGGCAATCAGGTAGCATTAGTCTTCAGCCGCTAAAGCCAAGAAGATCTGGGAAGGAGTCAGTCAGAGAGCCTTGGGCCAGAGTTCCAGGGACTCTGGGAGTGGCTGCTGGGCGAGTTGGACAGTCCGATTTCCAGTGGGGTCCTGCACAGATGGGACATGGCTTAGGAGGAATTCTGGGCTGTGGGCATTTCTTGGCCCAGTGGCCAGATTTCCGGCGCTAGAAGTAAGATCCTTGGGGAGGCAGTTCTGGAGGAACGCCTGGCCACTGCGGTTCAGACGTTTGGAAGTTCTTGTGTCCTGGAGATGTGGCTGGGGTTTGTCTCACAGTGGAGGCAGGAATTGCAATTCAGAAATTCATTGCTACTTGGCTGCCTCTACTCTATTATTGTACACCTTGAAGGTGAGGTTAATTAAGTCCTGTTGTGGGGTTTGAGGGCCGGAATCTAATTTTTGGAGCTTTTTCTAATGTCAGGAGCAGATTGGGTAATAAAATGCCTATTGAGAATAAGATGGCCTTCTGGCCCCTCTGGGTCTAGGGCGGTAAAGCATCTAAGGGTTGTTGCCAAACGGGCCATGAACTGGGTTGAGTTTTTATATTTGATGAAAAAGAGCCTAAACACTGATTTGGGAGAGGTCAGATAAAGAAAAAGGAGCATTAACCTTGGCTAAGCCTTCGGCTCCAGCCACCTCCTTAAGAGGAAATTGTTGAGCAGGTGCGGGAGGGCTAGTCTCCCCACGTGAAACTGTAAGCTGGACCCTGTGTGAGGATGGGAGGTGATTAAAGGATTATAGGGTGGGGGAGTGGAGGCTGAGGAAGAATTGAGACCTGGCTCAGCCTGGCGAGGATTAGCCTGGGGAGGAAGGGAGGGGTCAGATGGGTCTGTAGAAAAGGATTCAAAGGACTCAGAGCTTGGAGTGGAGACTGAAGGAATAGACAGGAGAGAAAGAAGAAAGATTTGGGATGAGTTGCATTGGGAGCAGAGACTAGGGAGGGACCGATGTGTAAAAGAATGCCTGGACGTCAGGCACCTCAGACCATTTGCCCATTTTTCGACAAAAATCATCCAGGTCTTGTAAAATGGAGAAATCAAAAGTGCCATTTTCTGGCTGTTTAGAACCATTATCGAGTTTGTATTGGGGCCAAGTGGTGTTGGCGAAGACACTTAGGTTTTAGGTCAGGCAAGAGTTGAAGAGGTTTTAAGTTTTTGAGAATACAGCCTAAGGAAGAAGAAGGGGGAATGGAGGGTGGAAGGTTGCCCATAGTGAAGCAGGCAAGCCCAGAGAAAAGAGAGGGTAGAGACACAGATAAGGAGGGTGGTGAGCAGCCCTGGGCTGCAATGTGGGTGAGCAGCCAAAGCAGGCATCCCCGCAGTTGACTTGCCACCAAGGGAATGTGGGTGAATGACCAAGGCAGGCATCCTCGCGGTGATCAGACACCAATGGAGTGTGGGTGAATAATCAGGCAGGCATCCCCGCAGTGATTAAACACCAAGAGAAGACTATTCCTGAGTCTGTGACTGGTGCTGGAGTTTTGAGTCCACAGATAAAATGTGTCTCCTTCGTCTCTACTAGAGAGGAAAAAGAACTGGAATTGGAAGAACAGGGAGACTGAAGGGTAGCAAGAGAGGCTGGAGAAGAGAGTGAAAAGACCGCTTACCTGATTTGAAATTGGTGAGATGTTCCTTGGGCTGGTTGGTCTGAGGACCCGAGGTTGTAGGTAGATCTCCTCACGGAGTGAGGGCAAGGACAGGGGACTGGTCTCCCGAAGGAGTCCTCCTGTCCCGGGTTTCGGCACCAAATGTCACGCGCGTCCCTGTGAAGAGACCACCAAACGGGCTTTGTGTGAGCAACAAGGCTGTTTATTTCACCTGGGTGCAGGCGGGCTGAGTCCGAAAACAGAGTCAGCAAAGGGAGATAGGGGTGGGTCGTTTTATAGGATTTGGGTAGGTAGTGGAAAATTACAGTCAAAGGGGGTTGTTCTCTGGCGGGCAGGGGCTAGGGGATCACAAGGTGCTCAGTGTGGAAGCTTCTGAGCCAGGAGAAGGAATTTCACAAGGTAATGTCATCAGTTAAGGCAGGGCTGGCCATTTTCACTTCTTTTGTGATTCTTCACTTGCTTCGGGCCATCTGGATGTATACTGCAGGCTTGGGCTCAGAGGCCTGACAGTAAGGATGACCTGGAAAGGGCCTTCCCATTTTGGTTTAAGGCTGGTTGGGTTAAGGGTTTTTTTTTGTTTGATTTTTGTTTTTTGTTTTGAGACAGAGTCCTGCCCTGTCGCCAGGCTGGAGTGCAGGGCACAATCTCAGCTCACTGCAACCTTTGCCTCCCAGGTTCAAGTGATTCTCCTGCCTCAGCCTCCCGAGTAGCTGGGACTACAGGTGCCTGCCACCATGCCCGGCTAATTTTTGTATTTTTAGTAGAGAAGGGGTTTCACCATGTTGGCCAGGATGGTCTCAATCTCTTGACCTTGTGATTCACCAGGCTTGGCCTCCCACTGTACTGGGATTACAGGCGTGAGCCACTGTGCCCAGCCGGGTTAAGGGTTTTTAGAAAAACATGTTCTCCTGGTAGGAGGGTCTGGTCAGTGAGGCCTTTATGTGGTATTGGGAGGGCCTGGTGTGCCTGTTTGCAGAGGAGATGGCGGATGAGGGAGAGTGCTGGGAGGTACTCTCCTAATTGAGAATCAGAAGGAGGCCTGTTTTGTAAGAGGAAAGGGTCTCAGAAGGAGGCCTGTTTTGTAAGAGGAAAGGGCATCCATACATTAATTCAAATGGGCTGAGGAAGGAGGGTGCCTTTGGGCTGGCTCTGACGCTGGCTAGAGCTATGGGTAGGAGGGAAGTCCAGGGCCTCTGGACTTCTAGAGTGAGTTTGATCAACTGAGTGTTAAGGTTTCCATTTGCCCTTTCGACTTTTCCTGATGATTGGGGTCGATATGGGATATGGAGGTGCCACTGGATGCTGAGGGACTGGGAGAGCTGTTGGGTGATTTGGGAAATGAAGCCAGGGCCATTGTCTGATTGATTGGAGCGAGGGAGACCAAAGCTAGGGATGATTTCTCTTGTGGGGATCTGGGAGACTACTGCAGCTTTTTCTGAAGAGGTAGGAAATGCCTCCACCCACCCAGAGAAGATGTCTATAAGAGTGAGAAGTAGTCTTGTGTTTTTGACGGGAGGCATGTGGGTGAAGTCTATTTGCCAGTCTTCCCCTGGGAGTGTTCCTCTTAGCTGGTGTGTAGGAATAGATGGGGAATGGAGGGCTCCTTGAGAGGAGGTGACAGAGCATATATGACATTTTGAAGTTATACTTTTTAGTGAGGTAAATAGGTGAGGGGAGAAGAAATATGGGCGGAGGAGGAGATATAGGGGACATGCACCAATATGGAAGGATTGGTGGAGAGATGTCAGGATTTTGTCGGTTTGGCCCTGGGGAAGGTCTAGCTTCTGGTCCTTATCTATCCAGTCCCCCTGGAGGAAGGCTCCTTGTTATAGTAATGAGGCTTTTTCAGTGGGGGGTACTGAGGTTGGACTGCAGGGGTAATGAGGAGGAGGGAGGCAGGAGCGGAAGAAAGGGAGGCTTCTTTTGCTGCCCCATTGGTCTTTCTGTTGCCTCTTGAGATTTTATCTGTTCCTGTGTGATGTCCCCAACAGTGTATAACTCCTGCCTCAGTTGGGAGATGTGCGGCTTGAAGGAGTTGGTAAATAAGGGGGTGGTTAGTGATAGGGTCACTTTGGCAGTAAGGAATCTCCTCTCTTGCCAGATGGTGGCGTGGGAATGAAGAATGTGATATACATCTTTGGAGTCTGTGTAAGTGTTGACTCGTTTGCCTTTGGAAAGGGTTAGGGCTCTGGTGAGAGCTATGAATTCTGCTTTTTGAGAGGAGGTTCCTGGAGGTAGGGGCTTAGCTTCAATTACTCGGTCAAGGGAAACAACTGCATACCCAGCAATTTTGGGGGAGCCAGTGGGCCCAGAAGGGGGGCCATCTATAAATAGCTGGTCATCGGGGTTGGTGAGAGGCTCGGAGGAAATGTTAGGAAAGTGTGGCTGCAGGTGATCTAGGACGTCAGTGCAAGAATGAGTAGGAAGGGAAGAAGATACAGGGAGTAAGGATGCTGGGTTGAAGGGAGCACTTTTGGCAAGACCGAATTCAGGATTTTTGATAGAGGGCATGGAGTAATTGAATCCGGAAAGGAGGGAGCCTCATGCTCGGGAGGAGAGGAGATCCTGTAGATTATGAGGACTGTAGGTGGTGGTATTTTGACTCAATGTTAGTTTCCTGCTTACAGCTAAAGTGGCCGCTGCTGCTAGCATTCTAAGACAGGTTGGCCATCCTCTGACTGTGTTGTCTAACTGTTTAGAGAGGTAGGCTACAGGGGCAAAGGAAGGAGGGTCTCCTTTCTGTTGCCCTAAGACACCGAGGGCTATTCCTCATCTTTTGGCAGTATAGAGTGTGAGAGGTTGGGAGATACCAGGTAAGGACAGAGCTGGTGCAGTGACAAGAGCGGTTTGAAGTTTGCAGAAGTTGGGGAGTATGTTACGTGAGGGATTTAGAGGCTCACTGAGAGGGCCTTTGGCTGCTTCATAGAGTGGGTGAGCTAGGAGGGCAAAGTTGGGAATCCATATTCTAAAAAAGCCTGCTAGTTCTAGGAAGGAAAGAACTTCGCTTTTGGAGGAGGGCGAGGGCAGATTATCTATTAGTGCTGCTAGGGCAGGGGTCATAGCCCGGGTCCCAGGGGAAAGTTGAACTCCTAGGTAAGTTACTATGGAGGTGGAAAGTTGAGCTTCGGAGGGGGAGACTCTATACCCTTTGATGGAGAGAAAGTTTTAAGAGAGTAACTGTGTGAGTTTGAGAGTCTTCTAGAGAGGGGCTGCAAAGGAGAAGATTGTCCACGTATTGAAGGAGACGGCTAGGGAAAAGGTTTAAGGAAGTGAGATCTTGAGCTAAAGCTTGTCCAAAGAAGTGAGGGTTATCTCTGAAGCCTTGAGGGAGGACAGTCCAGGTTAGTTGTTGTGACTGGAGGGTGTCAAGGTCGGTCCAGGTGAAAGCAAAGAGGTTTTGGGAATCAGGGTGCAGGGGAATAGTAAAAAAAGTCATCTTTTAGGTCAATAGCAGTGTAGCAGGTGGTGTTGGAGGGAATGAGACAGAGAAGTGTAGAGGGGTTAGGGACTATGGGATGAATAGGAAAGACAGCCTGACTGATGGCTCGGAGGTCTTGCAGGAGTCGGTATGAGCCGTCTGATTTTTTAACCAGGAGGATGGTGGTGTTATATGAAGAACGTGTTGGCCTAAGAAGACGGCGTGAACAGAGCTTGTTTGTGATGGGCTGTAAGCCTTTTTGGTGGGTTAGGGAGATAGGGTTTTTGGGGATGCTGGGAAATTTAGAGAGGTCTTTTAACTGGATTTTGATGGGGTCGTGGTGAGTAGCTAGGGAAGGGGTGGTGGTGTCCCACCCTGTTGGGTTTACAAAAGAGGTGGGAAGTGGGTACTGGGGAGAGGGGTCAGGGGCTGGACTCGCATAGAGGAGTAGGAGGGACTCCGGTTGAGGGAGGGAGAAAAAGGTGATAGAAGCTTTGAATTTGGCCAAAATTTGAATTTGAATTTGGCTTTGAATTTGGCCTAGGATGGGGGTAGGGCAACGAGGCATGATAAGGAAAGAGTGTGGGAAAACAGTATCAAACAGAGAGCAAGTAAGGGGTCTGGTGGCGCGTGGACGCAAGATGAGTCCATCAGCCCCCACAACTGAGACCTGAGAGGGATGAGTGGGTCCTGAAAATTCAGGCAAAGCTGAGTAGGTGGCCCCGCTATCAATTTAAAAAGAGATCGGCTTACCTGCTACTCGCAGAGTTACCCTGGGCTCCAATGCAGTGATGGCAGATGGGGCCGGGGGCCCTGGGCCCGGTCAGTCCTCAGCGGCTAGGCTGAGGAGCTGCGGGAATGCAAGCGGTTCTTCACTTTTTGTCTTGTTAAAGGGGTGGTGGCTCTGAGGAGCAGGCTTGTCTGTCTGTTGAGAGGACAGTCGGACTTCCAGTGGCCTGTCTGCTGGCACACTGGACAAGGACTCTTTGGCACTCAAGGGTTAGGATACACCCATGCCCAGTGGCCTTCTTTGCCACACTTAAAACAAGGCCCGGAGGGTTGCTGCTATCGGGTCTTTTGTGCCCTTGGGTGATACGGCTGGGTTGATGGACAGCCGCTGCTAGAAGCTGGTATTTAGCACGATCTCTTTGGGCTTTATCTAATTTATTTTGCTCATCCCTGTTATTAAAGACTTTGAAAGCCAAGTTAAGGAGGTCTCGTTGTGGGGTCTGAGGGGCATCTTCAGCCTTTTTAAGTTTGCGCCAGATGTCGGGGGCAGATTGGGAAATAAAATGGATGTAAAGAACAATAGTTCCTTCCCGGGAGGCGGGATCGACACGCGTGTATTTTTGGAGAGTCTCTGTAAGGCGAGAAAGGAATTGGGCAGGGTTTTCATTGGCCTTTTGGGAGATTCCTTTGAGTTTTTCGAAATTTACAGCCTTATGGGCAGTTTTGTTAAGGCCTGCAGTGAGGCAAGTAATCATATGATTACAGGAGGTCTGGCAGGGGCCTGTGGGTTGATACGCCCAGGTACGCTCTTCTCAGGGAACTGCAGCGGCCCCTACTGGCCTAGTAGGATCTTGCCGATGGAGGTCATCGGCATGGGCCTGGGCTGCAAGCCACACTCTTTCCTTTTCTTCCGGAAGGAGGGTAGAAGACAAAATAATATAGAGATCATGCCAAGTAAGTTCATAAGACTGGGTGAGATATTTAAATTATTTGATGTAAGTGTCGGGATCGGAGAAGAACCTGGACGTTTCTCAATTTGGGAAACATTAGAGAGGGAAAATGGGACGTGGACACGGACCATCCCTTCGGCCCATGCCACTTCCCGGAGAAGAAGCAAGGGAGCAGGCTGCTGGGCGTGTTGGGCTCGAGAACGAGTAAGGGGTGGAGATGGGGAGGACTCAGAGTCGGAGGTGGGGTGGTTGGAGAGAAGGGGAGAGAGAGGTAGAGCCGGAGCGGAGGCATACGGTGGGGGGTCATGCTGTTCCGGTGGAGGATTAGGATGTTGTCGAGGAGGGGAGAAATCGGTGGGATCAAAGAAGGAGAAGTCGTCCGCTGGGGCTATTGGGATGAGGGGAGCAGGAGGTGAGTCGGGTTTGGAGCAGGCGAGGAGAATTTGAAAAGTACAGCAGGACTGGCAGAGGGAGGGACGACTACAGAGAGTAAAGAAAGCCTGAACATGAGGAATCTCAGACCACTTCCCACTGCGGTGGCAAAAGTTGTCTAAGTCTCTGAGCATGTCGGAATCGAAAGTGCCATTTTCAGGCCATTGGGAGCCATGGTCTGATTTGTATTGAGGCCATGTGGTGTTACAGTAAAAGATAAGCCTTTTAGGGCAGATTTCTGAACGGAGGCCAAGAGTATACAGATTGTGTAGGAGGCACCCAAGGGGGGTAGTTTTAGGAGGAATAGACTGAGAGGCTCCCATAGTGAATGGAAGGGAGGGGGGTAGAGGAAGAAGAGACTGCCGGTGACGTCCCCTTTCCCGCGGAACTTGTCAGGAATAGAGGAGGTAACCACCGTGTCAGGCGTCCCTGAAACGGAGGAACCAGAGGCCTGGAGGCTGGAGGAAGCCCTTGGCCCAGCGCTGGGTCTTTCGGAAATGGGAGATGGACGGTCAAGAGTTCAGGGAATGGCAACAGTCTCTTTTTACTCACCCTGGCGGAGGCTTTGATGGTGGATGAAGTCACCAGCAATGGGAGAGTCTAGGAGATTGTCTGGGTCTTTGGCAGGTTCGGGGAAGGGGAGATTGGCCAGGAGAGGGGTGATAGGGGAGGGAGGGAGAGAGAGAGAAAAAGAGAGAGAGAGAGAGATTGATAGTGAGCGAGTCCTGGCCAGAGTCTATCCCCCTTCCCGGGTTTCGGCACCAGAATGTTAGGTCATCCGAGAGAAAGGAAAAATTGACCTAAAGTCAGGCAAGCAAGTTTTTATTAACCTGCCACCGGCCGCTTAACAGTCAGAGGAAGCAGCCCCAAGCTTACAGATTGAGGGGTTTATATTGGGGAAGGGAGTTTGAGGGAGTTCTTCGGTATGGTCACATCCCGGGGTTGTTTGCTGGTTAATTTTGCCACATATCACCTTGTGATGTTTACGGTAGCAGCTAGATGAACAGCAGGAACTTACAGAAGGGTGTAGGTAAAGTTTGTTTATGCTTCCCACGATCTCCCCTTGTGCGGTCCAGATGGTTTGTAATTGGTGAGGTCTGTTGGCTCTGCCCTAACACTGACCACAGTGCCCCTTCTGCCCTTCCAGTCTGCAGCCCCTCTTTCCTGGAGTAAATGAACTGGACCAAATCTCAAAAATCCACGATGTCATCGGCACACCCGCTCAGAAGATCCTCACCAAGTTCAAACAGTAAGTATTGTGTTCTGAGAGTGGATGTGGACCCACTCCCCTGCTAGGACCTGCAGCAGGGCAAGCCCCTCCCTGTGCCTCCCTCAAACCCCTCTCAGGAGCTCCTTTGGCTGACTACAGGGGTTCAAGTTCACTTGAGGGCCAGTGAGTGGCTGCTCAGACAGAGCCCATCACTTTAAGTGGTCTCAAAGGTGAGCTCTTCCTTGAGCATCACAGAAAGATTTGTCACAGGCTTTCTGAGGGCTGGGGAGTCAGGCTGTGTTCCCTGAGTAATTTAAACAGGACTTAGAAGCCTTTGGGTGGAAACGTTCCCCAAGCACAGAGCATAGGTGGTGAGGGCTTTCTGCAGCCCTCCACAGCCCTGCTGGCGGGACCGACGCCTGGAAGAGGTGTTCCCGGACTCTTAGGGTCATTCTGGTGAAGCTGAGGCTGGGAGTTGGGACTTCCCAGGGAGGGCCTGTGGGCTGAGGGGCAAGTAGCACCCAGCGGCCCCCACATCCCAGGGAGGGAGAAGGTGGCAACCATTTTGGACTCTTCTTTTTTTGTTAAATTTTATTTCATTCTTCTCATGTGGGAAGGTGATATTAATCTTTTATAGGAAAGGTAGTTTTCTTACATTTTTAGCATAACAGATCCCCCCCTTTATAATAGACTATTTTTAAATAGATTTTTTTAAGAGCAGTTTTAGGTTTCCATAGAGCCCTGTCCCCATGTGCACACAGCCTCCCCTGTCGTCAGCACCTGCCTCGAGTGGTGTGTTTATTATGGTCGATGAACCGTGGATATCTCATTACTACACAGAGCCCATCATTTACATCAGGGGTCCCTCTTGGTGGTGCACGTTCTGTGGGCTGGGACAGGTGTAGACTCTGCAGTCATAAACCATTCCCCACCACACAGGGCCCTTAGTTGTGACAGTGGACCACCGGTGCGCTCAGTGACAGCATGACCATTTATTATCATTGGGTTTTTAATACAGGTCGAGAGCTATGAATTTTGATTTTCCTTTTAAAAAGGGATCAGGAATACCTCTACTAACAACCAATTTGTCCCCACAATGCCTCTCCCTCCTGCACGCAATGGTGGCCTATGATCCCGATGAGAGAATCGCCGCCCACCAGGCCCTGCAGCACCCCTACTTCCAAGAACAGAGGTAGGCACTCTCGTGGGTTCGGTGGGGCAGATGCAGGACCTGGCAAATGAGACCCATGGGCACATGGTGGGGCAAGGTACTGCCCCCTGGAGGGTCCCTGGTTCTTGGGAATCGCGCTCTCTATCCTGAAGAGTGGTCAGGGCCTCTTGGGGCCCACACCGTGCTGCCTTCTGGTGTATCCTCCCCAAAATGAGGATGTTAGCAGCTCCACGGCAGGAGAAAGAGGGGCTGGCTGTCCACTTTGCGGTTGATGCCAAGGCTACAGGTAGTAATCCTTCTAGAAGAGCCTGGTGTGCGGCCCTTGTAAATGGTGTGAACAGGATGCATTCTGAGATGGTAGAGCACTGTGGATGTCACCTGGCGCTGGAAGTACCTGCTGAATGTGAATCTAAGACCTGTCTGCCCTGAGGTCACCTAATTCCGGACCTCTGGACACTCCTGTTTGCCTAACTGTGGAGGTGACAGTTTGATCTGAAACTGCGAGTCCCTGGGTAGGCAGCGCTTCTGATTCATGGAGCCAGCTCTGTTCCTGGCCCAGAGACTGTCAGGCTGAGACAGAAAAGAAAAAAAAAGGCTCCTGATTACAGCTCAGGCAGAAAAGAAGAGCTAGTGACAACTCACACAGTAGACAAATTGGAGACAAAGAAGCCAGTAGGCCGTGTGCTCTGCGGGCTCTCAGTGGAGCTGCTCCATTCTCTTCTCCTTCCCCGTAGGAAAACAGAGAAGCGGGCTCTGGGCAGCCACAGAAAAGCTGGCTTTCCGGAGCACCCTGTGGCACCGGAACCACTCAGTAACAGCTGCCAGATTTCCAAGGAGGGCAGAAAGCAGGTACTAAGCGAAATCGGAGCCGGAGACTGCCTAGCTCAGCCGGGACTGGATGCCCTCGGGTGGCCTGTGTCTCTCTCAGGAGGACGCCACCTGTGGAGGCTGTGGCAGACCACATTGTCAGTCGAGGCCTGAACAGCATGCGAGTTGATGGCTCCATGTGTTGGGACATCAGGGACCCCAGTTCTATTTGCTCAAGCCCTTTCTGCCCCAGTAGCTAAGAATTGATGACGAATATCCCATGTGAGCAGGCCCAGAGAGGGGATGTTTGCATGAACTTTTGTGTCTGTCCTGATGACCATATGCAGGTGCCAGGTTCTATGCCAAAGCACCGTGCAGACATCGCCCCTCAGAACGGCCCTGGAGGGAGGCGCCAAGAAGATGCAATGCTGGCCCAAGTCACCCACCCAGCCAGTGACAGGTCTCAAGTCACTGTCTCTGCCTGGCTCCAGATGAGCACTTCGTCCCATCAGCAGAGGTTGTGCACATTTTCGGTTGAGAAATGCCAGCTTTGCCCCTCAGTGCCTTCACCTTCCCACCTACCGTGTGGCATCCTAGCCTGGTGCAGCCCTGTGTCACCTGCTGGCAGGGTCACACCAGTCTCCCAGTTCTGGGCTGGCACCCCAACAGTGTGACAGTGTGCCCTTCCATCATTCGTCTGTTCGGTCGTCCGTACGTCACTCGCTCCTCCCAGCCTTTACCGAGTGCTCCCTGACCGCTTGGGAGCTGGGAACCCAGAGCTGCAGTCAGGCTGCTCTCCAGAAAGCCAGGCTCCTGTGTCCCATTGGTCCCTGATTTGACAGCTCCACTTGAATGTCCGAAAGACAGACTTGCTGAAACCCCTTCTCCTGATCTTTCCCCAAACGTGCTTTTTCCCTGTGGCTTCCCATGGCCTTCCCTCCGAGGGAGGCAACTCCGTCAACTGCCCAGGCCCCCCGTGGACCCTTCCTTCATCCCACAGGGGCTTCGCCTTCTTGCCTCCTACATCCTCCTCACCTTGCCTAAGTCACCACAGATGGCCTCCTCACTACTGTCCCTGCTCTGCCTCCGCTCCCTCCTGGACAGAGGGTCTGCTTCAAACCCTTGATGTCACTCCTGGCCGGCATTCACCCAAGTCCCCACCCTCAGTCACATCCGAGGTCGGCATATTTTTCTCTAAGGGTCTGATAGGAAATATTTTAGGCCCCGTGGCCGTGGGGTGTTCGTTACACTCCCTGCTTTGCTGCAGTGTGAAAGGAGCTGGAGGCAACACATGAACCACATAGGGGCTGCGTTCCAGTAGAACTGGGGACACTAAAATTTGAATTTCACATAATTTTCACATGCCATGAAACATTTTTTTTTCAGTCATTAAAAATAAAAACCAGGTGGGTGCGGTGGCTCACACCTGTAAACCCAGTGCTTAGGGAGGCCAGGGTAGGATCACTTGAGGCCAGGAGTTTGAGACCAGCCTGGGCAACGTAGGCAAGACCACTGCCCCACCACCCCATCTGTTTTAAAAATTAGCTGGGTGTGGTGCGTGCCTTTGGTCCCAGCTACTTGGGAGGCTGAGGCAGGAGGATCGCCTGAGCCTAGGAAGCTGAGGCTACAGTGAGCCAAGATTGCACCACTGCACTCCAGTCTGTGCTACAGAGCAACAAACACCGTGTCTCAAAACAAACAAACAAACAAAAAACCCCAAATGTAAAACCATCCTTAGCTCACAAGCCACCCAAAACCAGGCGACAGGCAGATCAGGGTGTGAGACCTTGGAGCTAGAGCAGGAGGCAGGAGGCGTGGGCACCACAGCCCGCGAGCCCTTTGCCGCCCGCACTGCTCAGCTTGCAGTCGGCATTCTTCAGGTTCCCCCTGAAGGTTTGGCCTCCCCCGTGGGACTCTAGTGGGCAGCCACTCCCTTGGGGTGTCTGGGACCTGGTGGATGTGTCCCAGTCACATCTTATGGTCAAGAAATTGTATTAGGCAAAAGCAGTACAAAAGAGCCTCTTTCGTTTTTCCTAATTTCCATAAAGCAGAAAGCGTTTTATGTCCAACTGGCCTCTGTTCTGTTTCAAGAAACAGTCCCTAAAGCAAGAGGAGGACCGTCCCAAGAGACGAGGACCGGCCTATGTCATGGAACTGCCCAAACTAAAGCTTTCGGGAGTGGTCAGACTGTCGTCTTACTCCAGCCCCACGCTGCAGTCCGTGCTTGGATCTGGAACAAATGGAAGAGTGCCGGTGCTGAGACCCTTGAAGTGCATCCCTGCGAGCAAGAAGGTAGCGCGGAACCAGCTTCTCTGACGGCGCTGCTCTTCGACCCAGCCCAGGCCGCCACTGAATTTTGTGTCTGTAATTTTTCTTTGACAGACAGATCCGCAGAAGGACCTTAAGCCTGCCCCGCAGCAGTGTCGCCTGCCCACCATAGTGCGGAAAGGCGGAAGATAACTGAGCAGCACCGTCGTCTCGACTTCGGAGGCAACACCAAGCCCGACCGGGCCAGGCCTGGGTGATCTGCTGCTGAGACGCCACGGAGGGCTGGGGATGCGCCTGCGTCCGTTTCGCGCTGGCCGGGGCTCTGGGTGCTGCCCTGCGCCCTGCCGCACCCGCGGCCCGCGCAGCTGCCTAGGATGTTCTGGGCTAATATACTTGTAAAACCACCGCATTCTAGGGTTTTCTTTCATTTTCGTTAAGAATTTGGGGCAGGAAATACTTTGTAACTTTGTATATGAATCAAAACAAACGAGCAGGCATTTCTGTGATGTGTTGGGCGTGGTTGGAAGGTGGGTTCTGCGTGTCCCTTCCCAGCGCTGCTGGTCAGTCGTGGAGCGCCATCATGTCTTACCAGTGACGCTGCTGACACCCCTGACTTTTATTAAAGAATAAGCTGTCGTTACAGTATTGCATTTTAATGTTTTCCGAGTCCAACATGTGTCCTTACCAGCCATTCCTTTATTTTAGCTTTTGTGGGCACACGAGGGGAATTGATTTTGTTGGGAAGACTTTGGTGTGGCTTAATTTTTTTTTTTTTTTTTTTTTGAGACGGAGTTTCGTTCATTGCCCAGGTTGGAGTGCAATGGCGCAATCTTGGCTCACTGCAACCTCCACCTCCCGGGTTCAAGGGATTCTCCCGCCTCAGCCTCTAAGTAGCTGGGATTACGTGCATGCACCACCACGCCCGGCTGATTTTTTTGTATTTTTAGTAGAGACGGGGTTTCTCCATGTTGGTCAGGCTGGTCTCAAAACTCCCGACTTCAGGTGATCCTCCCGCCTCGGCCTCCCAAAGTGCTGGGATTACAGGCATGAGCCACCGCGCCTGGCCTGGTGTGGCTTAATTTTCATTTGAAGAACCATTCAGAAAGGAACACACACAGGCGTGTCCTCGGAGCCCTGTGTGCTCCTCAGTGACCAGCCTGGCGAGGTGGTGCGGGGCACAGGGCAGGCCTGAAGGGTCTCTTCTGAGCATAGGCTTCAAGGTGACCACGTTGTCATTTTAGCTCCTGGTGCTCAGCTGTCTCTGGGGAGTATGGAGCCCTGCCCCTGGCCTGTCAGTGGGTGCTTTGAGCTGTTTGCTGAGTGCCAACAATAAGTTGGGCACCTTGTGTCCTAGAAAGAGAAACCTGTTTCCCCATGGGGATGGGAATGGGAACATTGCAAAGAAACCGTGGCACTGGCCGGGCTGCTGGGCACAAGAAAAGTCCTAGTAAGTCCTCTTGTTTATCTGGGAAAGTAACTTAGTAATTGGGTCTTCTTTCTTTTTTGTCATCTTCCCAAACTTAAAGAGATATTTTTGAAAAAGGCTAAATTTCCCAGGCTAGTAGTGTTTAAGCCTCCTTGCTCCCCTGTTGAGACAAATCTGTGACACCCTTCCTTCACGTGCTCTCCAGTGGTCCTGGCCCCAGCCCCAGGCCACCTGACACGACAGCGGGGCCGCAGGAGATGGACCGCGGGCCACGCGGAGGGAGGGCAGGCTGGAGGAGGAGGCAAGGGCGGGGAGCGTGGGGCAGCGAGTCCGTGGGCACAGGTGCCCACTCTGCACCACATGGGGGCAAAGGAACCCAAGAAGAAGGGCAGATTCCAGTCCGGAAGTGAGGCTTGCCGTAATGTTCAGACCGGAAGTGAGGCTTGCCGTAATTTTCAGACCGGAAGGGAGGCTTGCCATAATGTTCCAGAGCAGGGTGCAGTGCAGGCCTTTCCCCGGGCTCCTTTTAAACCCATTTGAGACCCTGGTGCAGCCTTGAGGGCTGCCCTTGCTGTAGGGGAGGTGTCTGAGCAGGGGGGTGGTGCCGTTCTGCCTCTACAGAGGGCCTGGGAGTCCCAGGGGAGTCGGACGTCAAGGCCGTGGGCAGAGCCCAGCAGCAGGGAGGGCTGGGGGACAGAAGGCTGGGGAGATGGCTGTAGGGGGGGCGGCGCGCAGGTCACAAGAGAGGGACCTGTGGGTAGGGGAGTGGTGGCTAGGAGGGCCATGCCCTGTCCCCCGGCCTGGCTTCAGGGTCAGGCATGTTAACGGATTGAGTGTGTACTTGGGAAACGTGTTACTCTCTTTATGTCTATAAAATATGAAGGGAAAGTCTTTACAGTTCTTCTGCAGGCTTTTTTGAGAAAGCAAATGTGGTCTGCAGATGCCGGTGCCCAGGACACCAGCTGCCCTGTCCTGACTGTCACACTCCTCGTGGTGGGGGCAGCGGGGCTGGGGGCCCTCTGGAGGCAAGAAACAGTCCCTAAAGCAAGAGGAGGACCATCCCAAGGTCCACCACTTGAGGCCCTCCTGGTTTAGTTAGACTCGGGCGTAAACGCTCTGAAGCAGTGTCGAGCCCGGCACGCCAGGGCCCAGGGCAGCTGGGCCTCCAGGCTGGAGGTGAGCAGGGGACCAGAGCCCAGCTCCACAGGCCCCCTCCATGGAGGAGCGGCGGGGTTTGTGGCGCACAGCAGGGTTCCCACATCAGCTTCCCAAGTCCAAGGGTGGAGATTCCGAGGGTGATGATTTCCTACAGATTTGGAGAAAAGGGAAATCCTGCCAGCCACCCTTGGACTTCCCGCCCTGCACTTGGCCCTTGCACCTGCCTGCTCTTGGCAGGAGGCGTCAGGGTCCCCAGGCCGCTTCAGCTGCGTGTGGTTCCCTGTGTCCGTCTGGGCCCTGTGATGGGGGCCAGGGCTGAGGGCAGAGGGGCCAGGCTGGCTCAGCCCATAGGAGGCCACCTTGCCCTGCTGCCGGGGCCCCGGCGGGGCCTCTGCCACCCCAAACTGGAAAGCTCGTGAACCCTGGCTGGCCGGATTATTTCCATTCTTCTGTGCAATGCAATTGAAGCGCTTGAATTATCCCCACAGAACCCAGAACGGAAGCGAGGATGAGGCCTCAGCCGTCCTCCTCCCCATTCAAACACGTTCATCCCTCAACCCTCTGCTGAGCACCTGCATGCTGCCCGGCCGCAGTGTCACCCTTCTTGTGTGAGCCTACCCTCATCCACCCACCTCACCCTCCTGACCTTAAAGAAGACACCGGGCAGAAGCACAGGGGAGCCCAGTCACACCCCACACTGGCGGGGGCAGGCCTTGCAGGGAGAAGCAGTAAGCAGCCATCTCCATCAGCCATTTCCATCTGGCACTCAGACGTGCACGTCTTCGTGTGACAGGCGGCAGCAGTGCGACCGTGACCTCCCATCTGCTCTGCTGTCCCCACACCTGCGGTGCAGCCAGCCTGCCACAAGGCAGCTAGAGTCCAGCTAGACCCACCCCTGGCACGGCCGACCTCTTCCTGGCTTCTTCTGGGCCTAATCCCCGTGCATTCTCCAACGCCAGAAGTGTAAGAAAGTGCAAGGCAACAAGTGAGAAGAGCAAACCCAAATCGTACCAGGGAAGCTAGTCTTTCCAGGGCACCTGAGTGAGGGCATGACCAGCCTTGACGCTGCCTCGCTACCATCTGCCCAGGGCCTGCTGAATGCTTGAGTCCATGGTGACAGTGGTGGGAACAGTTACGAGGCAGTTAGATTTTGGAAGTCATGTTGGCCCACTTGGCTACAGAGCAGTCTTAGGAACAGCACCATAAAAATAAAGACTTATTCCTGACACACATGCATCTAGAGTAAACTGGGGCGTATCTGACAGCGTTAGTACAGTGATGGCCAAATGCAAACTGCATTCCAGAACCAGCGAAGGGTGACAGACTGGGCTGAGGCAGAGCTAGGACTAACCATCTCGAGTGATGCCATCTCGGGGCCAACAAAAGTTTTGGACACGGCTGGATCATCTGACCAAACTGCTCAAATCTTTACACAATTATTGTCCTGGTATTAAACTTTCACCTGCCACTTCCAACAAACAGGAGACAGAATAAGGAGATGACCAGGAAGATGGCTGGATTAAGAATTCTAGACTTGGCCGGGTGCGGTGGCTCACACCTGTAATCCTAGCATCTTGGGAGGCTGAGGCAGGAGGATCGCTTGAGCCCAGGAGTTTGAGACCAGCCTAGGCAACATAAGGAGACCCCATCTCTACAAAATATCAAAAAATTACCCAGGTATGGTGGCACACACGTGTGATTCCAGCTACTCGGGAGGCTGAGATGGGAGGATCACTTGAACCCAGGAGGTTGGGGCTACAATGAGCTATGATCGCACCACTTCATTCCAGCCTGGATGACAGGTAAGACTCTGTCTTAAACAGAAAATAATTCTAGATTTATTTTCAAAAGTAGTTCCTTCTGCCTTCCAAATACACCCGCAGTTCACTGTAGCTGTTTTGGGCCCTCCTGGGTTTGGCTTCCTGTATAACTGACAGCACCTAGCAATCAACACTTTAAGATGACAGAAATACCAAAGTACCTAAAACATGCTAATATCTTATTTTAATACAGAGGTCACTCTGCATGTGTCTAATTCATCCATTCTGATTCTTTCATTTAGAACAGCAAGTCTTAGTGTCTTTTATTATTTCTCTTTCTAGAAGACTCACTCCATAGTTCATGGCCCCGTGATCCAGAGTCCCTGCTGGCGCCTTCGAGTGGGGCAGGCTGAGAACTCAAGCTGTAACTAATGTCTCCTCCGAAGAAAACTAAACCGAGGGCTGAGCTGATGTGAAGTTTTCCGTGGCTGCATTCATACAAATGGTGAAAATGTAGCATACCTCCCCTCAAAAGCCTGAAAGTAAAGACATGCCCCCAATTTAATGTGATGAATTAGAGAAATAGGTTTCAGACACTTCATGGTTTAAAGTCTCACAAAATAAAGCTTTCGAAGGATCCAGTTGTATATGATTTTTTAAAAAAATAAATAAACATTCTTCTGCTTGGTAGCTGCACATTCTGTTGGGATTCCAGTAACTCGCTGAGCAGGTGTGGGATGCCCTAAACTCAGATGCTCACGAGCTGGTTTCAACCAAGTAAGAAAAATCTCAGGTAAGGCCGGGCGCAGTGGCTCACGCCTGTAATCCCAGCACTTTGGGAGGCCAAGGCAGGCGGATCACGAGGTCAGGAGATCGAGACCATCCTGGCTAACATGGTGAAACCCCATCTCTACTAAAAATACAAAAATTAGCCGGGCGTGGTGGCGGGCGCCTGTAGTCCCAGCTACTCGGGAGGCTGAGGCGGGAGAATGGCGTGAACCCGGGAGGCGGAGCTTGCAGTGAGCCGAGATTGCGCCACTGCACTCCAGCCTGGACAACAGAGGGAGACTCCATCTCAAAAAAAAAAAAAAAAAAAAAATCTCAGGTAAACAGTGTGATTAGCTAGTTCATGTCCCATGTTCATACTCACTGTAGAAACTGTGTTATGTGTGGTCACAGGCTTTCAATGACGAAAGGAGGACTCGGAGTTGTATGGAAACGTGATCCTGAAGCCCTGTGCAGACGTGCAGCTGCCCACAGTGGCCACAGACAGCTGAGGCTGTGAGGCGACCACAGAGCCCACGCCCTCCTGAGCCATATTCTTGAACAGCCCATCTCAAGTGTGACTGGTGAGGGGGCTTCAAGTAACATGGGGTGAAAAAGACAAAACAATTCCATACCAACCAGTTCAACCCAAATGTACAGGACAAACTAAGCCAATTTAACAGAAGATAAACAAGCGGTATATTCAAGATAGTTTTAATATTAACTTTTGTGAATTAGAAATATCACTCTTAAATGATGAAAATTACTAGTGAAGTAACTATTTTCCCCAATTGCAGAATTACAATATTTATACATATAATACAGAGTTGATTGCATTGGAAACAACAGTTTATTTTACGTAAAATAAACGTCAACGGGTAAAAAGGGCATCTTCACGCCGCACCTCAGAGGGCCATGAGTCCTTACACCCATCTGCAAAGTAACTTTCCACCAGCATTCAACTATTTTTAAGTGCAAACAATTTTTTAAAATCTGTGATTGCAGCGTCTGTCTTCCTGAATTACATTACGTCAGAAAGTAACAGTTTTCTCTATGAGTGCATTCAAGGTTGTCTTCTGACCACCTAAGGTATAGAAAAATCAGTGCAAAAACAGTGAAGCACTATAACAGCTGAATTTCAGGGGATTTCTTGTCCAAGAAACATTTTATTTTACACTATGTATATATGTATATATTATATATATATGAAATTTAATTACATTGAATTTTAGAGTAAAAAGCAAGAAAACTCCATTTCTTATTTTTTACTGCAGCCCCAAAAGACCGGTTTAAAATGGAAACAACTTCTTTGGGTGAGCAGCGGGAGCACGGCGCCGCAGAGTGAGCCGGTCACCGTCCACACGGCTATCGCCGACGTCCACCGCCTGAGGTCCGCCGGCTGGCACGGCTCAGGCGCAGCTCGGAGCTCCTCCTCGTCACTCCCTCGAGTCCAAGTCCCGGGAGACTGTGCGCGCAGCAGTGAGGTCGCTACACTACAGTTCCACCTGGAGAACTGGCCTGGCTTGGGGATGACAATGAGCCCTGCAAACAAAGCAGTCTACATTAATCCAGCAAAACACCGGACGGGCAACAGCCACCATGCGCGCCCTCCGCCAGCAGCTCCACGTGGTCAAAACTGGTGCTGTTGATGTGGAAGCCAGTGTGGGAGCAAACCCTCCACTTCATCTATTTAATTCCTATCCAGATCACTGCGTTCCATTCCTAGAGAATTGGAACCCTGCTGGGTGCAATACTGTGGCCTCAATACCGTCCAAGAGAAGGGCGGGCAGGGCTGGCCTTGCCCTTGGGGGAGACAGTGGTTTCTCAGCACCTGAGAACAGGTTCTTTGGAGCTTTGCTGACCCAAAGGTGCAGGTGCCTCGTGGGAGGTGTTCAGCGCCTTCAGCCAGGGTTGAGCCCAGGGCACCGCAGTTCTGGACCGCACACCCAGTCCCTCGGAGCCAGGGGTTGTCTCCAAGGATAGAGTTCAGTGGCACCTTTGAAAGGGCATTCTCTGCTGGGGGGTTCTTGCTTTGTTGGGTGGTGTGACCGTGGCACCCCCTGGCTGTAGCTGTCCACATGTGTAGGCCCCACAGGTAGAGACAGCAGGGCCCAGGCCGAGGTCGGGGGAGCCCCAGAACAAAGTAGTCTTGCCGTGAGGCTGCAGCTGGGTGTGGAGAAGGGATGTGGGGGCCAACCCACCAGGGCCAGCAGGAAGAATGGTGGGGGGCATCTGGCTCTTTAGGGCGGCTCCTGCTGAGAGGCTCACTGTCGGGGGCGGGGGCGGGGAATCTCACCCAGATTTTACAATACTGGTGTGACCTTGGGTAAACCTAAGAGGGTTTAACCTCCTACACAGCAAAGAGTACTTCCATTTCTTTGCATTTACTATTGAGCAGCAATTACATTACATCAAAGTGTGGCGTTCATTTATGAAGAACATTAAGATGGCGACAGTGCAGCCCCAAAGGTGCACATTTTCAGCTCTGGGAATACAACTTAGCTGTCATGGAAGAAGGCTTCAGCTGATGAGTACTGTTTACAAATGACAAGCCTTTAACTCAAGCTGACATTGCTACCTTCTCACATATTGGACTTGTGTGGACACAAATGAAGGTGACAATCGGAAACTGCCCTTCAGCCTCGCCCACGCCCTGCTGCCGGAAGCCTGGAAGCAAGCTGTCCCGCTCAAGTCATTTCATCCCGTTTCTTACCTTCCACCTGAAATCTGTTCACCTAGACAAGCTCAGGAAGCAAACGGAATGTGGCAGCTGCCCCTGCTCAGAGTCTATAGGAGTGCTTTTCCTCTGGGACCCCTGAAAAGGGACAGAACCCTGTTTGTACTTGTGGAGGACCCCGCAAACGCCCCATACTTCTGGCTCAAACACATCAAGCCTGTGGAGGAAAGCTGGGCAGCAGGTTCCTGACCCCACTTCTGCCGCAGACAGTCTGGAGGAAGGAAGCCTCTCACACAGGACACTCTGCCTTCATCACCACGCGCACCCTAAGAAAGTGCTTTCCACAAGCTATGTGGTGTCCAGGAAGTGACAAATCTCCAGAACCAGGAGGCACCTCCCTTCCCCCCGGCAACAGAAAAGTCATCTACTCCTGGCAGAGGGAGAAAGTGGTGGTGACCCAGCCTGGGGACAGACGGAGAGGGGCCACCCTCATCTGGCAGCCACAGAGTCTCCCTCCCCTTTCACGGAGTGCCAGGTGGAGGTGAGTGCTGCTCCAGGTAGGAGGCAGCCCCACCCACAGGAAGGTGGTGTCTCTACCAGTCCTGTGTTAAGTTTAGCTTCCCGGGAGCACGTTTAACAACTTAAAAACAAGTGACAGCCAGCCCTGTGGGAGGCTGAGGTGGGGAGATTACTTGAGCCCAGGAGTCTGAGACCAGCCTGGCCAACATGGTGAAACTCCATCTCTACTAATACAAAATTAGCCGGGTGTGGTGGCGCACGGCTGTCATCCCAGCTACTCAGGAGGCTGTGTGGCAGGAGGATGGCTTGAGCCCAGGAGATGCAGGGTGCAATGAGCCGCGATCCACTGCACTCCAGCCTGGGGGATAGAGCAAGACCCTGTCTCAAAAAATGAAAAGATAGATAATAAAAACAAGTGACATTAATTTTAATATTTTCTTTTTTTTTTTTTTTTTTGAGACGGAGTCTCACTTTGTTGTCCAGGCTGGAGTGCAGTGGCACGATCTTGGCTCACTGCAAGCTCCACCTCCTGGGTTCAAGTGATTCTCCTGCCTCAGCCTCCCAAGTACCTTGGACTACAGGCGCCTGCCACCACGCCCAGCTAACTTTTTGTAGTTTTAGTAGAGATGGGGTTTCACTGTTAGGATGGTCTTGAAGACCTCCTGACCTCGTGATCCACCTGCCTTGGCCTCCCAAAGTGCTGGGATTACAGGCGTGAGCCACCGCACCTGGCCAATTTTAATATTTTAACTGAAGATGTTTCATATAATATTCAGCAATATAAAAATTACTAATGACTTTTTTGGTAAGAAGCCTTTGAGGTGTGCTGTGTGGTTGACACGTTATGGCACTTTTCAGGTTGGACTGGCCCCAATTTACATACTTAGTGGCTGCAGGTGGCTTCTGACGGCCATGAGGGACAGCACCCTTCCTTAGACTTCCTCTCACTGAGTGTGAGGCCCCAGAGGACTCGGCTGCTTTCCATCACTCCCAGGGGAGGGCGGCTGCTGAGACGCAGAGGTGGCGCAGCCACCAGGCTGCCAGAGCCTGATGTTGAGGGACACGCTGCTTCCGCCAGCTGGTCCCTACAAAGCCGCACCCCTAGAAAGCGACCCAACGCGAGGGCTGCAGGCTTCCTATTCTCCCATTAGCACAAAACAAATGCACACTCATTCTCCAGTTTCTGCTGGCTAACGCCTTGATGCCAATTGTGGTGGCAGCTAGGAGCCAACTAGAACCACCTTCATGCCCTCCACTGTCCCACTCTCCACTGGGCCCAGCTTCCAGAGAGATCTTGAATCAACCGCCCTCAAACCTGTCCTCCTCTCGTCTTCTGTAGTCCATACTGGCATAACGGAACTGGGGGTTCCCGTTAGCAGGCTTCGCCCTTTTGATGGCAGCCCTGGTTAACAGTTCTTTTAGAATGCATCGCCATGCAGAGAATGTGCCCATGATCAAAACTCAGGGTCCCCATGCTGCAGCACTCAGGAAGCACGTTGGCCACCGGTGAAAAACCCAAGAGGACCCCAGGGTGCTTGACCAGGGACTCCCTGGAGCCCGCCCGTCAGAGCAAAGGGGAAAACGGTGGTCTCTAAGAGGAGTTAACCGGAAGGCGAAGCGAAGGCCCAAAGGGCCCGGCCTCCAGTTCTCCAGCAGTGACCCCAGCAAGCCCCAGGAGACAGTCCTGCAGGCACAAGCCCTGGAGTGTGCTGGGCCTGCTGTGGCCCTGCGTTGGCATCAGTGCCAGGCATGCCCAGAAGCAGGGGGTGCGACACAGCACTCCGGGTGGCAGGGAAGGGGCCTCGGCGCCCTGCATGCCGCTGAGGACTTGTGCGAGTCACTGGACCCTTCATCTTGGCACCTGTCACTTGCTGGAGATGGACTCACTTTGCCGTGGTGAACACTGGAGGCAACAGGAGGAAAAAGCGCCATTCAAAAGAGAATCAAATGAAAAAAGTCACCTTGTTTCTATCTGCCTGTGATTCAGTCTAAAGATTATCAGGTGGTAGAAGAGGAAGACGAGAAACAGACACCTAGGCCCCCATGGAAGGATCCCGGCTGCAGCTTCCCTCGAGAGCACAGCGTGGGGGATCCACTGCCCAAATGGTCATCCGTGTCAAACTCCCGGTGACAGGGACCCTGCTGCCCCAATCCGCCTGCTCTTCAGGGAGGGAGTGGGGTTTTACCCTGTCCTTCTGCTTCCTTTTCATGGGAGAAAAGGGGCAAGGCCCGGCCCGGCCGACGGAGGACCTGGCAAGGGGAGCCCGCCCACGCTTCACCTGTGCTCAGCAGCGTGCGGGAGCTGCTGGGCTGTGCACCAGAAGCAGGACAGCTGGCAATTCCAGGCTTTACCAGTTGCCATCAGGCAAAGGAGCTCCCCAGGCAGAATCTGCACGGCGTCCCATCAGCCCCCACACCGTGAGAGGAACGGGGCAAGCCTTGGCTCTAATATTAGTCAGCTGCTTGGCTCCCCGCAGAGTCACTGTTTTATTCCCGCTAGAGACTTCAGTTCAAAATTAAGTGATAAAAAAATACTCCAGCTCTTGGTTTGGGTTTGATTCTAATTTATAATACTAAGTTAAGAGAATTACACCTTGTTGCACCAGAATATATATGAAAAATATTTTGGTTCAAAACAATTTACAATAAAGCAGCAAGGCCATGTTCCTGCCCCTGCAGGTGCTGCTCGGACTGGAGATTCTGACAGCCAGATAGGACTGTGAGGGCCACAGGCCACGTCAGAGAAAGGACATGTCCTGAAGCTCTGTCAGGCCTGGACGGTCTCCTAGCTCTGGGTTCTGGGAGGGCTTCCCCTTCTGACCCCCACGACCCCTGGCCTGTGAGTGTCAGAGAAGACAGAACCTCAAGGAGACAGCTGTGGGATGTGGATGAGAGTGTGGGCTGGGCGCCAGCTCATCCCTCATCCACCTGGGACTGTTCAATACCCTCTCTGGTCATTCAACCCCCAAGGTCACCCTTTCCAACCCAAACAAAAGTAAGACGCACACAGGCCCTGGGACCCGTTTCATGGCAGGCACGCGGGCGGGCAGACTAGCGCTTCTCTCCTGAGATCGTGGACAAAGTACCACAAGACAGAATCTGGTTCTACACAGCCACAACATCCGGGAGCTTGGTGCCAGCTGGCCGGCGTGCTGTGGAGGTCACCTCCACTGGCGTCCCCCAGAGGGAGAAGGCCAGCCTTGGCCCTGCACGTAGCCCCTGAGGCTCCAATGCTGGCCTCTGTGGCAGGTGCTCCTGGCAGAATCTCACCCTGGGGAGAACACGAGTTAAATGTTATTTGCAAAGCGACACCTTTTTAGAGACGGTGCGGAAACGATGAGAACTATGACCAGGCTAGCCTGCTCTCAGAACCAAGACTTCCAGCTCTGAACACACTCCTTAACTGCTCACGTGCAAGACTCCCACCATTCTCACTACACAGACCACAACAGAAAGGAACCAAAGCAAACCTGGAGAAAGCAGCCATGGTTTATTCACGGCACCCGAAGCCAGTCTCTACATCACACAAGCGGCACGTGAGCCACAGAGCCGGGAACCCTGGGCCCAGCCCAGGGACGTCGGGACCCATCTCTGCCCCAGACTTGCCGTGCAGTTTGGCTTGGGACCTCAGTTATAGCTGGGCAGTGGACCACGTACCTCTGCCAGCTTTAACCTGTCCACTGACAGGTGACAGTGAGGGGCCACACTTGCCCAGATGCCACTCAACCTGGCATCTAATGAGAAAAGCCACCCAGAGAAAAGGATTGTACTCTTCAGACTTCCGGGGAAAGACCACGCAGATGAAGGGCACGACCATCTAAGGGCTCCGCTGCGATCTGAAGGTGGAAGAAAAGCATCAGAGAGAACGTGTGCAAGTCAGTGGGCCTTCATCGTGATCCCGTTCACTGATGGAGACCAGCACCGGCCCGGGCTGTCACTGGAGGCCCTCCCGCTCCTGGGACCCACTTGGCCCTGCAATCCTCTCTACTGTGTGGGGCAGGAAGAAGGGACCCCACTTAGTCTCCATAAAGCCTTTCTAGCTTGAGTAACTTCAAAGAGGATTTTGCTTATGCTGCCCCCCACCTAAAAGGGGAGGCTGGTTTTGGAGGCCACTGACCCTGGAAGGGGTGGTAGGGAGCTGAGAGCCTCTAGATGGTCCATTCGTCTCCAGAGACCCCTGGGTTCAGAATCCATTAATTCTGACAGGCAGCCACACATGGAGAAATGGCTATTTTTTTTCTTTAAGACAGAGTCTCGCTCTGTCGCCCAGGCTGGAGTGCAGTGGCGCCATCTCGACTCATTGCAACCTCCACCTCCTGGGTTCAAGTGATTTTCATGGTGCCTCAGCCTTCCGAGTAGCTGGGACTACAGGCGCCCGCCACCACGCCCGGCTAATTTTTGTATTTTTAGTACAGATGGGGGTTTGCCATGATGGCTGGGCTGGTCTCAAACTCCTGGGCTCAGGTGATCCACCCGCCTCGGCCTCCCAAAGTGCTGGGATTACAGGCATGAGCCACCATGCCCAGCTGAGAACTAGCTATTTTTATTTTTTTGAAGGTACAAACTAGCTATTTTTAAAAGACCAAAATGTCATGGTTTTCTTAAAAAAACAAAACTTGCTGTCAACTTAATAGTCTTTAGGGCTTAAAATCTACTCAGTGCTAGCCTGGGCAACATGGCAAGACCCTGTACCTACAGAAATAAAAATACACAAAAATTAGCTGAGTTTGGTGGTGTGTGCCTATGGTCCCAGTTACTCAAGAGGCCTAGATGGGAGGATCACTGAGCCCAGGAGGTCAAGGCTTCAGTGAGCCATGTTCGGGCAACAGAGCGAGACCCTGTCTCAAAAAACACAAACCAAAACGCCCTGTTCAGTGCTAAGAACAGAGCCCTGTGCACTCTTGTGGCAGTCGTAGGCCCCAGGAGGCCGCTTTTGAGAGCTGTAGGTCTGAATGTTCCCTCCGCTTTGACAGCCCAGACTCAAGACAAAAAGTGCAGATAGTTCAGCACTGGAGGCTCTGCTGACCCCGCACTCCAGAGACAGCACCGTGGGAAGCTTCTGGGAGTTCCCCACCCGATGAACGTGCTGGAGGCAGAGCACAGGGCTCAGCCGGCTGCCAACATGCAGAGGCGGCTGAGTGGGACCTGGATGTCTCATGACACAGCAGGGAAGTGACAATTAAATGGGAGCACAAGGGCCTGAGGAAGGGCTGTGTCTGAGGCCAGCTCGCCCTCACTCATCACACCTCAGGCAGGGGGGTAGGCCTGCGGGTGCCAGGGCGCTGCTCAGATCAGCTACGTCGTCTGTCAAGAGTGAGGGATGGTATTTCATAGTAAGACAATGTAAATCATGAGTTCTTCTCATCCCAAATGGAACGTCCCCCACTGCCCTGTGTAGGAAGCGCTCTGCACCGACGACGGGCCTGGTGTCTACAGCAGGACAACCTCACGCCAGCACAAAGCCTTAAGCAAACACTATTCAAGATGAGGAGTAGGCAGACAATGAACTCTAGCCAGGAAAAGAGCTCCTACTGAAAGCAGCCTACCTGGGGGCAAGGGGAGGGAGAGCATAAGGAAAAATACCTAATGCATGCGGGGCTTAAAACATAGATGACGGGTTGATGGGCGCAACAAACCACCGTGGCACATGCATCCCTATGTAACAAACCTGCACGTTCAGCACATATATCCCAGAACTTACAGCAAAATAAAAAAAAGCAAGCAGCCTACCAGCCGCTACCTTCTCCACTCTCCCAGCTGCTGGCTGGGTGGCTGGACAGAATGTCGGATGTCCAGCATCCGGGATAGTGAGTCCATGTAACAAAAGCCAGCTCGTGGCCCAGGACGACTTCAGAATGTCTGCATTCTCATTAAACAGAAGCCTCTACACAGCTCAGCCGAAACGCCAATCAACAGTCCTTCTCCCGGACTGGAGTTGGCACAGAGGAGGACCACATAAAACAGTATCTGAGACGCAGAACATTTCATCGAGTACGCTGCCAACTATGAGAAACAGTCAGCTTTAGTAAGAGGGAGCAATTCCGGTGGCTGGCTGTTCTATAAACATTAACAAGGTCCTTAATTTTACAGCATTTAAAAACTTTTCTGGTTTTGGTTCACTGGGATTTTTAAAGCTTAGATGTGAAAATGACTACTGAAAATTATCTACATTTACAGTTCACTCACACACGTTTATTTAATGTCAGTATACAGAGGACAGCCCCACAGTACTTCAGAATATCAAGTATGTAGTAAGTCTTGTTAGCTGTGACAGTGACAAGGCAACAGCTAAAAAAAAAAACAAAGCAGTGAAACAAACATGATTTCCTTAAAATTATAAAACAATACTGATACTAAAGTTTCATTAATTATTGCAACAGTAAAGAATTTAATTTACCAATATTTCATGTTAGGAAGGCTCTTTATGAAATTTATTCAAGTTGTCAAGAAATTGGATGAAAATATAAAAAAGGAAATACATGTGAATTTTACTTTTGATTTTCACTCAAAATATCCATACAATTTTATACAGTGTCGCCTAACATAACAATCTCTAATAAACTCAAGTATACAGAAATGATAAAAATGCAGGAAATTTTTTACACTTTCAAATGAAAGGATAGCAATTTATGACACGAAGTTCGTGTAACAGATGCGGAAATGAATAAAGAAATCAACATCAGTGAGACAGTCTCCCTCTACTGGAGGGGCACGTTCTTATAGTTCGTAACTAGGATCTGAGTTTCAAAGGTAACAGTTGCATACGAGTGCTTTTACATATAAAGCCACAGACTTCACTTCGGCCAGACTAATGTCTCCTCCCTTTGGGACATCACTTGGGGTCGCTGTGATGTGCACCTTGTTAACTTAAAGCAACACCCGACAGTCCCAATCAGCCCGTGGCGAAGGGTGTGCTCCAGACAAGGGGGGGCCCTGCAGGCTGCTGCCAGGGTGGTAGACTATAAACCTTCACCTTTGTCACCCAGACCAGACCGGAGGAGGCGTCTCCAGGTCACCCGACCCCTACCCACGCATGTGGAGGTTCTCACTGCTAAGGAACGAAACCTCAGCCAAGGGCACACCGACCGCCGCCATGGTGCAACCCCGCAGTCAGAGGCCAGTCCCTCCCCCATCCACCGGCACCGGAGGCAGGGCAGGGCCACCGGATCCCCCGCCATGCCCTCACCCACAAAGCTGGACGCCAGACGCTGTGTTCCATGAATCGTTCCCCAGAAAATCCACTGGTGAACTGCTTCTAGTTCTTCCGTGGGCAGTCAGACACGCATGATGTGGCGCTTGGGTTTCCGTGGATCCCTTCTCCAGCCGCCCCCAACCCCTAGGTTTTCTCCGCCTCACACTTTGAGCTCGCTCAACAAAGAAAGAAAACGTCTCCCTCCCAGGCGAGAGGTGATGAGGACCTTGTATGCAGGCAACTTCAGCACTCATTTCATACTTTACAATTTATTATTTAAAATGAACCCCAGGAAGTGGAGGAACTGGGGAGAAATGGCTGCCTGGCCACGTGCCAGCTGGGCCCTGGGGGTGAAGTCAGCCAGTGGAGAGCCCTGGGCCCCGCCCGGACGGTGTCCTTGCCCCTAAAATCCCATCCTGTCACTGCATTTCTTCCTCAGAATTCCTGAACGCCTTTGAGAAAAGAATGATTGTGATAGCTCCTTTCTGATTTTCCATGCCTCCATTTTTAAGGCATTTACCCTCAGTCCCCAGCTAAGGGTTCACAGGAAAACACTTCCAAACTGCTAGAAGGTTCAATCAGCACAAAAGAGAAATGAGATCCTTTACCATGATTTAAGCAAATTTCGACCCCAAGGCTACTGGTTATTTGTAAAGTGTCTACTCCTGCACATGCATTTGCTTTTAAAAGAAGGCAAGCTTTTCCAAAGGTTCCCTTCTCCAGGCCGCTGGGGGAATTTTTAATTCTCCTTCTGAATAAGAAAAAAGCCTCAGAGAAAGGCTCCAGGGCCACCAGTAGTGTTTAGAAGCCTGCCCCATCGCAGTCACAGCACAAATCTGGCTTCTTGAATTCTGGTGAAAAAGGCCAACCCAAGGAGGGCGAGTTGAAGCTCCCCTGGCCCTGGCCTGGCACCTTCAGAAGGTGTCTGACACCGCCCAGGGACCAGCTCGCCCCCTTGCCGGGTGGGAGCGGGATTCTCCAGCCACGCAGCGTGCACCTGACTTTCGTCTGAGCCTTTCATCTCTGTGGTTTGGTACACGCTGGAACAGTGATGCTGACTGAGTATTTAACAGCCTCTTCTTGCCAAATGCTGTGTTTTATTCCACAGATTAGGTTAGAAAAGATATTCTTGCTCATAATAACGTTTAGGCTGAAAGACTGAAAAATTTCAATGAGGAAGCTCAAAGTTTGGCGAGAAAACTACAAATATTTTCCCCAAATTTCTCCTAGGGTTAGCAGCACGCATTGCACCTTACACACCTGATATCAGGAACCACCGCGGCCACCCCTCCCCAGGCCCTCCCCAGGTCTGCGGGAGCCATTACTCAGAAGCACAGCCGAGGAGAAGGGCGCTTCCCTGCCCCTCTCTCCAGTGCCCTCTTCTCAAGCTGTTGGGCACTTTTAGTTCTGGTCTTGGAGAACACCTTGCATCCTGTCCTCCTGCCTGCAGAAGTGCTCTGCCGGCTGTCAAAGAAAGGGGCAGCAGTCAGAGGGGCAGAGTGGACACAGAGTGGTGTCGCCCTGCAGGGCCTGGGCCAGCCTGGGCTGAGCCAGGGGTCAGGACATGCAGTCAAAGGCAGCCCCTCCCCAGGCTGGCACAGTGCTCTCCACTGGGCCCTGAACCCAGCAAGAGGGGCCTTGGGGAGGGCACGTAGACACAACGAAGGGGCCCCAGACAAGGTACCAGACAGACATTAAGGACAGTACACTCCTTGGCAAAAACTGGAAGAAAAAGATTGTTATCAAGCCTCAAATCCAAAACTGACAATATCATAGTGTTTAAAACTGGAGGTGGGGGGAGAAAGACACACACAGGCCTCCATACTAGACAGCACACTTCGGAGTTGTTTTCAAAGGAAACATAACCTCCTCCTCTTGCCTCTCCCACCCCTGGTTCCTATCAGCAAATGACTCCTAAGTCACCTGTCAGTGTACCCCTGCAATCCCTCTTTCATCCCAGCCACTGCGACTGAGAATTTTAAAGAAGGGGGAGAAATCAGAGAGTCCCCAGTCGGTCACGTTGGTTACTCGGGCACACACCCCCACGGCTTCCCTGTCCAGGGCAACACCTTCAGAACTGCAAGGTCGCCAGAAATGTCACCATAAATGCTACTTACTTGGGATCGGCCACTCTCTATTTAGGCCAAATACTAAGTCCTGAATTTTGAAACTGCATACTCAATGCCTCAGAAGCATTTGAAACTGAACGTTTACAACTATGTAGGTGCAAAAGTTGCACATGGAGCGTTCATCACTAATCTCTCCACATGACCCAATTTGGCCTCCAAAGCGGAAACTGTCCACAAGGATGGCTGTCATGGCTACCTTAGATCAGTTCACCTTTAGGAACAAAGGCCCGTATTCCACAGGTAGAGAGGACACGAATACTCCTAGGAGCAGTGCTCAGGGATGTGAAAGGCACAGCCAGGAGAGATGCACCTGAAGGCTGCTGTGGTTCCCAGGTGGCAGCACGCGGCCATGCCATCACACTCAACAGAAACCACTGCGTTAAGGCCCACGATGGGCACAGGGTGGATGGCGCCACCGTGACATGTTTGCAGATGGGAAGCAGGCCTGGGAACCTGGCCCGGCTTTCCTGGGAGGGCTGCGTTAAGAGCACAGGGAGCTGCTGCTTCAGCTACCAGGGTCTTTACACTGCAGAGAAAGAAAAGCCACCAGGTCTTCACTTTGCTGAATCATATTCACTACGCAAACTGGTCTAAGTGATCGTTGTCTCTATATTTAATTACAAAGGTGTACAACCTAAATGCCCAAAATGAGTTAACAAGTAAGATAACCACCATCTTGACATGGAATACATAGTTCAAGGGGCCATCTCACCCACTGGGAAAACCAGAATTTGAAAAGCAGCTCCTGGTGCAGCAGTAGAGAGTGAGGGTGAAAGACTGCGGTCTCCGGGGGAGCAGCAGAGCCTCCCACTGCCGAGGAAGCCACAGGCCACCAGGTCCTGGGCTGAGGCGCTAGGGTGGGAGCCACTGAGGACGAAGCCTACGCACATGGCCAGCGTCAGCATCCCAAGAGTAATCCCGGAACCACAGCTGCCATCCAAGAACAAGGAGAGGGGAAACCTGCACTTCCGCTTCCTCTGCGGGGGACGAAGCCCAAACGAGGGCCATGTCAGGGAGAAGTCGGAAGACTCGGGGAGTCTCAGGCTTTACGAAACAAAGCGCGGAGGAGTCACGTGCCTTTCTGACCCAATCCCCCTCCCCCACCGCACCTCCCCGCCCCCGGCAAAAAACCAAAAAACTCCTTTTCCCTTGTTGGGAAAACACACAAGCAAAGTGCATCTGAAGAAAAGGTCTTCGCTTATGTGGCAAGAGGCACTTCTGCAATGCTGTTGGCGTCCTCGGCCCGCAGTTCCCACGAACTGTCAGGCTCTGAGTGAGGTACGGGTATCTTAGTACACAGAACCTCAATCAAAGTGCTACAAACTGCTTCTTTGAAAAAAGATGTTTATTAAACAACTTTAATTGTCATAAAATGACTAAAATGGGTTTTAAAAATTAAGGCTCTTCTCTTTCTGTGGATTGCCAGAACAATGTAAAAATAATATCAATCAACCCTGCTAAACGTTTTGTTCCTAAAGTTAAATTTCATAGATTCCTAAACATTTTATGATTAAGATAAAAAATTGGACTATAAATGACAATTCATGGCCATCTGTGCTGAACACACATTGATCAGGTGTACAATATTCTAATTGAGTAGTTAAGCAAAAAATATTCCAGTTAAAGCATAAATTTTAATTTCAGCATTTTAAAGTCATTGTTTCCCCACATGGTCATGATTTTCCTAAAATTGAAATAGTCTAATACAGGAGCGCTAACCTTGGGACTCTATATACTCCCAGGAGGATGACTGACTTGGCTGGCAATTAGTTTGATTATATTTTTTTAAATGCTCTAAGGTAAATTATCAAATGATTCAGAATTACATGGCATGCAGTATCCAAAATTATGGCTCTGATGCATTGAGATTTACATTAAGAATAAGAAGTGTCATTCACATTCATTGTACACCCCACCCCTCCCACGAAAAAGAAAAAAGTCACTACCTATTCAAGTTCTAGATCTGGTGCAGCATTAAGGATTAAAACTTACCACTTTACCAGGCCTTCCCCATGTGCAAATAAATCCCTCCTGACAAGCAGTGACTATACAGTCTTCAAGAAATATTAGTACAGTCAGTCTCTCATGTGCTATCTTTTTACATATCAGCGGCTCTAACAAGGGAACATCTTCCATTCGAGGACACAGGGGCGTTCCCAGAGTTTTAGCAGGGTCCGTTTTGGTTTTGGTAACTAGATTCAGTTTGTCACTGCTCTTGCTAGAAATGTGTCCCATGCTATGATTTCGCTTGTGATCTTTCTCGTGGTGCCTCTCCTTCCGGTCATGTAGTGAAAGTGTTGCAAATTTGCTGACCCCAGAAGCAATGGCCCCGTCCATGACACTGCTTTTGCTGCCAGCATTTGAGACTGCTGAATGTGGAAGGCTGTTGGACCGTGGCAGAGGAGGCGGCACAGAGTTCCCGGGTGTTGTAACACTGTTCCCATTGCTTCCAGCAGGAGGACTCGTGGCATTCATGACATTTGTGTGTGTCCTTGCTCTTGAGAGGGGTTGGTGAGGGAAAAGGATATCTTCTGTAAGGTCCCATAAACAGAGCTGTGTGTCCTGGCCCACGGAACCAAACCGATACGTGACACTTACGGGGCGGCTGTCTGTAGAGTTCCGTTTGGAGAGCCTGGACTGTGTACTATTTGCTCGATCTCTGCCAAAATGAAGAAGGTCTTGGAAGTCCTCATCGCTGCCACTAAACTCCATAGGGTCACCTTCTTCTACACTAGTGGTATAAGGGTCAAACGCTACAACACTGACCCAGGACTTGTGCCCGTGGCCTCTGGCTATTACTCGGCAGTCTACAAAGGACCAGACTGTCACCAAGTCGTCCTCCCCACCTGTCACGATGTACTTGCCATCCGGGCTCCAGCACACACACAGCAAGCCCCCAAAGTAGCTTTTCATCGTACCGTGCAGCTCCACTGAGTCAAAGTTGAACACCCGCAGAAACCCGTCCTGGCTCACGCACGCTAAGAACTTGCCATCTGGGGAGAAAGCAAACTCGTTGAGGGCCCCCTCGCCCACCGTCCACTTAAGGAGAGGGTTCCTCGTGGATTTGCTCTTGCAAGTGTGCACGGCAAAGCTCTCTCCCTGCTTCAGAAGCTGGTAGTGGGGGGCTGTGGTGCCACAAGTGTGCTCCACATTATATAAGTACATGTTCCCACTCGAGTGGGCTACTAGGAAAAGGCTTTCCGAACCGGGAACCCATTTGACACAGGTAACTCGTGACTTGTCTATTAGTCTCTGTGAAGACAAAGGAGAACAAGTTAGCACAACGGAGAAGTCTCAAAGGTCTACTTTTCCAGCAAGAAAACTTGTGTGCTTCTCGATGGGAAGGGGCAAGTCTATCCAGGCCCTCCACATTTTATCCTGCAGTCAGCCAAGCCAGCAAGGAGCGTTTTGGCCCTTTTGGGGTAATTTAGAATTACTTTCTAAAATCGGTGTTAGGCTGCTGGCTTTCACGGAGGGAGTCAGGCAGCCAACAGATATTTGCAGAGGGGCCACTAAGTGCCAGACACGATGCCAGGCACAGGGTTCACTGCGGAGGGAACAGCCCTGCTGGGATCTTTCTTCCTTGACAGTAGGTGCATCTGAATCTGGGGGTCACTGCATCTGCATGTGGTATCCCCTCTACGAGGACCTGCAGGTGAAGCCTGTGAGTCCTCACAGCCAGGAGGGCTCTGCCTCACCCTCACGGGTTCCTCTGCCTTTACTGTCACTGTAGGTAATGGGCTGGTTCCATCTGCCCCTCTGCTCTGGCGGCTCGAAGGTGGGGAGTGAAATCCACAGTCCATGGCTGGCAGCACACACAACTCCAAAACAGAGCCTGGGCCCACTGAGGCCGCCTCACTCCCATGCACCGCCCCACGTGCATCTCCATAAGCATCTCCTCGAAACCCTCTCTGCTGGTGTTGAGAGAGATACACTGACGATTCATTCGGGAGTGTGTGTCTCATTACCATCACTCTGCTCCATATGCTAACTTTGGACCCCTGACCGAGATGTTTCTTTAACAGGCGTATGTCAGTAGTCTTGCCTTTAAAACCCAAATAACGAAGGGCAAAAATACCTGCCCCACCAAAGGCACAAGTCTCTTTCCCTGCTTGCCAATCAATCCTGTGATGGGGATGCCAGCGCAACACCTTCCACAGGGGCGGTCCCTTTCTGGACCGTCTGAGCGCAAAATCGCATCACCAGAACACATCCAGAAGTCCCAAGACTCCCAAGTTCTACCTAGAAGCTCCTACTGCCAAGTGCTCTCCACTGCACCATCGCCCCAGTAACAGTGTCCCTTTAGGAGCCCAGCAGCCCCAGGTAAGTTGAACACCACCGCTTCACCTAACAGGTGGGGAGTCCCTGACTCAAGTCTCAGAGGGGTACTGGGCACACAGGGGCAGAATCTGCCAAGAAACATGCCGACTTCTGCCAGGGTGGCTTTGAGGCCATGTGCCCGCCATGTGTGCTACATCTTTACAGAGAATTACAGAAATAAGACGACTTGATTTTTAAAAGAACGGCTGGGAAAGAAATTAATGAGCCATGCAAGCTCACTGCATGAACATTAGACCCTAGAAAGTAGGCTGCTAACAAAGGACCCCAGGCAGGAAGAACGGAGGCCTGAACGCCACACAGCATGCGGGCCCAGGGCTGGGGACCATGCATTGGGCAGTTACTCAGCAGCAGGTGTCACTGCTTACTGCCGTAAAACGGCATGGCTGGTCCTCTTAAATTAATAGGCACGTGGCAAGCCAGCCTTGGGGACACAGCCAGTATTTTCATCCCCCACCTCCTCTTTATCCTCCTGCCTGGTGACCTACCTATAAACAGCACCTGACCTGCACTAATGCCAACAACCTAAAACCCAGCGCTGCTCTGGCAGGATTTCCATTAGACCTTCGTGCAATTTTCTCAGCAAGGGGTTACAGAGATAATTTACATGGCCAGAGCAGGGCTTTTTTTTGATGGTGGAGGGAGGTGCAAGGATGATGGGATGGTGAACGGTGGATTAAGAGGCCTCCACTCCCCCATCACAGCTCTGCCAGACCTTGCTGTGCCCACTGGGCCCAGACTACCCCAGCACTCTTGATCCCACAAACACAACTGTACCTGATCGCCCAGGGCCTAAGGGTGTCTGCAGCTCGCTCCATCACTGGCCTTGTCAGGCAGGCCTACACCAGCTAACTCAGGCCTGGGAAGCCAGACTGCTGTCCTGATTTTGGTACAGTGGCTCCCAATTCCTGCACCTTACATTTCACCAGAACCAAATCAAATCCCAGTTTTTCTAGGATCACTTCATTGTTACTCTATTTACCATGTGTGGAGAAATTTCAGGACATAAAAACTTCTAGCAGCACGGTTAGGAGTAAATTTTATTTTGGGCCTTAAAAAACACAACAAAAAACTGCATGAGAACTCAAAAACTAGTATGATCAAGTAAAAACAGTATTGCTTTGCAATAGTGAGGTATGAACAGCATTTATAGCACCATTAAAAATAAATGTTACTGCAATGACAAAACACATTAAAAACCTTCACTCCCGTATTAAGAAGCTGCACTGTGGCCAGGCGCGGCGGCTCACGCCTGTAATCCCAGCACTTTGGGAGGCCGAGGAGGGTGGATCACTTTAGGTCAGGAGTTCGAGACCAGCCTGGCCAACATGGTGAAACCCTGTCTCTACTAAAAATACAAAAATTAGCTGGGCATGGTAGTGCGAACCTGTAATCCCAGCTGCTCTGGAGGCTGAGGCAGGAGAATCACTTGAACCCAGGAGGCGGTGGCTGTGTGCAGTGAGCCAAGATCACGTCATTGCATTCCAGCCTGGGCGACAAAGTCAGACTCCATCTCAAAAGAAACAACAACAAAAAAAAACAGTGCACTGAGACGACCCTAAGTAGACACATGGATGTAACTTACAGATAACATCCTGTGCCAATCTACTTCAATCCCCCTGTGGGGGCCTAATTAAATGTTACTGTGACACACTGGCAATGGTGGACTGAGCACACCAGTTTAAGCAACCGCAGACCAAAAAAAAAAAAAACCGACCTTGGATCCACCTGTATTGTGGTAAGGGTTTCTCACTTGCCTTACCCATTGTTTTTCTCTGTCAATCATGTGCTTGACAGCAGGGAAAACACGTGCTTCTCTGGGGGCGCCCTGTGTCTCAGCAATATCAGGGTGAGTGGCAGGCAGGCAGCAGTGTCTGTGGGCAGCAACAGCAGCGTGCTGGCCCTCACTTCCAATCAGAGTGTCTACTGTGGGTGCTGGCCACTGGTAGAGGCTTACACCCATGCTCTCTAAGCCTCAAAATTACCTTTCAAGATACGCTTTTTGTGTGAATGGGTAATACATTATTAATTCACATAAAAGTATACAGTAGAAAGCCTTACATTCTTCTACTCCATTCCGGATCCTCTGTCCTGAGTCACTGTACTAGTTTCTCATTTCTCTCTCCAGAGTGTCTTTGTGCATGTACAAGGCAAATATGAATACGCATTTATCCACTCTTCTTTTTCATACCAAAGGGAGCATACTATGCACTGTCTCACCTCTGCTTTCTCATTCCATATCTTTTTTTTTTTTTTGAGACAGGGTCTCGCTCCATCACTCAGGTTGGAGTGCAGTGGTGCAATCACGGCTCACTGCAGCCTTGACCTCCCAGGCCGAAGCAATCCTCCCACCTCAGCCTCCTGAGTATAGCTGGTGCTTCAGGTGAGTGTCGCCACACCCAGCTGATTAAAAATTTATATTTTTTGTAAATACAGGGTGTCGCTATGTTGTCCAGGCTGGTCTCAAACTCCTGGCTTCAGGAGCAAAGCAATCCTCCTGCCTTGGCCTCTCGAAGTGCTGGGATTAAAGGCGTGAGCCACCATGCCCAGCCTCCAAGTGTATTTGTACATCAGTCTGTATGGGCACAAAGACAGCATCCTCATTCTTTTCTAAAGCTGCAGAGTATTCAACTGTTTGGATAAACTGTGGTTTATTGTGGAAGTGCCCCACTGATGGACATCTATGTAGCAATGAATGCCCTTGCACACACGCACTTTTCACATGTGTGAGTAATGTACCTACAGGATAAACTCCCAGTGGAGTAACTGAGCCAAAAGATATATACATTTATGATTTTTACAGATGTTACCAAATTGCCTCGCATGGAAAATGGAAAATGCAGTCATGCCTGTCTCCCTACAGGAAGGCAGGGATTGTCGCCATATTATCAGTGAGAAAAGAAGCTTAGAGAGGTCAAGAAACTTGCCTGAAGTCCCATCCATCCATCCAGTATTGAGTGCGTACCATATGCCAGGCACTGATACAATATAAATTAAAACAGGCATCTTTCCCTCATGAAATTTAGGTTCAAGTGGGATGAGAAGACAGTGAAATTTATGTGATCTGATGATGATAAGTGCTGTGGAGAAAAATAAACCAGGGAGAGAAGAGAACGTGCTGGGGAGAAGGGGACTCTAGTGATTTCAATGTTGAATAGGATGGCCAAGAAAGGCCTCTTCCTCTGCTGGTGCTGGACAGCTGAGCAAGACAGAAGGACAGAAAGACAGCAAATATCAGGCTAAGAGGATGTTTGGGGAAGTGTACCCCCACAGAGAACAACTTCAAGGACTCCGAGGCGGAGAGACACAGCCGAACCAGTGCCAGGGGAACAGACGGGCCCATCAGACCCCAAAGCGAGCATGCTGTCTCCCGTTCCACAGACACACATCACCTGGCTCCGACGACCAGCCTGCAGGGCCACTCCCAAGCGTTCTAAGGAACAGGGCACCAGCCTGTCTCAGACCCCAGGCCAGTGTGGGAAGCACAGTCATTTAACTTACATGACTCTGGCTTATTTGGATTGGGTTTGACAAAAGAGGAAGAGAACAGAACACATTTTTCTCCTGTCTTTCAAATTAAGAAAGAAATACCTAGAACATTTAATTAAATAAATACAAGAATAAAAATTATGCAGTCCAGTTTCTGCACTATAAGGTATATTTTTGTTTCAGAAAAAGTCTAGTTAAAAAAAAAAATCTTAGTCAGTGCTCAATGATAAGTAATGGAATTCCCTGTTGGGCTTGAATTCTCTCCAATGTCAATGGGGCCTTGATCTGGATGAGGATGTTGAAAAATACCCGGTCCCTCTGAGGGATGGGGTTTCGGGGGTGGGCAGGGAGGCAGGAGTGGCAGAAGCACCAGGGGCCATGCTCCAAGGAAAAGCCCAGCCAACACAGCAGGCCAGGGGGGTGGGGATCCAGGCCATGTGTGGCATCTGTCTTGATCGCAGCACATGAGCTGGGAGGGGAATTTGGTCTGGAGTTGTGAGCTGGGACTCAGGCTGTGGCTGTGAAGTCCCAAGCTAAAGGGCTTCGGCTGGGACCCTGACGCTTGCACTCCCCAGTCCCGCAGCACTGGTCTCAAGTGGAATGTGCTGTCAGTGTAAACACACACAGGGTTCTAAAAATGTGGTATGAAAAAAAATGTCAATGATCTCATTTATAGTTTTTACACTGGTTATATGCTGAAATAATATTTTGGAGATATATATATAAAATACAGTATTTTCTTAAAATTAATTTCACCTGGTTTTTACTATTTTAATGTGGTAATTAGAAAATTTAAACTTGCACACGTGGCTGGCACTGTATTTCTACTGGGGATGCTGCTGCAGACAGTGGAGGCACAGACAGTTTCTAGAAAGGGAAGTGGCAGAATAACATGAAATCCCCCAGCAGTAGGTGCAGAATGCAAGGTGGGGTGGGGGTGATGAGGAACCAGTTAGGAGGCTATGACAACTGTCCATGCCATGGACAAATAGGTCTTAAACTTGACCATGGGCAGCGTGGCAGAATGTGGCTGGGTGGAGGGCAAGATGGAAAGCGGGGGTGTGTAAAGACCCCTGGGTTTTGCCCAGTATGCAGCTAGAAAGGTCTGCAGCTAATAAATATAACCACGAATGTCACAGAAATTGGCTGCGAATAGTAACATCCTAAGATCTCCAAGGAGGATCACTTGAGCCCAGGTCAAGGCTGCAGTGAGTTATGATTACACCACTGTACTCCAGCCTGGGTGACACAGTGAGACCCTGTCTCTGAAATAAATAAATAAATATCTCCAAGGAAGCAGGTGCAGCGGAGGAAGAGTGTGTGAAACTCTGAAAAAAACCTCCGTACAGGCCCGGCGCAGTGGCTCACACCTGTAATCCCAGTACTTTGGGAGGCCAAGGCGGGCGGATCACGAGGTCAGGAGATCGAGACCATCCTGGCCAATATGGTGAAACCCTGTCTCTACTAAAAATACAAAAAAATTAGCTGGGCATGGTGGCGGGTGCCTGTAGTCCCAGCTACTCAGGTGGTGAGGCAGGAGAATGGTGTGAACTCGGGAGGCAGAGGTTTGCAGTGAGCCGAGATCGCACCACTGCACTCCAGCCTGGGCGACAGAGCGAGACTCCGTCTCAAAAAAAAAAAAAAAAAAAAAAAAACCTCCATACAGGGCACAGGACAAAAACAAGGAAAGCAGAAGGAATATCCAAGCAAACAACCCAGAAGTGCCATGAGGAGAGCAGGCAGAAGAGGAAGGAGCTGCCACAGGAGGCCAGAGCCTCAGAGGACAGGCCTCTGAGACTTGAGGAAGCTGAGCCCTAGAGGGATGGAGTGCACAGGGAGGGGGTGGTCCTTAGGAGAGAGCACAGGGAAGCAGGGTGGGGGCAGAGAAGGTGCTGAGAGCAAAGGGACACCGTAGGGGAGGAGGGTGCAGGGCAGGTGCCTGGTGGAGGAAGGTGAGCTCCAGGAGAGAGGGACAGGGAAGAGACCTGCTCCCTGGGCCAGAAGGGAGGTGCTGGGGAACAGAGACAGGCAGAGGCAGGAAGGCTCTGGTGGGAAGCAGTGGAGGAGAGCCCCAGTCCCAGTCGCAGCCCCTCCAGGGCAGGGGTACACTGAGAGATGGGCAGGGCAGGTGCTCAGCGAGGAGGCGGAGGGAAGGCAGGGGAAGTAACAGAGGTGCTGGCAGAGCAGCTGGCCTGGCCACAGGGCTCTCCATCAGTGTCCAACTCCAAAATGCTCCAAGGCCCATTCTTAACAAACACGTTCATAAAAACACAAAAAACCCAAAACGCAAATAAACCTTAAAAGCAAAACGAAATACAGACACATTTCTATGTACGTCAAGACACCTGCTCTGGGCCAGTGCTCTGTGGGGATGCAGGCTCCATGTCTCCACTCAACGCTCAGCGCGGCCCTCCCCATAGTTCCAGCTCTGCAGGCCAAACAGACCGTGCCACTTAAGATATGAATACAAAGAAAAATCCCACGAACAGCGAAAACACTACCATCCCAAATGCCATCAACAGACAAGATTTTCAAAATACACTAGTTAAAATGAAACAAGAATAAAAATAAGTCTATAACCACATCAAAGTGTCATTTTGTGAAAGCAATTCACACTGACGCTTTCTAAGGCACTTCATTTTCTTTTTCTTTTTTTTCATTACTATCAATATGATAAGCAAAAATCAAAAATTAGTTTGGGGGTGAGTGGATCTGCATTTCAAAATGCAGATATTAATTTATAACAAAAATACTGAAACAATTCAAAAACCACAGCAGCTGCTTGAAAAGCCATAATGCAACCACAAGCAAAAATGGCAACTAAAGGCTCTGATGATGTAAAGGCATCTGAAGAGGGCTCAGGAAGTATTAGGAAAGGGTATTTCAAAGCCACATTAAGATGGGATCGGATGTCGTTTTATCTGTGTTCAAGCTTTAAGGAGTAGATCATTACGGGCTCATTTCCTTCCTTCGATTAGAAAATCAACAGAAACAAAACTAACAAAATGTGCAGACCATTCCTTTGTATCAGAATAGACAGAACACTGCTAAGCTTTACCCCATGCCTGGGAGGCACCTGCAGCTGGCAGGATGTGCCACGCAGCCTGGGCTGGCAGCAGTGTCCCTCCATACCCCAGGAGTCAGGGCCATCTCCTCTTCAGCATGCCCTTCAGTAAGACTGGATCTAAATGCCACAAGGAGACGTGGGACCTACCCAGTGTGTCTGCCTCAGCCTCACAGCCTGCGAGAGGAGAAGGGCAACAGCAGAGGGTATCGTGTCAGTAACGAAAGAAGCCAAATGCCAAGTTCTTTAACATTTTATATTTCAGCCAACAATTAACACATACTTGAAAATCCTTCAAAGTTACTATTCTGTGAATATACTCCAAAATCAGGATTTTTACACAGACAACAAGGTTGCATTCATTACCATATAGGAACTGTCCCTTTGTAACTCTTCCTCCCCAAATATATAACCATTAGTTATAAAAAGCAAACTTCAGAACAGGGCAGAGTGAAACACACACACACACACACACACACACACACACACACACACAAAAAAAAAAATTTAAAAAGTAAACTCCTCGCCCCTGTGGGGTGCTTCACCACAGTGAGCTGAATGTGACCGGGTGACTCTCCTCTGTGGGCAGCTCTGATGATGAGGACACGCTCCACGATCTGGGAGCTTGTCAGATGAACCGTGCGCCAAGATACTTTCAATAATGGCCCATTAGACATTTTCAAGGGCATCATATGTACAGAACGCTACAAACAGAAACCCAAAATCTACTCTGGAAGATTGGGGAAAGCAGAGACTCCAGGGAGCTGGGGATGATTTCCTGAGAGGGGCTAGAAAGGACTGGGCATTCGACTTTCTTTGGGTCTTGAACAGATGCACCAGCAAGGACCTCCAGTGTGACTGAGGACAGTCCCAGGGAGCGGGAAGAGGGCAGGGCCTGCCCATGCTCACTGGGCTGACCTGATCAGGGCCAGACTTGGAGATGAAGTTTGGTGAAGTTTGCCTTCACCCCCAATGGAAGGTGTGAGCCCTATGGTGTCCCCTCATTGAAAACAATCACAGACTGTGAAAGTCAACAGTGAGCGTCACGGTTTAGAGGTGATGCTTTCCTACCTTCTTTGTACCTCTCTATTTTCCAATTTTTCTATCAACAAGCATTTTAAATGCACACAATTTTTAATTGACAGGGGGAAAATCATCTTTTAAAATATACTTGTTCCCAGATGGGAATTTTTCATCTATGTTTATCTCAGGTGGATTTCTGAAATTTATAATTCCATTTCACTCATCTTTCCATCCCAACATTTATTACATTTTCATGTACCAGGCACCAGAAAGGAGGCAAAGGCCAGAGTAACTGATGCTGGGGATTCGGTGTGTGAAGGTGTGTGCACGTGTGGTAACAGGTGGGTCTGAGAGGTGTTCTGGTGAGGAACACTGAAAGGCCACATTGCTGTAATTGTGACCAGCGGGCCAACCCTCAGCCTCACACATGTTGACTCTCTGCCTGGGTTGCCATGCTCCTACCTGCTTGTCCTAAAAAATTAATTATTTGTATTTCAAAACGGTTGGTATCTCACCTCCCACGGAACCCTTTCCGTCCAACACCACCCCTCCCAGGAAAGGAAGCCTGAGTTTCTCTCAACCTCCACGTTGCTGAGCATCCACCAAGGCTCGCTCTTCAGGCCCTTCACAAACACCCTGCCTGAACTCACTCATCTGAGCCTCATCACAAACCTCTCAGGTGGGTGCTGTTCCCACCCATTTTCCAACCGAGGAGAGGTAAGACCCACATCATCCTGCAAGCAGAAAGTGGCAGAGCTGGTGTCCGAGCCCTCAGCATTCTGGGCTGTGAAGTTGTAAATGTCGTGGTAATTAACTGTGTGTTAAGTGCCCCTTTGAAAGCAGTAGCTGAGATGGCCAGAATCTTGGAGTATAATCAGGCCTCAGACCCAGGCCTTCTTTGTTCTCACCATCATCTCTCCAAAGAACCTTTCATCTAATCTCAAGGATGTGATTATTATTTCTATGCTGACAACTGCCAAATTGTAACCCCTAGTTTTGTGCTCCAGATCCATACATCCCACTATCTACAGGTCTCTCGAACTTAGCAAGTACAGACCAGAACCTCTGATCTTCCCCTCCATTCCCTGACAACTGCTCCTTTCCCAGTCTCACCCAACACAGCAAGAGACACCCAGAAACCTGATTTATTAATACACCTTTCCAATTCAGTCTCCAAAAAGCAGCCAGGGTACCTTTCAAAAACACCAATCTGCCTGCCTTGTGCACCTGCTCCCTTCTAAGGAATCCCGTACTTCAGGCTAAGAAACAAATCTGGATCAGGCCGTAGGTGATGTGGCCCTCCAATCTCATGCCCTTACTTCATGCCACCTTCCCCAGGTAAACCGTCCTTCTTTCAGTTTCCTTGGGCTCAAGGGCCCTCATGTGCTATTCCTTTTGCAGGAAAGCTCCATCTCCAGTTCCTTACCTGGTTGGCCTTCTTCTCACATGAGGCACAGCTTAAAACATAGCACTTCGTCCGAGAGATGTCCTCTGCCTCCCAGTTTAAAGTAGACCTCTGTGTTGGCCAGGCGTGGTGGCTCACGCCTGTAATTCCAGCACTTTGGGAAGCTGAGGTGGGTGGATCACTTGAAGCCAGGAGTTCCAGACTAGCCTGGCCAACATGGTGAAATCCCGTCTCTACTAAAAATACAAAAATTAGTCAGGTGGCCTATAATCCCAGGTACTTGGGTGGGTGAGGCACAAGAATAGCTTGAACCTGGGAGGTGAAGGTTGCAGTGAGCCAAGATTGCGCCACTGCACTCCAGCCTGGGTGACAGAGTAAGACTCTGTCTCATAAATAAATAAATAAATAAATAAATAAATAAATAAATAAATAAATAAAGTAGACCTCTGTGATTCTCTCCCTTTCTTGGGCCTGCTCTCTTGCCTCTTACATCACAAAGTGTCACCATCTGTGGTCACCAGTGTTTCGGGGGTGGTGCTATTATACCTCTCTTCCCTCCTGAGAGGGGTCACAGGAGGGCAGGTTTTGCCCACTGCTGCAGACCCAGTGCTGGGCATGTGGTAGGTAGTCAAGGTCCTGAATGAATGAAACAATGGCCGCAACTCTAGTTCAAGCCCTCAGCTCTCACCTGGACAGTTACTAGAGCCTCCTCACTGGTCTTGCTACCTTCATTCTGTCTTTCTTCATTCCAATCCACCTTCCACAAGTGCTGACAAGAGTTCTAAAAAAACACATTTGATCCTGTCACTCCCTTCATTAAAAGGCCAAAGGTTCCCCCACATCTTCCAGTGTCAGTTCCAAATTGCTTCACGTGACATGAAAAGGCTTTTATAAGACAAGCTGGTTCCAATTTATCTTTCCAGCTTCGAACTCTGACACTCCAAGTCCCACACTGTGATGTGGCCAAGCTGTTACTGGATGTTCTTTCACATGCCTAGTTGTTCCTCCAGCTTTGAAGGCCTTCCTTACCCTCCTCTAATGACTATGTACCCTTTAAGACCCACATCAAACATCACTTTCTAAAAGCATTTCTTGGAACTCCCCCAGTGAACTTAACATTTTAAAAAACTTTAAAATGCATACTAAAGAATTCCTGCGGCAGCTAGCCCTTGGTATTTTGTTCATATCGCTGTGCTGACACGTGCCCAGTACTCTCTGTCCATTCTTACTAAACTGTGAGCTCCCGGAAGGGCAAGAGCTCATCTGGCAACCATGCATGGTGGGTCCTGTAACCAATGAGTTTCTGGAATTAATTTCTGGTTCCAACTCTATCATCAACTTGCTACCTGATCTGGACAATTCACTTATGTGCTCTTTGACTATTTCCTCATCTGTAAAATGGGAACAACTCCCCACCCTCCCTGTAGAGGCCATAGGTAAAAGTGCCTTGAAACCTGTAAATGTCACACCACAGCAAAGCACGACACGATGACTACTTCACCACCATTCCTGGCACTCTCTAAGGAACAAACCTCCGGTGACCCTTGCTCTTAGACATTCTGACCAAAATCTGATAAAAATGTATCCACATGGCCAGAGGATCTCCTTACTATGAAGGGCAATCGATTTCAGCCTCAAGCTGTAAATGCAAAGCTGGCATTAAACCACACACAGTCTTAGCATTCTAAATAGCAATTTCTCAAATAAAATGTAAAGTGAGTATGAGATAACTCATGCTTAAATCATGAAGAATGAGGAGCTGCCTTCCAGCCTGCAACTCCCAGTCACCAGGGCAGGGATAGTTCTGGCCAATGCAGCCTGAGTGCTCCCAGAGCCCTGAGATTCTGGGGACGTGTGGTCTCCAACTCCCTGCCCTCCCCCTGCCACGACACACAAAACTTTCTTGTTCTCTAAGCGGCATTCTGTACCATCCTCGGCCAGGGCTGCCTCCGGGTCTTGTTTACTAACAGCCCTTACATGGCTCCAATCCCTGCCCCCTCCAATCACACTCTCCCCTACCTAAACAATAAAAACCCACAATGATTCCAAATTCACAATTTCTGCTAACAGTGCAGAGGAGGCCAATTTTGTGCGCTGCTCCCCAAACTCAGCACCAAAAAAATAATCATCCAGCTACTTAGAAATCACTTCTGCAGATGATACTAAAAAAACATCTAGGTAAATAAAATATTTTCTGCTTAACTTTTTTTTAATGGAAAATGGGATTAAATACTTTTCCTCTACAATCTGTCAGTCCAGATGGCAAGTTTTGTTTCCAGTCAACTCAGAGGAAACTAGAAGAGATGGCATGGTTCATAAGATCTTATCAAATCCACTGGCAATGTCAAACAGGAGCACCCTGGGTGGATACTGATTTGCATGAATAGCAAGTACCATAACTGCAAAAGAATCCAAATTTTAACTGCCATTTGTCAATTTGAATTTTCTTCCCCAAACAAAATTATTTCTTAAAAACCATACTCTATAATGTGTTTTTGTTCCAAGTTAATGATGTTAAAACCATGCAACAATGCAAAAGGGAGGGGGTCCCACATAGCCTGACCCTTGCGCCTCAGGGGCAAGGTCCCAAGTAGAGATTGGAACCCAGGGCTTCTAACTCAGCAAGCCTACCTTATCTTTTCCACTTGGTAGAAAAGTCATACTGAAACAGACGAGGAAGAATATTAAATATGAAATAGCAATACTTGAGGCTGAAAGATGCTCCAACAGCTTTAAAAAATATAATCTACTTGGCAATTTCTATATGCCACATTTAACAGTCCTGACATGTTCCTGAACAGACAGCTCAGATATCTCAGGCTCTTTCCAGAATGAAATTGAAGATACTAGAAACCCCAGTACATACTACAACACTGGCAAAAGCTATGTCATGTGACCAAACTTTAAGCGCCAGGATTTCCAACTATGTCAAAGATGAGTTTACAGTAACTATTTTCAAGAGCAAGTGAAGTACTCCTTAGCCAAATGACTGTCAAACATACATACAAAAGCTTTGGCTACAATTTAAGCAGCCTAAGGAAATGTCATCAAGTTCTTTGATCTGCATGAAATGTTCTGGTGATGTGAACCAACTTTGGAATTCCACATTTTCTTACTTAAATTATAAATACCGAGTTACAGTACTGTCCCTATCTCCATTATAGAAGAGTTTTAAAACACCTGTTATAGACACCTGAGCATGCTCCATAAAAATGCACAAAACAGTCACCCCAAGGAAGAACAGGTAAGGTCAACAAATTAATCCACCACATTTAAACTTGGGCATACTAGGTAGGAGGGCTGGGCGAATAAAAAATGGGCTTAGCTTGAAGTGCAAAATAAGGCCGACTACCCTCGGTAAGAATGTATCAACTCTTAAAGGGATTCTTAACAGCTAAGACAGGGTGCTACTTACTTCCTCATTAAAAAGTTTGCTAGTTTCTTTTTTGATTGGGTCTATAAGCTGGACTTGGCCTGCGGAAAAGCCCACTAGGAGAGAGACACTTTCTGCTGTGGCTGTTAGGTGGTTGAAGTCATGACAAGTAGGCTGTGTTCCTTTGTATATCCTTTTATCTATTGGTTTACTCAAGTCAGCAGCCTGGAGGAGAAAGAGAAAAATACATACAGTAAACAGCACATTGAGATGAGAAATCTAAGTTATGCTACTTTATACTCCATTATGATGTTTCATCTTAAAAACAAAGTGATTTAAAATGTTTTTTCAGTTGTGACTTAACATCATCTAACATTTTATAAAAGCACTTTCACATACCTTAGCCAATTAGATATTATTAGACTATCTATAATATGTTTACAACTGTTACTTTCACAACTTATTCTCCTTCAAATATATGTAACAAAGACTCCTGGACTTCAGCAGGAAATATCCTTGAGATATTAAATTCAGTATTTTCAAAATGCATTTCAAGCAGTGTCTAACAGAGTAACCACATAAAAAGCTCGGCTTTCAAATGTATCTACAGCACCTACATGCCCACTGGCCAGTTACCTGCAGCCCAGTGGTTCTCAAAGTGTAATCCCCAAACCAGAAGCAGCAGCAGCAGCATGTGGGAACTTAGAAATGCAAAAATCTCAAACCTCACCCCAGACTAAATGAATCAGAAACTATGGGAGTAGGGCCAGCAAGTCGTAAAGAGGCTTCCAGGTGATTCTGATGCCCGCTCAAGTCTAAGAACCACTGCTGGAGCCCACTCTATACAGGTGGCTCCCTTCCTGGGTCAAAATCCCTCTTCTGGATTAGGTTTCGGGGAACATTACTTATCGAGGCCATAATCAAAGGACTTTACATGCATTGTCCTTAATCCTAACAATAATGCTCCAAAGTGGACAATATTTTACCCATTTTACAGATGAGAAAACAAGTTTAGGGAAGTTAAATAACTTGACCAACGTCACCATACCTACCTAAGTAAGTGGCAGGGCTGGATTTGGAACCCAGGTCTGTTTGACCATTAAGGGGATGGGGAGAGAGAGTCAAAAGCAAATGATTTCTCACTTGGGTGAAAAGTGATTTTTCAATGTGCCCTCCCCACTTTCAAGAAGGATTCTTTTCTTCATGAGAAATGTCCTGTGGCATCCCAATATGCTGGGCTTTTATTGGTGAAATAAGGGAAACCCACCCCCTCCCACTCTTGTCTGAAAATCTCCAGTGGAGACAACTAACCCTGAAGCAGAACTTGTCCCTCAAGACACCCAGTTCACGCTGTGTGGCCCTCTGGGGCTCCCGGCTCTAGTTCTCTACTGACCGCCCCCTCAGGTTCTGAAGATTTCTTTCTTCCAAAGAGGCCTGTGACATCGAACCAAGTATTCTAATGTTGGACTTTCCAATAACAAATATAAGTAATGAGTAGAAAAGAGGACCTCAAAATTACAGGCGTCTTTGAGCAAACTCAAAACCTTGCACATGTAGAAGTCTGGACCTGAGCGGTAACAAGTAGTTCTGGGAGCCCCAGGGCAAAGGAATGAGGGTGCATGCCATGCGGACACTCTCCCAGCCTCACCTCAGTTAAAACGGAGATGAGAATCTCTGTTCTACCAACCTCATGGGATTGTCTGGAGGATGAAATAAGAGAATATATACATGAAAGAGCCTTGAAAAGTGTAATACAAAGCATGATACAAAACAAAAGGGAGTCCTGACTGGAGCGAGGAGAAAAGCGGCCAGTGGAGGGGAGCGGCCGCTGTACAGCAAGGCAGGCTGAAGGCAGCTCAGCCGAGTGCTGCGAGTGAGCAGCGGGGCCTGGGACGATGGCCACGGACAGGCTGTCTGAGGAAGGCAGCTTCTGAGCGGCTCGGATGGCAGGGAAAGAGAATCCTGGCCTGAGAGAACACCACATGCCATTCATCTCAGAACGAGGAAGACAGCCACAAAAAAAAAAACAAAAAAAAAACCTACAAATATAAAATAAGATATAACTGGCAGCTAGAGAACAAAAATCCAATTTGAAATACGAACAATTAAGTTATACATAATTACTGTATCAGCATATTCAACTCTTGAGACTTTTTTTTTTTTTAGTTTGCTTAAGAAAAATAAAAAATCAGCTAGGTGTGGTGGTGCATGCCTGTAGTCCCAGTTATTCAGGAGGCTGAGGTGGGAAGACTGCTTGAGCCCAGGAATTCAAGGTGACAGTTAACTAGGATTGCACCACTGCACTTCAGGCTAGATGACATAGCAAGACAAATGACAGCAACAACCACTTAGGGAACTTTCCCCTGAAAGAATATACCTAAAATTATGCGCTGAAATACACAGATCAATTTAAAGGCTGGCCAGAAATTAACAGAGAAAATAGCCTAATATAAATTAAAAAATACGTAATGTTTCTCAGAAACAACAGAGGAAGTAAAAGCACCTGTTTTTCCAAGTACTGCCACCAGTTTAGAGTTAGACTTAGGGACCCCTCACAACTATAATGGCTTCAGTTATTGGTATATTTTTACATCCCTGCCTCCCAATATGGAACTTTACTGAAAAGATGGAAGCATTTTAAATGAGAAGAGATTATTTTTACTCTTAAATCAGGTAAAATGGGCCAGAAGGCACGGTGGCTCACGCCTGTAATCCCAGCACTTTGGGAGGCTGAGGCGGGTGGATCACCTGAGGTCAGGAGTTTGAGACCAGCCTGACCAATATGATGAAACCCCATCTCTACTAAAACACAAAAATTAGCCGGGCGTGGTGGTGGGCACCTGTAGTCCCAGCTACTCGGGAGGCTGAGACAGGAGAATCGCTTGAACCTGGGAGGCGGAGCTTGCAGTGAGCCGAGATCGTGCCACTGCACTCCAGTATGGGTGACAGAGCGAGACTCTGTCTCAAAAAAAAAAAAAAAATTCAGGTAAATATTCTAAAAATATCCTGTTTATTCTACTAATTTGCTTAACAAACTTTCTTCTTAGGTCACTGCTCTTGAAGTGTACCAGTCCAGGACTAGTTTATTAGTCTGCAGTCAAATGCACTGCCTGTAGTACAGACATTGAGAATAAGAGTTTAGAAACTTTTATGGCAACGGACAAATTTTATATCTGTTGAATGTAATGATAAAAAGTTAGAGTTTATATTCTGTATGTCTTTTTCAGTTTCTTTTCCTATTAATTCTTTTTATTTTACAAAAGTATCAATCCACATAGACTAAAATTTTTTTAAAGTTGATCTGTCAACACTAGTGTGAGTGGCACTGTCTAGAAGACACAAAAGTAGACCTGGCTGACCCCAAGGAACACTTAGAATCTCTCTCACCTAAGGTCACTCCTCCCTCCCCAATCCCTTTCCAGTGGCACTGACCAAACGGGAACAGCAGAAGTCCAGCCAGGCAACATGTCACCTTTACCAAGTAAGAATTACCAAGAAGTCAGAAGTGACTGCTAGGTTATGTGCCCATAAAAAAAATTGTATTTCTGAAAAATCTATGGACTCCACTCTTGGGCCAGAGCTTTTTGGAGCCCCACCCCAGATAGAGAAAGGCCAGGTCACCCAGTGCCTGCCTTCATGTCCAAGCACAACCGTCTCCCACTCGCCTGTCCTCTTTCCATTAATCACTGAGTTCTAACTCAATTTCCACTGATAAGTGACCATCCTATTTCCTCCTCTTCTGGGGGGCGGGGGATGGGGTGTCTGCCAACATGCACTCTGAGCTCACATACCTTTTTAGGAGCAGGAGTAACCACCCAAGCCAGCTATTCCTCTTCCCCATGGGGTCATCAGCCCCTGGCAGATGGCTTCCCAGGCAGGGGCAGTCTGGTAGCGAGAGAAAGAGCCCAGACCAGGCAAGCCTAAGTTCAAATCCTGCCTTCCCTCTTGGTAGCCAAGTGGCCTTGGGCAAAGTGCAAGTTTCCTCTCACTAATAGGAGATCAAAGGCCCACCCCTCCCCTGCAAGGCAATGGTGAAGGCTGCAGATAACAGAAAGCACAGAGCACACAGAAGTATTTGGGTAGCTACCATTATTCATTAATTCCAGCCACATCTTATCTCTAATCAAAATGTCTCCTAATTTTTTTCTTTTTTTTTTTTTTTGAGATAGAGTCTCGCTCTGTTGCCAAGGCTACAGTGCACTGGCATGACTTCAGCTCACTGTAACCTCCACTTTCCAGGTTCAAGCAATTCTTGTGCCTCAGCCTCCTCAGCAGCTGGGATTACAGGCATGCACCAACATGCCCGGCTAATTTTTGTATTTTCAGTAGAGACAGGGTTTTACCATGTTGGCCATGCTGGTCTCGAACTCCTGACCTCAAGTGATCTGCCCGCCTCAGCCTCCCAAAGTGCTGGGATTACAGGCGTGAGCCACCACACCTGGCCTGTGGCCTCCTAATTTCTATCAAGTCAATGTAGGAAAAAGTACCTAGCACCCCTGCCCTCCAGGGTTCAGCCCCATCCTCCCCAACAGCAATATCACCTTCTGTCTAGTCAACACTTTTTTTTTTGAGACAGAATTTCCCTCTTGTTGCCCAGGCTGGAGTGCAATGGTGTGATCTTGGCTCACTGTAACCTCTGCCTCCCGGGTTCAAGTGTTTCTCTTGCCGTGGCCTCCTGAGTAGCTGGGATTAAAGGCGCCTGCCACCACACCTGGCTAATTTTTTGTTTTTTGTTTTTGTTTGTTTGTTTGTTTTTGGTATTTTTAGTAGAGACAGGGTTTCACCATGTTGGCCAGGCTGGTCTCAAACTCCTGACCTCAGGTGATCCACCTGCCTTGGCCTCCCAAAGTGCTGGGATTACAGGCGTGAGCCACTGCGCCTGGCCTAATCAACACTTCCTATGTGCCAGGCCTGCACCAGGAACTTTACAATCATCATCCAATCCAATCCTAGTCACCCCTCAAAGCTGGTACTAATGTATCCACATTACATTGATGAGGGACCTGGAAGGAAGTTCAGGGTCATGAGGCTGTGCTCTTATCAGCTCTACACCATCTTGCCTCTCCACCCTTCACTGGCCCTCCACACAACTCATAAGCAATGGCCAGAGCAGACAGCCCCTCTTTCTTGGCTTACGTCACCCTCTTGGTAGGGACAGTCTCCTTTGCCCACCTCCCCAGGAATCGTGCCCGTCAGTTCACGTCCCACCGCCCACAGCAAGGATTTTCCCAACCATTCTTTGTGCTGCTCCTGTATCTGAATTCTCAAGTACTTAATTCATTCCACAACATTTAATATTTAATCACTTATATGATTTCAGAATTGTTTTATGTCTGTTATAATCAATTAAAATAAAATTATAATAAAAACTCTTTTAAGGAGAACTTTATTAAACAGTTACCACTGTATAGTTCCACAAAATTAGTTTTTTTCAGCTTTCTGATAGATTCTACACACTGAGATTTCAAAAAATGGTTTGCATCCCAATTATTATCAATTACCTAAGTTCTTCACCGTAAGTTTTTTTCCACTCAGATTCTGACAGATAAACATGAATTTATAGAAGAACCAATTTATTAAACATTCTTATCCATTTTAAGAATCGGGTATTTGGTCTTCAGCCCCAGCAGAGGTATCCAGCCTGGCACAGAGGCTAAGTATTTGTAGAATACATTAAACCACAACTGTTTCTTAATTTTTTCTATGGAAAGTTTAAATTTTATCATTATGCTCATGAGTTTGCATAAGGAGTTACTGATTACAAATAATTTGACAGTCTCATCATACTTATTAAGTTCTCAACTTAATAGAAAAATTTTAAGTGATAGTTTTAAAATTCCTACTAAAGAAACAACTAGTTACCAAAGCCTCGATCAGTAAGTAAACATTTTTAAATGTAATACTTCTCTTTTCCTTGGACTTTTTCTTTTTCTTCATTACTATTATTATTATTGAGACAGGGTCTCGCTCTATTACCCAGGCTGGAGTGCAGTGGTGCGATCTGGGCTCACTGCGACCTCTGCCTCCCGGGTTCAAGTGATTCTCCTGCCTCAGCCCCCCGAGTAGCTGGGATTACAGGTACGTGCCACCACGCCCAGCTAATTTTTGTATTTTTTGTAGAGACGGGGTTTCAACCATGTTGACCAGGCTGGTCTCGAACTGACATCAAGTGATCTGCCTGCCTTGGCCTCCCAAAGTGGTGGGATTACAGGCATGAGCCATCATACCTGGCCTTCCTTAGACTTTTCATCCTTAAGATCTCTGGAATTTTTTTTTTTTTTTTTTTTTTTGAAACAGGGTCTCGCTCTGCTGCCCAGACTGGAGTACAGTGATGCAAATACAGCTCACTACAGCCTCAACTTCCTGGGCTCAACTGATTCTCCTGCCTCAGCCTCTCAAGTAGCTGGGACACAGATGCGTGCCACCATGCCCAACTAATTTTTTTTTTTTAATTTTCTGTAGAGACAGTGTCTTGCCATGTTGCCCAGGCTGGTATCAAACTCCTAGGCTCCAAGAACCCTCACATCTCAGCCTCCCAAAGTGCTGGGATTACAGATGTAAGTCACCATGCCTGGCTGGAATTTTTTTCTGGAACAATACTACTGAAATTCAGAGTCAGCTGGGTCAGTTTAGCATGGCACTAATGAGCCTATAGGTCCTTGAGGAATTTCTTTCCAGTACCACAAAGGGTCTGCAAAAGAAGCCCTCCAGTTCCAGTTCATGCCTTCACCATAGCCCTGCCTGCCCACTCTTCCCTCAGGAATGCTGCTGAGTGGACAGAAATGTGGAGGAAGGACTTGAACCCGAGAGGGGCTATTCCACCAAAGGCAAAAAGCTTGCAGCCTGGTTCCCACCAACTTAGTGGGCCTCAGTAGGGGGCTTTGGGAAGCCTGTGGCATCACAGGCAACAGCCATGTCACATCACATAGGCCTGGTAAAGTTTTACTTGATAAAACTCCTCAGTGCCCAGAAGCATCTGATGTGGTATGAAAAATATCTCAGAGCTCTTTTGAAAAATGTGTGTCAAATTATAATCTTAGACATAATTTTAAATGAATCAGGTGGAAATAGTGTAGGTAATAAAGGTAGTTTTATTTTCCCTAAATTTCACATCTTCCCTCCCCATCCCCACCTGAGAATCACCTAAGAGAGAACCGGTCTTGCAGAGTCTTGCCAGAAAAGTAAAAGATCCTTTTACTGGCATAGCTAACAGCTACCAAGTGCCTAATGCAGGCAGACCAGAAACTTACCTGGCCTACACCCAAAGCACTCTCTACCTCCTAAGTCCACTCCTCCCATCCTTAAGCCCCACCCCAACCAGCTTTATACTTGGCGCTCTGTTGGGTCCCCTGCCTGGCACCCCTGCCCAAAGGACAGCTTCAGGGCCCTCATCCAGCCTGGGTTTCCCCAGCTTAGCTCAGCCTCTCTAGCTCTGTGCCAGTCTCCTTCCACCCATTTCCAATCACATGCAATTCGCCCTACACTCTGCCAGACACATCTTCGGGAAGCCTTAGGTCACTCTCCCACTCCACCACTGCCACGGCTCTGCAGGGCCTACAGCTTAGCACTCACAGGCTGCCCAATGTGGCCTTATCACCCCCGCCCCTCCACATACATTACCCCAAAGACCCTTGGCTGCTGCCTGTGCTTCTGACACCTTGCCTTTCCTGCCATTCCTTCTTTCACCCAAAAAAAGTCCCCTATCCTCATATTCACAAAAGCAGAGATGTCATGTCCTCCTGAGCCCCCCCCCAGCCTATGTGTGACATTCTTCCAGACCCCTTCACCGATGCCTATCATTATGTGCCACACTTATTAGCTGCAATATGTTAACTATGTTCCATATATTGTGAAAGTCCAGCTCCTTTTAAAAACAAGAAAGAAGCCAGGAGGCTGCTGAGTCACTGACAGCCTGAATGAATTAATCAAAACTAGCTGGAGCAGTCTGAGTAACATCAAAGGTTGCCATAAGCCATTTTGAAAATCAGAAGAGAACGACTGTAGTGCTATTATCATTCCTCTTGACCACATCTCAGACAACCAAAACAGGGACCAAAAGTGGCCAAGAAATTACTTCCAAGGGCCACAAAGGATCACCTACTAGAAAAGAAGTGGAACGACTAGGGGCCTATCTTAAAACCTGAGATCCAAAATAAACCACACTGCAAAGACTGTTCCGCAGGTTTTCTTGGTGGAACTTTTTTTTTTTTCCTGAGACAGAGTCTCGTTCTGTCCCCCAGGCTGGAGTGCAGTGGCACGATCTCGGCTCACTGCAAGATCCACCTCCTGGGTTCACGCCATTCTCCTGCCTCAGCCTCCCGAGTAGCTGGGACTACAGGCGCCCCCCACCACCCCGGCTAATTTTTTTTATTTTTAATAGAGACGGGATTTCACCATGTTAGCCAGGGTGGTCTCCATCTCCTGACCTCGTGATCCGCCTGCCTCGGCCTCCCAAAGTGCTGGGATTACAGATGTGAGCCACTGCGCCCGGCCCTTGGTGGAACTTTTAACCTAGTCAGGCTTGGGGCTGCTAGTGCCTGTTAGGGATTGATTAGTCCACAGTCCAGGGCCTGGGGCTGGACCACATCTGCTTGTCACCCTGGTGAAACCGGAGGGGGGTGTTGTGGGGGGAGGCACTGAAGATGAAAAGAGACCTTGGCCAATCAGAGCTGATATTCACCTTTTGAACAAAGCTCAACTATGTAACCAAAATTTTCTTCAACATAATGGGAAATAACTGGGTGGGTCTAATGACAAAAATACCACACAGTGATTTTCAAACACCTTCAACTGCCCACACTTCATGTGTAGGCGAACAGTTTAACGCTCAAGTAACAATCAGCTGCACAGCACCACACAGATGCCAATTCCACAGTCCCACCGCTGCCCTTGAAGGGGCCACAAAACCAGGTTTACCTTATGGAAAGACCCACACAATCCATGTTTCTCACAGTATCTTCAATTCAGTAGTTACAGCCAACGTATCTGAACAGTTGGCATTAACAGTATGTAAAGAGCCTAACACTTGTTTAAAATATATGTATGTCAGAAACATAAGAAGTCAGTTAGGCTTGGGTCACTTATGCCCATAGGAAAAACAAACAGTAATCAATTGTACAGTTTCAGTGTTTCATTTCAAAAAGGACAAGAACTTATCTGTGTTATTTACCTCCCTGTCTCCAACATCTAATAGAGGGCCTGGCACACAGAAGGTTATCACTGAATATCTGTCACAGAAAGGAAACAATTCTGAAAATGGAGGAAAAGAACAGTGAAGTGATAGAAACCAAGAGACCTACAGCCAAATGTATATAAAAGCAAATATATAATGCTTTTTTTTTTTTTTTTGAGATGGAGTCTCGCTCTGTCGCCCAGCTGGACTGCAGTGGCGCAATCTCGATAATTCTTTTGCTGACCAAAATGCTAAGAATAAATGCCTTCTTGGGTGTCCATCCATGAAAGCAAACAGTCTCCATCAGTAAATATTAGTACATCACTTTACAGTTTACAAAGCACCTCCATGGATCAGTTTTTTGAAACCTCGCTACAAACCTGCGCAGTAAGTACAACTGCCACTCCCATTTTGTAAACAAGAAAATAGAATCAGCCGCCCAGAGGAACCCAGTGGTAGAGTCTGGCCATCGAAATTCCAGCCCGTGTGCCTTCTGCTGCACCGCCGTCTACTGCTGGGGTGATGCAACAGACATGTGAGGTGGCACCTAGTTCTACGATTCTATCACCATGTAACTCCATGTTCCTAGGCTTCTTGAAGTGGGACTCAAATATTCCAGCCTTTCTCAGTGTGGCCCAGATTCCAGATCTACCTCTTCTTTTCAATCATTTGCCTCACAGAATTATTTTATTAAAATGGAATAATATAAGTCCCAGCAGAATCCCTGGCACTTAAAAGGCACTCGGGAAACATTAGTTTCCTTCTGAATACATAAGGACTTGCTACTTATCATATGGGCTTTGAAAATTCTCATCATTCATTAATACCTTCAAAGAAACAGACATAAGGAAAAACAGAGATGTTTCTTTCTGCCCTAAATTTCCTGCAGAAGGACAGCAGCAGTGGAAGCCCACTTTCAGCAGGTTTTCCTTCCAGTATAATCTTCCAAAACAAAACAGTAGCTTCTCTTTCTTAGTTTCCATTCCTCCTTCATTCTCAAACATACTAGTACAGCCCACACTTGCTTGGCATTCCAAACCCATCCCCTTCACTAAAGACCAACCGTTGGTGCATTGTCTCTAGCGCGCTTCTGATGGGCTCTGACCTGGAATGAGCCCCGGCCAACCACGTTCAAGGGGCTGCGTTTAGCCGCAGCAAGGCTTTGAGAGGCGGCACAGAGAATTAGACAGAGGGGAGGCAGGCAAGACAATAAGTCAAACGTCAGCAAATAGCAAGATGTAAGACGTGTGGAACATCACCTTCATGTCATCCCAAAATGAGAAGAGACACACAGTCACAAAGTGCGTAACATGCGTTAAGTAAAAATTTCACAGTGACAATCTCTGGAATTGCTTGCTGCTCATCAGATGGCTTCTCCCAGGGGCCAGCAAAAGCCCCTCCTTTGGAGCTCTGCATCGGGTGGGGAGAGGGTGGCCACCAGGGGAAAGCAGGAACAAGCAGAGGGCGGACATTCTGTGGCAGCATCTTCCCTGGCCTAGCACCCTCAGTCAAGCATCTGCTGAAATAACAAGCTTCTGTTGTTCTCACATGTCACTTTTTCCTAAGGCAGCCTGTCATTTAGAAACTGCTAGCTATTACAATCTACTTCTCTTCCTTCAGAGTAGCTTCTTAAAGATGAACTTAAAAAACAGCTACACTGCAACATCTTTACCAGCTCTTCATTCTCTGATGCTGTACTCCACGGAAGGTTAGATCTCCTATCGCAAGGCAAGTCACCACAAATGGCTGTTGTGAGGCTTCCTTAGGCTAATGAAATACTGATTTCTTCATTAAAGAAAAGCTATGAATAAACATCAAGATAAATTCAATTTGCACACATACTAACACCAGATCTCATCACATTAAAATGCTGACATATTCAAATGACCTATTTTTATTGAACCCTTCTGTTAAATATGTATAGGAATACGTATTCCCATTCTAAAGGGAATACCAGTATCTCACACTGACGAAAAGGCAAGATGCATTCATTTCTGCAAAAGATGATTTCAAATTCTTAGAAAAAAATGTTTTTTAAAGATAGAATTCTATGCCTTTCTGAAAGTGTTGAGACAACACTGGTAAATTACAGAGCATTGTAGAGCAGAGAGTAATTCCTGTGTGCTGCCTAACTACTACACTGTTGTTGTTCTAACCTTTGGGCCATCCATGGGCTCATTATATTCAGCAGAGCACATAAATGATTTTAAATTTCCAATTCAAGTTGCTGAGTAACATAAGCAACAATCGGTAGAAGAGTTCCCATCCTAAGTGAAAACGGCCCTAAGTCCCCAGTTGTGCAGAGGGCCTACAAACTTCCATTTCCTCATCCTACAGAGAAACTGAGGCCCAGGAAGAGGTGGTGATCTGCCCAAGGTTCATAATGCTTACAACTTCACCTTTAACCATATCTAGCTGTTTCTCCCTTTTCAATCACCCAGCGTCAGCTAGAACAAGCTACTGAATCTGTAATGTCTAAAATTTCAATAAACAACACGTGTAGCAGTAATTGTATATCATATGACAGCATTTTGGACATAGTACACTGCTGTGTTTCAAACAGGAAGCAAAAGAGCTAGAGTGAGAGAACATTAAACATATCTTAAACATTAATGGAGATCAGCTACTAAAACAAGTGGCCAAAATGCTTGACTTGGCTTCTGTAATTCAAATAATCTCTGATCCAACCAGGCGTGAGCTGAAGAATACAGCCTCAAATCAATTTGGGTAACAGAGAGCTGATCTTCCAAATACTAGTGTGAGGAAAAGCTTTGATCTCGCCTTCATCGGAAGTTCAACAGCATTAGTTCATCACTGCAACTACTCACTTGGCACTTGTGCTGTTAGTCATTTGTCATATATGTCGAATATCCTCAAATAACCTAAAAAAAATGTTCATGGCACAACTTTCTTTTTTTTTCTCTCTCTCTGAGACGGAGAGCTCTGTTGCCCAGGCTGGAGTGCAGTAGCGCAATCTCGGCTCCCTGCAACCTCCACCTCCTGGGTTCATGTGATTACCCTGCCTCAGCCTCCCAAGTAGCTGAGATTACAGGTATGTACCACCTGTATATTACAGGTATGCACCACCTGTATATATATGTATTTTATGGAATAAAAAAAGTCTAATTCTGTTTGGGCCATATATTTATTTACATGTACATATTTGCAAAGAAAACAGTTTGAAAAGATATTCACCAAAATATTAAAAGTGTCTACCATTAAAAGAGGGGGTAATATTTAGATAATATTTTTTGCCTTTTTGTCAATAATCATATATTATATATAATTTTTTAATAGAAAAAAATAACCAAAAAAACTACTAAAACTATTTCAAAATTATTCTAGTAGTTTAAAAGCATGTCATTGCTTGGTATTAGGGTCACAGAAAAATCTGTGACTTGATGAACAGTAAAATTCACAATAAAAGGAAGCTTACTGTAACACTGAGCAAATGCATGAATGGGAATGATATATCATCAACAGATGATAATATATTCCAAACAGGCCAAATCATAAAGTTTCACACCAATTAAGACCACAGGAGTCTATTACTCATCTTTCTGTGGCATCAGTGACATCACTCAATGAGAGGAGAGAGGCCAGGAAAATTATTTAAAGAAGCCAACCATTCAGGCAACAGATGAGGAAGCCATGGCTAGTTCTTTTGTTTTACTCTTCAAATGGCATTCAGTGTTAGAACAGTTCACTGTGTGCTCTTAATTTGCTACAGTGGCAAATAAAGATAGCTTTCCCCAGAGTCCTCTTTGGGAAATCCAATCTGTTCCAAGTTTAGCTCCCTATTTTTTCTCTAATATATATTTATAATATGAATCCATATCTTTTTCATAAGAACTGAACTGAGAATTTATCACCAATTTTACAGTCTTCTAAAGATTCTAGGAAAACTGAATCCTACACTACCCTTAATCCAGAAGAAACAGCTAAAAGGGTTACACAGTGAAATTTGTTTTCAAGTATTCAGTAATATTTTTAGCATTTAGAAGTTAAAATCTTGAAACCTGAAATAAAAATATTACACTGAAAGGGAAAGGAGGTGTATTTGTAGTCTCAATAAGGGACAGTGCTGTATTTAAAATGTAGGTTAGCAGGCCAACCCACTTAGAACTGAATAGGAAGCTCCACACTGAAGGCTAAAATCAACCATAATCCAAAACTTAACGCTTGTCAACAATTCCACATATGCTATGGCTATGCTCTATGCTAAGCTTACCACTCATGATCTCGTATAATGCACTGCAGTCTCATATGACGTAATATATAGAATTAAAATTTTGCAACTACTAGCTTAAAAGTTAAATATAAAGCTATTCCCAAAGAAGTAGACTACAGAAGCAACTCATTTCCCAGTGTGAATAATTCTGTAATATATTTATAATATGGAAAAATCTTATGTAATCTAAGTCTTACATCAGGGGATCAGATAATAGATAAAGCTGGAGTGGCACTTTAAAAAGTCACCTCAGGTGAATGGTCATTAAAAAAAAAAAGTCACACTTGTTCTCAAGATGCTGCAACTCAGACCAAAGAAGTTAACTGCCTAAAATCATACAACCAATTAACACAGCAGCTCAACTCGGAGCTCTGATCTCATTCACTGTAAGTACACCATGCCCAGGAAACTAGGAAGAGCACTAAGGTAATCTAACCCAAAGCCCTCATTTCTCAGTCTCCTTCTCCTCTCACCTGTGGTCTTCTTGCTTCTACATCAGACAGTAACTACCAGACAGAACCTGAAATTATTCTATTATTTATAACACAGTGCCATGAACTACAGAAGACTTACCCAAACTCATTAAATTTAGGATAAACCAAATGACACTCATCTGGTTAAAGTTCATAAGTTATGTTCTGAATGCTGCCAGCCTTCTTCAGGAGACAGCAACTGTACTGGAAGACATGAGTTGCTTGCCTCTTGATAATTCAAAGCTTTCAAGCTGAATGTGTCCTGATGAACTAATGACAAAGACCACATCCACAGCTCTTTCCAAAGCTTTTGGCCACCTTCAGGAAAATCATCCCTTTGCCATGCAGCCAAATACTCACCAAAAAAACTCTAGTCAGCAAGGATGTATGCAAAATTCTGTATGCAAATACAAGGATGGCGGAAACAGGCAGCAATTTTAAACTAGGGTACAAAGATATGGAAAGCTAAGAAATGCAGGCCAGCCCCTCACATGGTTACGACAAAGGGTAAAGCTCCAAATAGCAGCAGGTCTCATAGACAGCAGCTGTGACTACAAACCAAAAGAGAATCTCTAAAGTGACACAGCAAGATCTGATCTCTCCTCCGTGTAGAGTACTACAACTAGATTTGTCTTTAAATATGAAGAGACCCAAAATAACACAACGTCCCCACTTTTCTTGTTGCCCACAGCAAGCCTGAGTACTTGCCCTGCTCTCACAAAATTCTTACAGAATTCTTCACCCCAAGCAGTAATCCCAGCTACTCCGGAGGCTAAGTCAGGAGAATCCCTTGAACCCAGGAGTTGCAATAAATAGTATGCTATTTTAAAAGTGTAAAGTGATATGTTATATAGAGAAAGCTCTGGTTGAAAACGTGCAAGACACTCTAAAGAGTGGTTAAGAGCAGAGACTCTGGAGCCAAGATGCCTTCAGGTTCTGTCTTGTGAGCTTGAACAAGCTATTTGCTTTTATATACCACCACTTCCACAAAATGGGAAAATGGGGTTAATACAACAGTGACCCTGCTACAGGCAGCGTTCGAGGATTAAAGGAGTTAAAATATGTAAAGTGATCAGAATCATACCTGGAACAAAGTAAGTGCTATGTAAGTACTGGCTGTTATTATTATTATTGTTTTGTTTTTGAGACAGTCTTGCTATGTCGCCCAGGCTGGAGTGCAGTCTCAGCTGACTGAAACCTCCATCTCCTGGGTTCAAGTGATTCTCCTGCCTCAGCCTCCCAACTAGCTGGGATTACAAGCGCCTGCCACCACGCCTGGTTAATTTTTGTATTTTTAGTAGAGACAGGGTTTCACCATGTTGGTCAGGCTGGTCTTGAACTCCTGACCTCAAGTGATCCGCCTGCCTCGGCCTCATAAAGTGCTGGGATTACAGGCGTGAGCCACCGTCCCGACGTAACTGTTATCATTATTAATAGTATCAATTTACATTTTTTAAATGCACTCAAACCAAGAACTACAGTGAGTTAGCGTGGAAATAAGTATTTGATTCCTTACAAAGCATTTAAAAAATAAAAGTTAATATTTAGCCACCTGTTGGAAAATGTATGTACAAATATGAGGGGAGGGATTTGAAAATGAAGGGGGTGAGGAAGGGCAAAGTTAAACCAGTAAAATTACTCTTTCCAATCAGTTAAGATTTTACTGTACTTGATGTAGCATAATTTTTTTAAGTTATAAATACAGACAGGGTGTGGTGGCTCATGTTTGTAATCTTAGCACTTTGGGAGGCTGAGATGGGAGGACTGCTTGGGGCCAGGAGTTCAAGACCAGCCTGGGCAACATAGTGAGACCCCATTTCTTTTTTCTTTCTTTTTTTTTTTTTTAGAAAAAAAAAAATACTTTAAAAAAAAGTTAGAAGTTCAGAGGTCAGAACTGTGTAGTATACCAATTTACACCTCAATGAAAGTTTAATTTCTGAGACAAAAATAGAGTAGCACATATGATGGCTCTACCTGTGAAAATACAGAGGTTAGAATATGATCTCAAAGGCCGCTTTTATAATACCTCCTAATTCTGACACATTGTAAATAAATGAATATTATTAAATAGAAAATAGTCTTTTTTTAAAAAGCTGAAAGGTTGCTGCTTATTGGGTGGGTTAAGTATATGAGGAGAGAAATCTAGAAATACAGGTATTACAACCATTTATTATAAAACCACATGACAGCCACACAGGCACACGCATTCTCTGGGAGCAAGAGTTTACATGAAAAGCGGGGTGGGGTGCTAGAAAGAACATAGGCTTTGGAGTCTGACAGGCCTTGCTGAAATCTCCGGCTGCCACTTACCAGCTGTGTAGCCTTGGCAAGTTACTACATCCCTCAGAGATTCCCCTCTCTCATCTCTATATAATATAAAGTGGGACGCGCCACTCCCTCTTCTGCAAAGTATCTGTGAGATCATAAGGGACAATGCATGTGACAGCACCTAGTTCAGTGCCTAGCCCAGTGTAGCTATTCAGTAAATGGGAGCTGTGATGAGATAGAAACAAATCAGCAGTGATTAGTATAGTCTACAAATTAAATAGTCAGTGAGCTGAGTTTTCGTTCGCTGTGAGGTAAACCAATACTAGATCCTATAAGGCAGTGGTTCTCAAACTAGCCCATCAGAATTACCTGGCATGCTAGTTACACCACAGATTGCTGAGCCTGCTCTCACAGTTCCTGATGCAGTGTTCAAGTGCAGGGGCCCAGAATCTTCATTGCCACAAGTTCTGAGGGGACGCTGATACTGCTGGGCAGGGACCACGCCTAAGAGAACCACTGGTGTAAGGGAAGAGAGGGAGAAGAGGTGCACAAACATGGTCCATTCCTACAAGGAACTCACTGAGGATCTGGAATACACACACGCCAAACAATTTTTTTTTTTTTTTTGAGACAGAGTCGCACTCTGTAGCCCAGGCTGGAGTGCAATGGCACGATCTTGGCTCACTGCAACCTCTGCCTCTGGGGTTCAAGCAATTCTCCTGCCTCAGCCTCCCAAGTAGCTGGGACTACAGGCTCATGCCACCACACCTGGCTGATTTTTATATTTTTGGTAGAGACGGGGTTTCACCATGTTAGCCAGACTAGTCTCGAACTCCTGACCTCAAGCGATCCACCCACCTCAGCCTCCCAAAGTGCTGGGATTACAGGCATGAGCCACTGCACCTAGCCACATAACAATTCAACCCCATATATACAGATCTCAAACTCCACCACCCTACAAAAGATACAAACTCATGTTATAAAAAATGAGGATGCCAAGGCACAGGGATCCTTCAGGACTGGTGAAACCATGACCCCAAGAGTTAAAGACACCAATGACTAACAGAAATTCTCAAGTTTGCAGGATTGCAGATAAGAAAAGAAACAACTTACTGACATGCCCTCCACTTGTAAGACAGAAAACATAACAGGCTAAAATTGGTTGGAATCAATATAGGTGACTGGAGTTTGTGTAGAACAAGCTTAAATTTCTACCACATGGTTCATACTAACTTCCCCCAAATTTGCACATGGGACCCATGAGGAGGCATGAATAGATAACTGCGGAAGCCTGAAGACTTTCCAGACCACCCCTTTCCTTATATCAATCACCTGCTACTCCCAGAATCCACTCCCTAAAGCTTTTCTAATAAAGTTACTGCCTTAAAGCCAGCACAGAGAGACAGATTTGAGCTGAACTCCTGACTCCTTGTGAGTCGACTTGCAATAAAAAGAAAGCCAATATCACGACACTGGGTTTTTGAGAAAATACTCAAAAACCCAGTGGCTCGATTCTCATCTGGCTATATTTCTCATAGCTAGTAGACTCCCTTCACTGGGTTTTGAGAAAACTTTCTCAAAAACCCAGTGTCACAGTACAGGCTTCTGGCACATTGGACAGCAAGCCCCTTTTGCCTAGTAACACTGGGACAAATACCGATGTTTTTCACAGTTCCTGCAGTCTCACAGCTTCTGTAAACGTAAGAAGTAAAATACTTGGGCAATGGCATTGGCAAGTAGAAATATGTGGGAAGGCACTTGAGAAAAGAGTGAGACAAATAGATAAACAAGTGTGTGAAAACAATGGTCTCAGCTCAGCTAGTTCAATATCTGAATGGGAGAATCTCATCAGGAGAAATGATGATAGAGAGATTTTGAAGAGGCACTGACAGGGTAACTTACTAGGCTTAGCTTGGATTTGATGTCATCAGTAAAGTGAACCATTACAAATCTCGGGCAAGTTAGCCACATGGTAGAAATGGTAACTGCAAGGTGGGGCACGGTGGCTTACGCCTGTAATCCCAGCACTTTGGGAGGCCAAGGCAGGCGGATCACCTGAGGTTGGGAGTGCAGGACCAGCCTGACCCAATCTCTACTAAAAAAAATAATAATAATACAAATAATTAGCCGGGCGTGATGGCAGGCGCCTCTAGTCCCAGCTACTCAGGAGGCTGAGGCAGGAGAATGAACCCGGGAGGCGGAGCTTGCAATAAGCCGAGATGGCGCCACTGCACTCCAGCCTGGGAGACAGAGCAAGACTCCGTTTCAAAAAAAAAAAATTGGCACCAATCCTACTGAAACTATTACAAAAGATAGAGAAAGAGGGAGTCCTCCCTAAATCATTCTATGAAGCCAGTATCACCCTAATACCCAAAACCAGAAAGAATATAACCAAAAAAAAAAAGGGAAAGAAAACTACAGACCAATATCCCTGACGAACGGAGATGTAAAAATCCTCAGCCGGGCACGAATTTTTGCGTTTTTAGTAGAGACGGGGTTTCACCATGTTAGCCAGGATAGTCTCGATTTCTTGACCTCATGATCCGCCCGCCTTGGCCTCCCAAAGTGCTGGGATTACAGGCGTGAGCCACCACGCCCGGCCCCACTTACACTTGATTTTTTTTGAGATGGAGTCTCGCTCTGTCGCCCAGGCTGGAGTACAGTGGCGCGATCTTGGCTCACTGCAACCTCTGCCTCCTGGGTTCAAGCGATTCTCCTGCTTCAGCCTCCCAGGTAGCTGGGACTACAGGTGCATGCCACCACGCCCGGCTAATTTTTTTGTATTTTTAGTAGAGATGGGGCTTCACCATGTCAGCCAGGATGTTCTCGATCTCCTGACCTCGTGATCTGCCCACCTCGGCCTCCCAAAGTGCTGAGATTACAGGCGTGAGCCACCGTTTCCAGCCCTGACTTTCACTTTTATTCAACATAGTTCTGGAAGTCCTAGCTAGAGCAATCAGACAAGAGAAAAGAAATAAAGGGCATCCAAATCAGTAAAGAGGAAGTCAAACTGCTGCTGTTTGCTGATGATATATAATCATATACCTAGAAAACCCTAAAGACTCATCCCAAAAGCTCCTAGATCTGATAAATGAATTCAGTAAAGTTTCTGGATACAAAATCAATGTACACAAGTTAGTGGCTCTGCTATATACCAACAGCGACCAAGCTGAGAATCAAATCAAGAACTTAACCCCTTTTACAATAACTGCAAAAAAATAAAATAAAATACTTAGGAATATATCTAACCATTGACATGAAAGACCTCTACAAGGAAAACTACAAGACACTGCTAAAAGAAATCACAGATGACACAAATGAAAACACATCCCATGCCATGGATGCGTAAAATCAGTATTGTGAAAATGACCTCACTGCCAAAAGCAATCTATAAATTCAATGCAATTCCCATCAAAATACCATCATCATTCTTCACCAAACTAGGAAAAACCATCCTAAAATTCATATGAAAACAAAAAAGAGCCCACATAGCCAAAGCAAGACAAAGCAAAAAAGAAAAAAATCTGGGGGCATCATATTACCTGGCTTCACACTATACTATATGGCTATAGTCACCAAAACAGCATAGTACTGGTATAAAAACAGATACACAGACCAACGGAACATAACAGAGAATCCAGAAATAAACCCAAATACTTACAGCCAACTGATCTTCAACAAAGCAAACAAAAACATAAAGTGGGGAAAAGACACCCTATTCAATGAATGGTGCTGGGATAATTGGTAAGCCACATGTAGAAGAATAAAATTGGATCCTCATCTCTCACCTTATACAAAAATCAACTCAAGATGAATCAAAGACTTAAATCTAACCTGAAACCATAAAAATTCTAGAAGATAATACCGGAAAAATCCTTCTAGGCATTGGCTTAGGCAAAGATTTCATGACCAAGAACCCAAAAGCAAATGCAACAAAAATAAATACATGGGACTTAATTAAATGAAAAAACTTCTGCACAGCAAAAGAAATAATCAGCAGAGTAAACAACCCACAGGGTTGCAGAGAAAATCTTCACAAACTGTGCATCCAGCAAAGGACTAATATCTAGAATCTATAAGAAACTAAAACAAATCAGCAAGAAAATAATTAATAATAATAATCCCATCAAAAAGTGGGCTAAGGACATGAATAGACAATTCTCAAAAGAAGATATACAAATTGACAGTAAACATATGAAAAAATGCTAAACATCACTAATTATCAGGGAAATGAAAATCAAAACCACAATATGATACAACCTTACTCCTGTAGCAATGGCCATAATTAAAAAACAAAAAATGCTGGGCATGGTGGCTCACGCCTGTAGTCCCAGCACTTTGGGAGGCTAAGGTGGGTGGATCATGAGGTCAGGAGATCGAGATCATCCTGGCTAATATGGTGAAACCCCGTCTCTACTAAAAATACAAAAAATTAGCCAGGCATGGTGGCGGGCGCCTGTAGTCCCAGCTACTCGGGAGGCTGAGACAGGAGAATCGCTTGAACCCAGGAGGTGGAGGTTGCAGTGAGCCGAGATTGTGCCATTGCACTCTAGCCTGGGTGACAGAGCAAGACTCTGTCTCAAAAAATAATAATAATAAATAAATAAAAATAACAGATGCTGGTGTGGATGTGGTGAAAAGCGAGCACTTTTACATGGCTGGTGGGAATGTAAACTAGTACAACCGCTATGGAAAACAGCATGGAGATTCCTTAAAGAACTAAAAGTAGATCTTCCATTTGATCCAGCAATCCCACCACAGGGTATCTACCCAGAGGAAAAGAAGTCATTACATGAAAAAGACACTTGCACATGCATATTTATAGCAGCAGAATTCACAATTGCAAAAATATGGAACCACCACAAATGCCCATCAATCAGGTGGATAAAGAAAATGTAACAATAATAATAATAATCATGGCATTCCAAGCAACCTGGATGAAGCTGGAGACCATTATTCTTTTTTTTTTTTTTTTGAGATGGAGTCTCACTCTGTTGCCCAGGCTGGAGTGCAATGGCGCGATCTCAGCTCACTGCAAGCTCCGCCTCCCGGGTTCACACCATTCTCCTGCCTCAGCCTCCCGAGTAGCTGAGACTACAGGCGCCCGCCACCACGCCCAGCTAATTTTTTGAATTTTTAGTAGAGATGGGGTTTCAGCATGTTAGCCAGGATGGTCTCGATCTCCTGACCTCATGATCTGCCCGCCTTGGCCTCCCAAAGTGCTGGGATTACAGGCGTGAATCACCTCGCCCGGCTAGTTATTCTAAGTGAAGTAACTCAGGAATGGAAAACCAAACATCATACGTTCTCACTTGTAAGTGGGAGCTAAGCTATGAGGATGCAAAAGCACAAGAATGATATAATGAACTTTGGGGACGCAGGGGGAAGGGTGGGAGGGGGATGAGGGATAAAAGACTACACATTGGGTACAGTGTACACCGCTCAGGTGATGGCTGCACCAAAATCTAGGAAATCACCACTGAAGAATTTATCCATGTAACCAAATACCTCCTGTTCCCCAAAAACCTATTGATAAAAATAATAATAATAATAATAATAATAATAATAATAATAATAATAATAATTTTAAAAAAAGAAAAAAACAGGCCGGGCGCGGTGGCACACACCTGTAATCCCAGCACTTTGGGAGGCCAAGGTGGGTGGATTGTCTGAGCTCAGGAGTTTGAGACCAGCCTGGGCAACATGGTGAGACCTCATCTCTACTAAAAATACAAAAAACTGGCCAGGCATGGTGGCACAAGCCTGTAGTTCCAACTGCTCGTGAGGCTGAGGCAGAAGAATCACTTGAACCCAGGAGGTGAAGGTTGCAGTGAGCTGAGATGGTACCACTGCACTCCAGCCTGCGCGACAGAATAAGGCTGCCTCCAAAAAAATAAAAATAAAAAATAAAAATAAAAAACAGGCCATCCCATCTAGGAAGTGAGGAGCGCCTCTTCCCGGCTGCCATCCCATCTAGGAAGTGAGGAGCGTCTCTGCCCGGCCGCCCATCGTCTGAGATGTGGGGAGTGCCTTTGCCCCGCCGCCCCGTCTGGGATGTGAGGAGCGCCTCTGCCCAGTCGCGACCCCGTCTGGGAGGTGAGGAGCGTCGCTGCCCAGCCGCCCCATCTGAGAAAGGAGGAGACCCTCCGCCTGGCAACCGCCCCGTCTGAGAAGTGAGGAGACCCTCCGCCCGGCAGCCGCCCCGTCTGAGAAGTGAGGAGCCCCTCCGCCCAGCAGCCACCCCGTCTGGGAAGTGAGGAGCGTCTCCGCCCGGCAGCCGCCCCGTCCGGGAGGGAGGTGGGGGTCAGCCCCCGCCAGGCCAGCCGCCCCGTCCGGGAGGGAGGTGGGGGGGTCAGCCCCCTGCCCGGCCAGCCGCCCCGTCCGGGAGGTGAGGGGCGCCTCTGCCAGGCCGCCCCTACTGGGAAGTGAGGAGCCCCTCTGCCCGGCCAGCCGCCCCGTCCGGGAGGGAGGTGGGGGGTCAGCCCCCCGCCCGGCCAGCCGCCCCGTCCGGGAGGTGAGGGGCGCCTCTGCCCGGCCGCCCCTACTGGGAAGTGAGGAGCCCCTCTGCCCGGCCACCACCCCGTCTGGGAGGTGTGCCCAACAGCTCATTGAGAACGGGCCATGATGACAATGGTGGTTTTGTGGAATAGAAAGCGGGGAAAGGTGGGGAAAAGATTGAGAAATCGGATGGTTGCTGTGTCTGTGTGGAAAGAAGCAGACATGGGAGACTTTTCATTTTGTTCTGTACTAAGAAAAATTCTTCTGCCTTGGGATCCTGTTGATCTGTGACCTTACCCCCCAACCCTGTGCTCTCTGAAACATGTGCTGTGTCCACTCAGGGTTAAATGGATTAAGGGTGGTGCAAGATGTGCTTTGTTAAACAGATGCTTGAAGGCAGCATGCTCGTTAAGAGTCATCACCACTCCCTAATCTCAAGTACCCAGGGACACAAACACTGCGGAAGGCCTCAGGGTCCTCTGCCTAGGAAAACCAGAGACCTTTGTTCACTTGTTTATCTGCTGACCTTCCCTCCACATATGACCCTGCCAAATCCCTCTCTGTGAGAAACACCCAAGAATGATCAATAAAAATAAAAATTAAAAAAAAAAAAGGAAAACAAACAAAAAAACAAAAATAAAAAACAGAAAAATCCCTATTTCGTTAGCATTATATAATGTACTAAACATATTCCTTAAATATAATGCATAATTACCTATTATTACTAATCTTATCAATCTTTACCAACTGAAAATTCTATAAAATTTGTTTTAACACAATACTCCCCAATAGGCTGTATTTCCACCGTTATTTTTAAGTCAACGAAAGATAAGATCTTTGGGAAGATACAGGCAACTATGTCTTAAACTGAAAAGTACACAGGGCATAGCTAACTGGTCTTACACCACTCACAGTTTAGCAGAAAACAGCTGACAAATTACTCTCCAGACAAGACATAAAAGATCAAGAAATCCTAAAATTGTTTTTTAAAACATGGGGTGAAATCTCACCTCACAATTTATACCAGAATAAATCTCAGCAGTATCAAAAAGAAATCATATGTAAGAAATGAAACCTCAGAGGTACAAGAAGAGGCCAACAGTGTGGCTCATGCCTGTAGTCCCAGCTACTCACCAGACTGAGGTGGGAGAATCCCTTGAGCCAAAGAGCTTGAGGTCACAATGAGCTATGATTATACTACTGTACTCCAGCTTGGGTAACAGAGCAAGACCCTGTCTCCTAAAAAAAAAAAAAAAAAAAAAAAAGAGAGAGGCCAGGCGCAGTGGCTTGCACCTGTAATTCCAGCACTTTGGGAGGCCAAGGCAGGCAGATCACAAGGTCAGGAGTTTGAGACCAGCCTGACCAACATGGTGAAACACCGTCACTACTAAAAATACAAAAATTAGCCAGGCATGGTGGCGCATGCCTGTAATCCCAGCTACTCAGGAGCCTGAGACAGAATTGCTGGGAGACAGAGGTTGCAGTGAGCTGAGATCGCGCCACTGCACTCTAGCCTGGGTGACAGAGCTAGACTCCATGTCAAAAAATAATAATAATTATTAAAACAAAAATGAAATTTCCCAAGGAGGAGGAAGAAGAAAAATAAAGGGAAAAAAAGCAAATTTCTATGTAGGAAAAAACTACCATGAGCAAAATCAGAAGACAACTGACAAATGGAACAAAATGTCTGTCCCTCAGATCACAGATTAAGGGCTAATTTATATAAAAAGCTGGGCATGGTGGTGCATGCCTATAGTCTCAGCTGCTCAGAGGCTGAGGTGGAACGATCGCAGACCAGCCTGGGCAACACAGTGAGATCCCATCTCTAAAAAAATTTAAAAATTAAAAATAAATAATCATAAAAGAGATCTCCTACCAACTTAATTTTTTTTTTTTTAAAGACCAGAATCCTAGTAGAAAAGCGGGTTCAGGACATGAACAACTCATAGAAAATACAGATGGCTCTTAAATATACAAAACAATGCTTAATTCATAGCACAAGAAACACCAGAAAACTCTAGTGTTATACCATCTTTCATCTGTCAAATTAGCAAAGATCAAAATAACAATACACTATGCCACAAGTAAAAATTGGTACAATTTTTAGAAGGCGATTTGACTATGTCTCTAAAATTACAAATGCACATATCCTTTTCACCCAGCAATTCCTCACAGGAATTTATTCCTCAGATATACTAGCAACAAGGCAAAATGATGTATGTACAAAGTGATTTATTGCAGTATAGCGTGTAAAGACTAGAAACATCAATGTCCATCAAAAGAAGAATTATGATAAATGTACACAATGGGATATTGTACAGGCATTAAAGATGCTTTTACACAATAATGTCTTTATTGACAAAGAACAATCTCCGAAGTATACAAATCAAAACAAGGTGTAAAACAGTGCAGATGCTAAAGTTTGCATTTTTATAAAGGAGGAAAACTATATCTGTAATTTTGTGTATTAAAACATTGGCTATCTCTGGAAATACATACAAGAACTTAATACTGGTTACTTCAGAGGAGGGGGACAGGGTGGCACTGGAGGGCAAAGTGTGAGAGACTTCATTGCATGCTCTTTGAATTTTGAACCATGTGAACGTATTACCTATTAAAAAATAAAATAGGCCTATGAGACGTCACAATACCTAATTCCCAATGCAGACTTTCTCACTAAGTTACTTGAGAAAGGCCGGGCGCGGTGGCTCACTCCTGTAATCCCAGCACTTTGGGAGGCCGAGTCGGGTGGATCACCTGAGGTCAAGAGTTCGAGACCAGCCTGGCCAACATGGTGAAACCCTGTCTCTACTAAAAATACAAAAATAAGCCGGGTGTAGTGGCAGGCGCCTGTAATCCCAGCTACTCGGGAGGCTGAGGCAGGAGGACCACTTGAACCCGGGAGGCAGAGCTTGCAGTGAGCATTACGCCATTGCACTCCAGCCTGGGAGACAAGAGTGAGACTTCACCTCAAAAAAAAAAGTTACTTGAGAATATCCACTATCCATTCATCCAATATTTATTGAATTCTATATGCTTCAGGCACCATTTTAGATCCTGGTATCTCACCAACAAAGACAGATAAAGCCCTCCTCTTGTAGATTTTAGGTGGGACTAGTCAGTAAGCAGGCAACAAAATGAACATCAGCAAGGAACATGAAGAACAATCAGTCAGGAAAGGGGAGTGGAACGACTGAGGTGGAAAGGTGATGGCAGTGCCTTTCTGGGCAGGGCTAAGAGAAAGCTTCTTTCACAGAACCACATTTGGGCAGAGACCTGAAGAAGTGAGGGAGCCAGCGCCATGGCCACTGGGGAGGGGATTCTAAGCAGAGGGGCTAAGGATTCTAAGCAGAGCGTGTACCATTGGCTCCACGGGTGGGACGGGGAGGGGTGCAGCTGCTCTTCATGGAATGCAATGGATGGAATAAATGAGGAGGAGGTGGCAGCAAATCACACTGGGGAATCGGGGAGGGGAAAAGCACTGTATCAAAAGCAATTCAGATCTTATTCTAAGCGCTATAGAAACACATTAGAAAGTTTTAAGCAGCGAAGAATATGATCTGACCTATACTGTTTAAACGATCACTCTGGCTGACATCAGGAGAACAGACTGTAAGAGGCAAGGATAGAGGTGGGCAGCCAGTTGGAGACCTCTGTAATAATCCAAGTGAGAGACGCTGCTTCCTTAAACTAGGGTGGTAGTGGTAGAAGCAGAAGTGTTCAGATTCTGGATATATTTAGAGGCAGAGTCAACAGGCTCTACTGAAAGGACTGGAAGTAGATCGTGAAAAAAAGAACTCACAGGTGACTCCAAAAATATTTAACCCAAACAACTTTTTACAATGATCTAATGGGCTCATTTTTTAAAAGTCACACCTTCATATAAAGTTCAACTACTCTAAAACAGGTTATGAACACCATCAAAAAAAAGCAATGCTCATCTACATACCAAACTGGGAAGCTGCAGCCATTTTAAAATTGAAAAAACACATACTTGGGTTCATTCTCTAACTACTGAGCACCTACACCGTGCCAGGCATAATACTCGGTACTAGGGACCTAAATTATGCTTAAAATATATAACTGAACACCAAAAAAAAAAGACTGACAGGTAAAAATACCAAATTACTAACAGCTGTGGGATATGGAGTTTTTTTCTTCCTTGAGTTTTCCAATTTTCTACAATAAACTACTCTATTTTTATCTTTGGGGGGAAAAATTTTTCCTTTTTACTGCTGCCAATTAAGAAAAAATTCCCACACAGCAAATTGATTTAGTGATTTGAATGATTAACAGGCTTGCCTTCTAAAAAAGCTCCTAAACTAGGCAGATTTCTCAGGTCTTTCTTTCATGCCTGTACCTGTTTGTTACCAGTGCTATGGTAAGATATGGGAGATGTATGGGAAGTGGGGGGAAGAGAGAAATACAGTAGAGAGAAATGAGGGGTACAAATAACCACCTGCTGTTCTTTAAATATATCATGTCACCAAACACAGATGAGAAAGATCAGGCGAACAACTGTTCATTGAAAATATTTAACCAAATACCTACTGCATACAATATGCTTACCATAGCAGTCTGCCCACTGTCAATAAGTAAATGACAAAGTCCCTTGTATATTTATCCATTCATTCAAATATTTATGAAGTACCTATAATGCATCAAAGGCACTGAGCTAGCATGCAGAATAGACAGGAGTTCAGCAATCAATCAGATAAAATCAGCCCTCAATAGTCTGCAATCTAGTTTGGTGGGTAGGGAGTAAAGAGACATTACATTTCAATTTCTTATTTAATTACTACCGTGGCATGCATTAGAGAGGCGACTTGGTAGACGGTAACAGGGAGACCGGATCTAGTCTGAAGGTCAGGGTAAAACGCTTGGACAAAATTACATATGAGCTAAGATTTCAAGGAGTAGGAGTTAAACAGATGAAGGGGCAGAGAGTGAGGAATAGAAGCACATTCCAGGCAAAGGAAACAGTATATTAAGAAGAATCTAGGCTGGGCACGGTGGCTCACAACTATTATCCCAGTGCTCTGGAGGCCAAGGCAGGAGGACAGCTTGAGGCCAGGAATTAGAGACCAGCCTGGGCAACATGGCGAGAGCTTGTCTCTAAAAAAATAAGAAAGAAAAAAATTAGCCGAGTGTGGCGGCACATGTCCACAGTCCTAGCTACTTGGAAGGCTAAGGCAGGAGGATAGCTTAAGCCCAAGGAGTTTGAGGTTACCGGTGGGCTATGACTGCAGCACTGCACTCCAGCCTGGAAGACAAAGCAAGACCCTGTGTCAAATAAATAAATAAATAAGAAGAAGAATCTATGTCAAAAAAGGTTAAGGTTTGTGAGAGGAATTAAAAGGAAGCCAGCAAGTCAGAAAGATATAATGAAGGGAAGAGTGACTGATAAGGTAGGCAAGGGGTAGTTTCATGCAGGGCTTGTACGCTGTGTTAGGAATTTAGTCTTTCATGCTAAAAGCAACAGGAACCACTGAAAGATTTTCAAGCCTGGGAGTGACAATCCGATTCACATTTTTAAAGATCACTGACTGCTCTCCAGAGAATAGATTAGAGGGAGCAACAGTGGACCAGGAGACCAGTCAGAGGCTGTACAGTGCCCAGGTGAGATGAGTGAGGGCAGTGAAAACAAAAGCAGATGTAGTCAAGATATATACTTCAGAGAGAAAATCAATAGGAATTAGTGATAGAGTGAAAGTAGGTGGAGGGAGTGAGGTAAAGGAAAAGACAGTCTCATGAGTGACAAGACAGTAAGGCATATAAAGACATTCCATGCAAATAGTAACCAAAATAAACTGTCCAATCCTCAAAACAAAATTAGGGCAAAAACAAATAGAGATAATGAAGAGTATAGTATACCAACACAAAGAACAATGCACAGACTAACAATTTTGAATTTAATATAAAGCAAAACTGGCAAAGAGAAACTGTCAAGTCCAGAATCACAATGAGATATTTATAACACATCTATCAGAAACTGATAAATAAGAGGGGCAGTCATAAAAATAGTAATGATATGGACATGTGAACAGTATTACAAACTTCATCAAACATGCATGCACAGATATATGTCACCTTCAGCCTAACAGATAAGGAATATACATCCTTTTAAAAAGATATGGAATGGTTTAACTAGGTTACAAAGAAAGACTCACCAAATCTCAAACAACCAATATCATAAAAACATATTCCATGACCACACAATGCAAATAAATTAATCAGTTAAAAAAAATTAAACAGCATAGAAACTTAAAAATGCTTGCTTAGGGGAGGCTGAGACGGGCAGATCGCTTGAGCTCAGGAGTTCGAGATCAGCTTGGGCAACGGCAAAACCCGGTCTCTGCCAGGCGTGGTGGTACACGCCTATAGTCCAATCTGGGGGTGAGAAGGGGGGTGGGGGATGGGGGAATCACTTGAGCCCAAGAGGCGAAGGTTGCAGTGAGCCGTGATGATGTCACTGTACTCCAGCCTGGGTGACCAAGTGAGACCCTGTCTTTAAAAAAAAGAAAATCACTTGCTTAGAACTCAAAGATTAAGGAGAGAATAAAAATGGAAATAACAAACTAGGCCTGGTCCAGTGGCTCATGCCGGTAATCCCAGCACTTCAGGAGGCCGAGGCAGGCAGACTGCTTGAGCCCAGGAGTTGGAGACCAGCCTGGGCAATATGATGAAACCCTGTCTCTACTAAAAAAAAATAAAAAATTAGCTAGGCATGGTGGCACGTGCCTGTAGTCCCAGCTACTTGGGAGGCTGAGGTGGGAGGATCACCTGAGCCTGGGAGGTCAAGGCTGCAGACAGTTGTGATCGAACCACTGCACTCCAGCCTGAGCAACAGAGTGAGACCCTGTCTCCAAAAAAAAAAAAAAAAAGAAAAGAAAAGAAAAAGAAACAAAAAATTAGGTCTTGACATGCTGAAGACTATTATTTAATACCACAATGATTATACCCACACAGCTAACATACAAGAAGCTCCTCAAACAACACTTAGAGGGAATGTTACAGCCTTGAGCCACCATTAAAAAGCAAGAAAGGATGAACACGTTTTCAATTCAGTAAGCTAGAAAAAGAACAGAGTAAACCTAAAGAAAGGAAATAAAGATGACATTCACAAAACAGAAAGCAGATACTAGCTGACTCTTTGAAAAAAATTTTAATTGACAAACTCTTATAAGTCTGTTCAAGAAAAAAATTAAAATATGAATGAAGGGGTGAAGCTAAAGCTGGTGACTGAACCCAGCAGCCACCCAAGCAGCAGCAGAAAAATGACAGTGCACAGGAGCTCTGGAGCTGAGGAGGGAGAGCCACAGTTCCACCCAAATATCACCACACCCATGACTGGAGCTGAGGAGGGGAGAGCCACAGTTCCACCCAAAAATGACCACACCCACGACTGGAAACAGGTGGTCCAGAAAGCAAAAGGCAACTGAGTGGGAAAAGGAACTGGCAAAAACCACTCTCAAGAAGGCAGATCTTAAGCTGCCAGTGGCAGAGACGGAACTCTGCCGGAGCATATGTCGTAGAAGTTTTAATTGCCCTAACAAACTAACTTGCGCTTTCACAGGAATACCTGCTGTATTAATTTATTGCAATAAATAGTTTTTCCTTTGGTGATGGAGAAAAGGCACAAGAAACAATTTTAGGAACAAAAAGGAAATATGACTTCTGATATAGCAGAAACTTATAATGGAAAAGAAAAGGGAAGAGGACTGAGCAATTAAAGAAATCCGATAGTTAAATTCTAGGTAGAGTAGAAAGAACTAGCAAAGGAGGTGAAGTACTGAGTGGGTCAAAAATGTATAAAAAAAAGTTGAGGTTAAAATGTCAAGACAAAGAATGTTTCAATAAAGAGAAGATGATCAATTGTGTCAAATGCTGCTGAGAGGTCAAGGAAGTTGTGGGCCAAGCGGTGTCCAATGGATCTGGCAACATGAAGTTGAGTCATCAGTATCCTGGAGAAATTAGAGCAGTGAGAAGCAAGGCCATATTGCAGTAGAAGGCTGTTTCTATCTGAATTAGCGATTTTGGAGCTAAACCATTTCAGCTGATGACAAGATCCCGCATGTCACTGTGGGAGAGAGTGCCAGAGGTGGACTAGAGGAGATTAGTAGGGTGGACATGGAAGCCAAGAAAGCTAGCACCAAGGTACTTCCTGGGTCATGTGATGAAGATGAAACCACCCAAGATGATGGCGGGAACTGGAGTGGAAAGGAAGGCTGTGAGTCAGGCACTGGAGTCTTCAATGATTAAAAGTGGCTGGGAAGTCAATATATGGCCATGAGGAAGAGAGAGAAAGGTGTCATGAGTCTAAGGGTAGAGGCTCCAAAGGGATGCCAGGAGTGGCAAATGGACCAAAGCCTGGTCTAATGTGGCACTTCCAGTGTATCAGTCAGGGTTCTGTGAAGCCCTTTCCAGCTCAACTTGTGAGATACTCTCTGAGCTCCCTGGCAAAGTCAGACTGCTGCCACATCAAGGAAAGCCCTGAGCACAACAGCCATCATTTTTAAATTAGCTGAGCTAATAATGCCTTCAGTCTTGCTAACTACGTGTACACCGATTCTATAATTTAAAGGGAGGAAAAAGGCAATGTAAGGAGTAGTGTAATTCTTGCAACTAATGGGAAAGAAGTAGAGACAGCAGCAAAGCCACCTGCTTCTGGAAGGGAGAGTGCAAGCATTTTCTCCAGGACACCAGGATAGGGAAAGCAAAACTTCCAAACAAAGCTAGTTTCAGGCAATGAAGACACTATGTAAAGCTTCCTTCTGGGTTATCCCAAAAGAATTCTAACAACATAAGATTGGAGGTTGTGACTGTCTTACTCCATTTTCTGCTGCTATTAACAGAATACCACAGACTAATTTTTTTTTTTTTTTTTTTTTTTGAGACAGAGTCTTGCTCTGTCACCCAGGCTGGAGTGCAGCGGCGCAATCTTGGCTCACTGTAGCCTCTGCCCACTGGGTTCCAGCAATTCTCCTGCCTCAGCCTCCTGGGTAGCCGGGATTACAGGCACACGCCACCACGCCTGGCTAATTTTTGTATTTTTGGTAGAGACACGGTTTCGCCATGTTGGCCAGGCTGGTCTCCAACTCCTGACCTCAGGTGATCCGCCCGCCTCGGCCTCACAAAGTGCTGGGATTACAGGCGTGAGCCACTGCACCTGGCCAGACTGAGTAATTTATAAACAAGTTTATTTGGCTCACGGTTCTGATGGCTGGGTACTCCAAGAATATGGCGCTGGTATCTGGTGGAAGTCATCCCATGGCAGAAGCAGAAGCAAGTGCCCAACACAGAGACAGGAAATTGGCCAACTTGTTTTTATGTCAAACCCAGTCTCATAATAACTAACCCACTCCCTCAATAATGGCATTAATCCATTCGTAAGGGCAGAGCCTTCATGATCTCATCAGCCCTTAAAGGCCCCATGTCAATTAAATCCTAAAATGAGTTTTGGTGGGAACAGATATTGAAATCATAGCAATGATTAATTTTGAAAAGCCTCTCAATCAATGCAAAAGGGCTAGCAAGCCTCTGTCTGTGAGTTCCAGTCACCAGCAGATAATTTTGGCTTGTGAAAGGGATTTTGAAAGATTATCTAAGGGCCTGGCAAGGTGGCTCACGCCTGTAATCCCAGCACTTTGGGAGGCTGAGGCAGGCAGATACCTTGAGTCCAGTAATTCAAGACCAGCCTGGGCTACACGGCAAAACCCTGTCTCTACAAAAAAACACAAAAATTAGCTGGGCATGGTGATACACACCTGTAGTCACAACTGTTTGGGAGACTGTGGGAGGCTGGCTTGAGCCCAGGAGGCAGAGGTTGCAGTGAGCTGAGATCACACTGCACTCCAGCCTGGGCAACAGAGCGAGAGAGTGTGAGAGGGCGAGAGAGCGTGAGAGAGCAAGAGAAAGAAAGAAAAAGAAAGAAAGAGAGAGAGAGAAAAAGAAAGAAAGATTATCTGATGTATTCAAGTGAGTCCTTGTTGGAGGACTATAATTTCAACAAATTAGTTCCAATTTTGTTCAACTTAAAAATGAACATAATGTGCCTACTACGTACAGGCACTTATTGATATGATCAATAAGATATGGTTTCTTCCCTCAAGATTCACAGTCCAGTAGGGTAAACAGAGATTCAAACAAAAAATTCCAATATTGTGTGAAAAGGTGGCAGCTCAATCATAGTAGTCAAACAGCAAGGGCAAAGGAAAGACAGGTTTAAACCACGAAACAGTACAATGCAGTCAAAGGTGCACTCAATGTGCCAATTCCAGTGTGTTGTATTCCCTGCTGTACCGGTTCTCCTATGAGCTTGTCTCGAGAAAAGAACTATGTCTATTACATCTGGGTCCCAAAACCTAGACCAGTGCAAGACCTCAGTGTAGTTTGCATTTCTTACTCGCTTATCCAATATCTACTTACAGATCATTCTCCTATCTACTATCTCATACCCCAACTCCAAAGTAGTCTCCAGAGCAATCAAGTTGTTGGGTAATCCAATCTCTTTGCTAAAGGTATGGGTTAGTAAAGACTGGGTTAACCAGTGCGTATTTCCTTGGCCGCAGGAATGGGCTGGTTAATCCAATTTGGAACAACAAGTCAAAGAAGGAGGTTTGGTAAAGGCTTCTATAAAATAAGCTTCCTTATTTTTATGACAGCCTGATTAGAAGAGCTGTTCATTCTCATCCTGGATATTAGCTCTCATTTTGGTCTATGTGGTACGGTGATGTGAAGCCTAACATTTCCACCACTGTTTTGCCACCTAAACCGGGCTGAAACACGGTAGAAAGCAGAACCAATGGAATCTCAGCAAAACGGAGCTGGCATCCCAATCAAACCATGCCTGAAGCCCACTGTACCTGTGGAATTTTCAGTGACATACACCAATACACCCCTTTAAAATTTAAACAGTTTGAATGGGTTTCCTGTTACTTGTAAACCACAACATTCCTAAGTATGCTAAATGCTAAAACACACTAGTGAACCCAGCATGGGCAATATGGCGAAACCCTGTCTATACAAAAAACACAAAAATTAAACGAGCACAGTGGCTCGAGCCTGTAGTCCCAGCTACTCAGGAGGCTGAGGTCAAAGAGTTGCTTGAGACCAGGAGGCTGAAGCTACAGTAAGCCATGATCGCACCGCTGCACTCCAGCCTGGGTGACAGAGAGAGATCCTGTCTTAAAAAAAAAAAAAAATAGCTGAGCATGGTGCTAGGCACCTGTAATTCCAGCTACTTGGGAGGCTGAGGCAGGAGGACTGCTTGAACCCGGGAGGCGGAGGTTGCAGTGAGCCAAGATTGTGCCACGGCACTCTAGCCTGGGCGACTGAGTGAGACTCTGCCTCAAAAAAAAAAAAAAAAAAAAAAAAAATATATATATATATATATATATGCAGTTATGCTTTGACCCAGTGTATCCACTGGAAATTTATCATACATGTGAGGTTAAATTTATCATACATGTGGAAATTTATCATACATGTGAGGAAATGATCCTCCTCTGGAAATTTATCATACATGTGAGGTTATTCACTGCAGCATTATTCTTTTTTTTTTTTTTTTTTTTGAGACAGAGTCTTGCCCTGTCACCCAGGCTGGAATGCAGTGGCGCGATCTCGGCTCACTGCAAGCTCCACTCGCTGGGTTCACGCCATTCTCCTGCCTCAGCCTCCCAAGTAGCTGGGAATACAGGTGCCTGCCACTACACCTGGCTAATTTTTTTTTTTTATATATTTAGTAGAGACGGGGTTTCACCGTGTTAGCCAGGATGGTCTTGATCTCCTGACCTTGTGATCCACCTGCCTCAGCCTCCCAAAGTGCTGGGATTATGGGCGTGAGCCACCGCGCCCGGCCATTATTCATATTTTTTAAAGGGATCATCAATCAATCAAGAGTGATGTCGTCAAATAAATTATGGTACATCCACAGCATGGAGTACAAAGCAATGACAAGAAAGAGTGAAGCTCTCTTTTACTAAAATGGAAAGATCTCCAATATAGATCATTAAGCAGAAAAAACAAGATGTAAAATACCATACACAGTATGTTCCCTCAATTCCTTCCCATCTCTGCTCAAATGTTGTCTTATTCGTGTAACAACAAAAGAATAAGTCAAAAACAAATAAAATATTATCTATAGTTAGAGGAAGGGAGCTAGGAGGGGGAAGGAGGACAGGACTAGAAGACAGACCTCTCTGAATATAACCTTGTTCTATATGCTGCAACCATGTAAATGTTCTGCATAACTGAAATATAAAATTAAATTTTAAAACCAATCTCTCCTGTTCTAAAACTAGACTACAGTGATAATTGTACAACTCAATAAATTACTAAAAATCATTCAATTGTACACTTAAAACAGATAGCAAGAAGAAATAATTTGAGCGCATTCAAGTTTTTTGTTTGTTTTTAGAGACAGGGTTTCGCTCTGTTACTCAGGGTGGAGTGCAGTGGTATGATCATAGCTCACTGAAGCGTTGAATTCCTGGGCTTAAGCCATCCTATCGCCTCAGCCTCCCAAGTAGCAGGACTACAGATGTGTACCACCATGCCTGGCTAGTTTTTAAATTTTTTGTAAAGACAGGGTCTCACAATGTTGCCCAGGCTGGTCTCAAATTCCTGGTCTTAAGTGATCCTCCCACCTCAGCCTCCCAAAACTGGATCAAGGTTTTTATTTTTTTGGAGACAGGCTCTTCCTCTGTTGCCTAGGCTGGAGTGCAGTGGCTTGATCTCGGTTCACTACAACCTCTGTCTCCCCAGCTCAAATGATCCTCCCACCTCAGCTTTCCAAGTAGCTGGGACTACAGGCACAGGTCACCACTCCTCGTTGATCTTTTCAAAAAATTTTAATAGAGATGAGGTCTGTTTTGCCCAGGCTGGTCTGGAACTCCTGAGATAAAGCAATCTGCCCACCTCAGCCTCCCAAAGTGTTGGGATTACCGGCGTGCGCCACCGCACCCAGCTGGATTAAGTTTTAAGAGGCGGTGAAACAATCAAAGAAAGCTAGTAAAGACCAGTGCCTCTTCAACTTTAGTGTGTACCTGAAACACTTGAGGATTGTCTTAGAATGCAGATTTAATTCAGTAAATGGGGCCAATATTCTGCACTTCCAACAGGCTCCCAGGTGACCGCTGATGATGCTGATGTAGCTCTGTGGATCACACTTTGAGGGCTGAGACAATTTAAACAACTAGAGGTGCTTTGCTCTAAGAAGTAGCTGAGAAATGGGCCAGCAGCAACTGGAGGCACATGACCCATAGAAAATGAGTGGGTGGGCTGGGTGCGGTGGCTCATGCCTGTCATCCCAGCACTTTGGGAGGATGAAGCAGGACCACTGGAGCCCAGGAGTTCAAGACCAGCCTGGGTAACATAGTGAGACTCCATCTCTACAAAAAATGTAAAAATTAGCCAGGGGTGTGGTGGTGCACCCTTTTAGTCCCAGCTACTTGGGAGTGTGAGGTGGGAGGATCGCTTGAGGCCAGGAGTTAAAGGTTGCGGTGAGCTTTGATCACATTACTACACTACAGTCTGGGTGACTGAGAGAGACCCTGCCTTAAAAAAAAAGAAAGAAAATGAGTGGGTGTCAGAAAGAGTCTCTCCCCCTGACAACTGTTTTAAAATGAGAGAAACAGCGACACGTTTGTAGGAAACAGAGAATACCGATTAGCCAAAATGAGGTGGGATTTAGCGAACGAGTCGGGGAGGTGACTTTAGACAGGGGCAGAGCTCTTCCTTAAAAATAGAAGGGAAGGCATCCGGTACAGACAGAAGCTGAGATGTGAGGGTAGAAATCTGGAGAAATTCTCTTTTGACTGTTTAATTGTTCTAAGTGAAATAAGAAGTACAGTCATCAACTAAGAATAAGGATAGGGAAGTAGGTTATTGAAGATCTGAGGACAAAGTTGTAAAATTGTCATCTAGGCTGGGCACAGTGGCTAATGCCTGTAATCTCAACACTTTGGGAGGCCAAGGTGGGCGGATCATAAGGTCAGGAGTTTGAGACCAGCCTGACCAACATGGTGAAACCCCGTCTCTATTTAAAATACAAAAATTAGCCAGGCGTGGTGGTACATGCCTGTAATCTCAGCTACTCAGGAGGCTGAGGCAGGGGAATCGCTTGAACCCAGGAGGCAGAGGTTGCAGTGAGCCAAGATCACGCCATTGCACTCCAGCCTGGGCAACAAGAGTGAGACTCCATCTTAAAAAAAAAAATTGTCATCTAGAAGGGTGGGGTCAGTGTGGTGCAACTGCTTGTCAGCACCATGCACCCCTCCAAGGTGATGGTTCTGAATCTTAGGGGAGTGTAGGCAGCACAGATGTGCTATCCTTCAACCACATGCAGGGCACACGTGCAGATGTGCAGTAGGCAGAGGATTCACTTTAGCCAAGACTGGGATCGAGTGTGTATACGAGGGGCGTTATAATGATTGCTCACTGCACTGGAACAGGGGTAATGCTTGAGACAGTGGCAGTGAGGCAGGGGCTGAAAACATTGAGAAAGGAAGGGAAGCGATAGCACCCCGAGACAGCACTGATACAATCTGATGACTTCAGCCCTAAAGGAGGACAATACACTAATGTAGTACATTACTTTGGAACTAGCACCAAAAGAAAATACATTTTAAGACACACTTTTTAAATCATACTAAGAATTCTAAAAGAGGCCAACATTTAAATGACCACCACTAAGGAAGATAATCCTACCCTCCCCAAGCCTTGCACAAGCTTCAGCCCTCACACTGCAGCTCACACTCCCAGAAGGAGCCAGCAGCTGCCACATCCTTAGGCCTTGAACTTCTAGTTCTCTTGGTTTAGAATCCCCTCCCCTTTCAGCTGACCCACCATCTGAATTCAAATGACACCTTATTAAATCTTCTCTAAAGTTCCTGCTGCAATTGAGACAAATATTACACTGTCATCACCTACTATCTGAACCAAATGGAACAGAGTCCACCTTGTGGAGTGGTTCTTGTATTCTGCCCTCTAGTTAGGGCAGCAAGAATGATCAGGAAGAAGAAAAATGAAGCAAAAAGCATGGCCAGCTTAGAATTCTAGATGAGCAACTGCTGAGTGAAAGTACCACAAGAGAGCTCTTCATGGAGCTAAAAGTTACACTTCACAGGACATAAGAAACTAGTCACCCTTCTTATATTCAATCACACATGAGATACTAAAGAAGTTAAGGGAAGACTTACCTAAATCAGGGTGCTTAAACTTTCTGTGCCATGGACTCCTTACAACTGTTTTTTGTTGTTTTAGAGACAGGGTTTCTGTTGCCCAGGCTGGAGTGCAGTGGTGTGACCATGACTCACTGCAGCCTCAACCTCCTGGGTTCAAGTGATCCTCCCACCTCAGCCTCTTGTAGCTGGGACAACAGGCACGTGCCACAATGCCCGATAATTTTTAAAAATTTTTTGCAGAGATGGGGGTCTCACAGTGTTGCCCAGGCTGGCCTCAAACTCTTGGCCTCAAACAATCCTCCCACCTCAGCCCCAATAATTTTTATTTTATTTATTTTTTATTTTGAGACGGAGTCTTGCTCTATCACCCAAGATGGAGTGCAACGGCGCGGATCTCCGCTCACTCAACCTCCGCCTCCCAGGTTCAAGCAATTCTCCTGCCTTAGCCTCCCAAGTTTCTGTGATTACAGGTGCCTGTTACCACGCCCAGCTAGTTTTTGTATTTTAAGAAGGGGTTTCACCATGTTGGTCAGGCTGGTCTCGAATTCCTGCCTCAGATAATCCGCCCACCTCAGCCTTCCAAAGTGCTAGGATTACAGGCATGAGCCACCGCACCTGGCCCCAATAGTTTTTAAATGCATAAATCTATAAAAGAAATCTATGGCCAGGCATGGTGGCTCAGACCTATAATCCCAGGACTCTGGGAGGCCAGAGCAGAAGGGTCACTTGAGCCCAGGAAGTCAAGGCTGCAGTGAGACCCGGTTTCCAAAAAAAAAAAATTCTACATTAAAGTACAGTTGTATTATACTAAATAACTATAACTTTTCAAAAATTTCTTAATTACATATTGAATAACAAGATCTAATGGGGCCAGGCGCAGTGGCTCACGCCTGCAATCCCAGCACTTTGGGAGGCCGAGGCGGGCAGATCACGAGGTCAGGAGATCGAGACCATCCTGGCTAACACGGCGAAACCCCATCTCTGCTAAAAACACAAAAAAATGAGCTGGACGTGGGGGTGGGTGCCTGTAGTCCCAGCTACTCGGGAGGCTGAGGCAGGAGAATGGCGTGAACCCGGGAGGTGGAGCTTGCAGTGAGCCGAGATCATGCCACTGCACTCCAGCCTGGGGCACAGACCAAGACTCCGTCTCAAAAAAAAAAAAAAGATCTAATGGTAATTTCAAAGTAGTGATGGATGTAAATGATATTTGACACACATGCAACAACCACAATGTGATATGAAAACATCTGTGGGCAGGGAGTGCTGCCTCTGCCTCATGCCTCTAATCCCAATGCTTTGGGAGGCCGAGGTGGGAGGTTCGCATGAGCCCAGGAATTCAACACCAGCCTAGGCTATAATATAGTGAGACTTTGTCTCCACAAAAAAAAAAAAAAAAAATTAAAAATTAGCCAAGCTTCATGTAGACCCATCTACCTGAGAAAGTCAGGTGGGAAGATCATTTGAGCCCGGGGATGGAGGTTGCAGTGAGCCCACATCACACCACTGCACTCCAGCCTGGGTGACAGGGAGACCCTCTCAAAAAAAAAAAAGGAAAAAATGTCTGTGATTTTCATTGATAATTGCCACAGGTCCCATTATTATTGTGATGTCTATATTCATAACTGAGGAACATGTTAAATGTCAGAAGTTAGTAAAATAAATAAATAAATTTTTTAAAGTGAAATATTTTTCCCATTCAGGCTACCCTCTAAATTCTAGTCAGGCTAAGGAGCCCTAATGAGTCAATGCTGTCTAATAGAGCAGACATAGTCTGCACATCTACAAAGGGATGGAAAATGCTGAGCTCCTATATCTGCTTTCCCTTCTCCCCAGAGTCTCTTCAACCTTTGAAAATTCCCACACTGCTCTCCCAGTAATCTCTCTCTGGTCTCTCTAAGGCTGCTCTCCTTTCCCCATTCTTACCCAGTTCCCCCTTATCCTTGCAGGGCTCCAGATGAAAGAAAACAGCAGTCAATTAGCAAGTCACATGTGAGAGATAGTAGAATGAGTCAGTTGCAGCCCTTTGGTATATCCTTGTATAACTAAAAGAAATATCTTACATTTGACAGTACCTTACCATTTCTGAAAGAGTGTTTATATAATTATCTCACTAATCCTAAAAAAACAGTGAAGTAGGCAGGACAGATATTCTCATCTCTATTTACAAAAAATGAAACCCGAGGCTCTGAGAGGTTAAACAACCTGCTCAAAGTCACACAGATCATCGTACAAAAGGCAAAATATGCACTGTTGGAGCAATCTCAACCTCTAAAAAGGCTCCAAACATGAGTTGGTCTATTTTAAACTCAGAACTGCTGGGATGGCAGCTTCAGGTTAATGCAGGGAGTAAAAGCTGGACAAAGTCACAAGTCTTTGTCCTATCAATTATTAATAATCCTATCAATTATTATCTATGTCCTTGAATCCATTTCTTCTTCCATAAAGTAGGAACAATAACAATAAATGACTGCCTGACCTTACCTCCCATAAAGCTCAACTAAAGTGCTCTATGTAAATGCTTTATAGACTGTGAAGTTATCATTCTCACCAATAATCAAGGATAGCATACAAACAAAAAGGCAACAAAGTATACACTCATTTATTCATTCAATAAATATTTCAGTGCCTGCAACATGCCAAGCACTGTTCTAGGTACCGAACAGGGGATACAATGATGAATAAGACAGAAAGGCTTATTCATGCTCTCAGGAAGCTTATGTTCAATAAGGAAGGTGAAAGAGACAGACAAATGCATACATAAGTAAACATGACAATACCAGTGCTATGGTCTGAATGTTTGTGTCCCCTCAAAATTCATTTGTTGAAACCTCATCAGCAATGTGATAATATCAGGAGGTAGGGGCTTCTGGGTGATTAGATCATGGTGGTGTGGCTCCCATGGATGGGACTGGTGCCCTTATAAAAGAGGTCCCACAGAGCTGCCTTCCCCCTCCACCATGTGAGGACACAGTGAGTAGACACCAACCAGAAAGAGAGCCCTCACCAGATAATGAATCCGCCAACACCTTCATCTTGACTTCCCAGACTCCAGAACTGTGAGAAATACACTTCTGTTCTTTACAGGCTACCTAATCTATGGTATTGTGTTACAGTAGTCTGAGAGACTAAGACAACCAGTAGTAAGTAGTATATGAAAGATTTTTTCTTTTTTTGAGACAGGGTCTTGCTCTGTAACACAGGCTGGAATGCAGTAGCATGAGCACAGCTCACTGCAACCTCAAACTCCTATGCTCAAGAGATCCTCCCATCTCAGTCTCCCCTGGAACTACAGGTGCGTGCTACCACATCTAGCTCATTTAAAAAAATTTTTAACATAGTGAGACAAGGTCTCAAACTCTGGGCCTCAAGCAATCCTCCTGCTTCAGCATCCCAAAGTGCTGGGATTATAGGCATGAGCCACTGTACCCAGACAAAGGGTATTTAAAAGAGTGATATTACTGAAGGTGGCCAATAGCTACCACAAATCGATGGTCAAGAGTAGGTTCTCTGATGGATGGTGACATTTCAGCTGTGATCTAAACAGCAAGAAGGAGCCAGCAATGCATAAAATAAGGGAGGTGAGCATTCCTAGTAGAGGAAGCAGTTAGTATAAAGAGGTTCTAGGGAGGGCACAAGTTGTACTAGCAAATCTCATCTAGCAGTGTATTAGGCTGTTCTTCCATTGCTACAAGGAAATACCTGAGACTGGGTAATTTATAAAGAAAGAGGTGGCCGGGCGCGGTGGCTCACGCCTGTAATCCCAGCACTTTTGGAGGCTGAGGCGGGCAGATCATGAGGTTAGGAAATCGAGACCATCCTGGCTAACATGGTGAAACCCCATCTCTACTAAAAATACAAAAAATTAGCCAGGCGTGGTGGTGGGCGCCTGTAATCCCAGCTACTCCAGAGGCTGAGGCAGGAGAATGGCGTGAACCCAGGAGGCGGAGCTTGCAGTGAGCCGAGATCACACTGCTGCACTCCAGCCTGGGTGACAGAGCAAGACTCCATCTCAAAAAAAAAAAAAAAAAGAAAGAGGTTTCACTGGCTCATGGTTCTGCAACCTCTACAGGAAGCATAGTGCTGCCATCTACTCAGCTTCTAGTGAGGCCTCAAGAAGCTTTCAATCATGGCAGAAGGTGAAGGGGGGGCAGGCACTTCACATGGAGAAAGAAGGTGCAAGAGGGAGACAAGGAAGTGCCACACACACTTTTAAACAGCCAGTTCTGGAGAGAACTCGTACTCACTAGCGTGAGGGCAGCACCAAGTAGATGGTGCTAAACCATTCCTGAGAAATCCACCCCTTGATCTAATCACCTCCCACCAGGCCCCACCTCCAATACTAGGGATTACTAATCAACATGAGATTTGGGCAGGGACCAGAGCTCCCAATGAGACTCCTAGTCCTGTGCTTACTGACAATATAAGTCCCTAGCTTATTGTTAAGCACTCTGGTTCTAGGGTTGAACAGAACTGGATTCAAACCCCAGGACAATGGCTTATTAGTTTTATAACCTATGCAAAGTATCCAGTTGCTACAAATCTCATTTTCTCACCTGTAAAATAAGGATACTAATAGTGTCTACTTTATAAGATTATTTGCAAAGATTTAACGAGATCATGGGGCCAGGTACGGTGGCTCACGCCTATAATCCCAGCACTTTGGAAGGCTGAGGCAGGTGGATCATATGAGGGCAAGAGATCCAGGCCATCCTGACCAACATGGTGAAACCCCGTCTGTAGTAAAAATACGAAAATTGGCCGGGCATGGTGGCACACGCCTATAGTCCCAGCTACTCGGGAGTCTGAGGCAGGAGAGTTGCTTGAACCTGGGAGGCGGAGGCTGCAGTGAGCCGAGATCACCCCACTGTACTCCAGCCTGGTGACAGAGCAAGACTCTGTCTCAAAAAAAAAAAAAGAGAGACCCTGCATAATCTGTTAGCACAATATCCATAATTATCCATAATCCACACTATTATTAACATGATTAATATGTTATTAATAATGTCAGCTATTACTATTATTATGTGATCTCTTAAATCTTGCTGTCTTTCTTATCAATACTTCCAGGGATGTTCAGATCATTTCTTTATATCCGAGAGGAAGAAAAAGAGTACTCATGGGCCAGGGTTCAGTGGCTCACACCTATAATCCTACCACTGTGGGAGGCTGTGATGGGAGGATGATATCAGGTCAGGAGTCCAAGACCAGCCTGGGCAACATGGTGAAACCCTGTCTCTATAAAAAAATACAGAAATTAGCCGGGCATGGTGCCTATAGTCCCAGATACTCAGGAGGCTGAAGTGGGAAGACCCCTTGATCCCAGGAAGCGGAGGTTGCAGTGAGTTGAGATCGTGCCAGTGCACTCCAGCCTGGGCAACAGAGCGAGACCGACCCTGTGTCCAAAAACAAAAAAAGTAAAAATTAGCCAGGTGGGTGTGGGTGGTAGCATGCTCCTATAGACTCAGCTACTTGGAAGGCTGAGGCAGGAGGATTATTTGGGCCCAGAAGGTTGAGGCTGCAGTGAGCCATGATTGTGTCACTGCACTCCAGCCTAGGTGACAAAGTGAAATCTTGTTTCATTAAAAAAAAAAAGAAAAAGGAAAAGAAAAGAGTACCCATGTCATATCTCTTCTATAAAATATTTCCTGGCCCAGCATGGTGGTTCATGCCTATAATCCCAACATTTTGGGAGGCCAAGGAAGGAAGATCGTTTGAACCCAGGCAAGACCAACCCAGACAACACAGCAAGACCTCGTCTCTACCAAAAAAAAAATTAGCCAGGCGTGGTGGTGCACACCTGTAGTCCCAGCTACATGGGAGGCTAAGGTGGGAGGATGGCTTCAGCCCAGGAGTTCAAGGCTGCAGTGAGCTATGATTGAGCCACTGCACTCCAGCCTGGGCTACAAAGTGAGACCCTGTCTCAAAAAAACAAAAACAAAAACAAAAACAAAAAAACACCTCCTAATTACTTTTTAGCCTACTATTTCCCACTCTCAGGAATCACATCAGTATCAGTCATAGTTCGTTTTTTGACAGAAAAGCTCGTGTAAGAGGCCTAGGCACAGGCCTTGGGTTTAACATCAGGCTCTACTGTAGCCCTTCATTATCCGTGGACACACTACAATCTCTCCAATGACAAAAAAAAAAAAAAAAAAAAAAAAATTCCCCAATGGATGGTTTTGAAGAGAAAATAAAAAGGCTATAAACTTTAAAGAGTTATGCATTTATCCTCTCACCAACTGTACACAGCACCTATTAATAGGCAATGTTCAGTTCTGAATGCCTTTTAGCAGCTGCCTTATCATTGCTGGTTTACTTATCTGTCTCACCACTAGACTGTAGGCACTTTGGGCCAGGGACTATGTCTTATTTATCTTTGGATCCACAGGTCCAATAAATGTTAGTTGAATGAATAAGCCCTTGATTATTCCATTGGACTGTGAACTCTTTGACAGCAGAGATTCTTAACAATATAGAGCAGGCACTCAGTAAGTCCTCTTAGAATGAGTGTGTGAATATCATGTCCGTCCTTGGTTAGATGATACTCTTAAGGTCAGGGCCCATACCTCATACTTCTTTGATTTCCCAAAGTCTGGCATACTGCTTTTCACACAAAAACTACTCAAATATTTATTAAATGAAATATTAAGGCAAGACAGAGCTCTAAAGCAGAGATCCAAGTAAGTAAAGAGAATGAGCACCTGTACAAGTTTTACTGTAGCAGAACAAAAAAGGGTAGTAAAAGGGTAAGCTGGCTGTGAGTCAACTAAAGAAAAAAACAGCTTCATGGCAGAGCAATAATCTACAATGCGGTAACTAAGATGTTAAAATATTCCCTCTTACTGAATTATTCTTACTTTTTTTTGAGATGGTCTCATTCTGTCGCTGAGGCTGGAGTGCAGTGGCTCAATCACAGTGCAGCCTCGACCTCCCCACCCTGGGCTCAAGCAATCCTCTTACCTCGGCCCCGAGTAGCTGGGACTACAGGCGCACACCACCACACTCAGCTAATTTTTAATTTTTGTAGAGATGGGGTCTCACTATGTTGTCCAGGCTTGTTTCCAACTCCTAGCCTCAAGAAATCCTCCCACCTCAGCCTCCCAACGTGCTAGGATTACAGGCGTGATGTAATCCTATGCCAGGCCTGATTCTTACTTTGTAAATATAAAATCCTTATAAATTCCTTCCTCATGAATGATTCTTGCTTCTTTCTTATAAAACCTATATATTTAAGCTATTTTCCTATTGATACAAAGCAAGATAAGCTGTAACACAAACTGATTTGGCATGTTTTTAGAATAATATATCTACTTTTTAAAAATCTACTACAAAATAGAATCGACGTCTGGGTGCGGTGGCTCATGCCTGTAATCCCAGCACTTTGGGAGGCCAAGGCGGGTGGATCACGAGGTGAGGAGTTAAGAGACCAGCCTGGCCAATACAGTGAAACCCCATCTCTACTAAAAAATACAAAAATTAGCCGGGCGTGGTGGCATGTGCCTGCAGTCCCAGCCACTCTGGAGTCTGAGGCAGAGAACTGCTTGAACCCAGGAGGCAGAGGTTGCAGTGTGCTGAGATCGAGCCACTGCACTCCAGCCTGGGCGACAGAGTGAGACTCCGTCTCAAATAAATAAATAAATAAAATAGAATTGATGACACAAAATATTTCTCAATTTACAAATTACCAACTGGCAGAGAAGCTGAAAAGTTGAGAAAAATGCTAAAAGAGCAGTGGACATCTTACGCTCAATCAGAAATAAAAATAAAGCATTTCTGAAATTAGAAATACAAGGCAACAAATTTAAAAATTTATAAAAAATATGATCTGCACACAACATTTTAGGGCAAATTATCTATTTGAAACCCAATGCAATATTCTTCTACTAGGCAGAGAAATACTTTTCCACTTCACCTTTACTCCTTAATTCCACTTGATACTTACATTGCTATGCCACATGCAGAGCACATATCCTCTACTTTGTATTATAATGATAAATACAAAATCAGCCGGGAACAATGGCTCACATCTGTAATCCCAGCACTTTGGGAGCACAAGGCAAAAGCATCACTTGAGCCCAGGAGTTCAAGGTCAGACTAGGCAACACAGCAAGACCCAGTCTCTACAAAAGAAAAAAATGTATTTATGTATGTATTTTTTGTTTGTTTGTTTTGTTTTGAGAGAGTCTCACTCTGTCGCCCAGGCTGGAGTGCAGTGGCACGATCTCAGCTCACTGCAAGCGCCACCTCCCGGGTTCAAGTATTCTCCTGCCTCAGCCTTCCGAGTAGCTGCGACTACAGGCACCCGCCACCACACCCAGCTAAATTTTTTTGTATTTTTAGTAGAGAGGGGGTGTCGCTGTGTTAGCCAGGACGGTCTCAAACTCCTGACCTCGTGATCCGCCCGCCTCGGCCTCCCAAAGTGCAGGGATTACAAGCGTGAGCCACCGCGCCTGGCCTACAAAAAATTTTTTAAAAATTATCCAGGCACAGTGGCACATGCCTGTAGTCCCAATTACTCAGGAGGCTGAGGCGGGAGGATCACTTGAGCCCAGGAGGTTGAAGCTGCAGTGAGCTATGATTGTGCCACTGCCCTCCAGCCTAGGTGACACAGTGAGACCCTGTTCCAAACACACACACACACACACACACACACACACACACACACAAAGCCAAACTCTTTAAAGACAGGAGTGTTAAATACACTTCACATCCGCCACAATAGACAGCAGTGCCTTGTATATACCAGTCATCAATAAATGCTTGATGAATGAGGATTATGATTTTTTTTTTTTTTTGAGACAGAGTCTCAGCTCTGTCACCCAGGCTGGAGTCCAGTGGCACAATTTCCGCTCACTGCAGCCTCAACCTCCCAGGCTCCAGCAATTCTCCCACCTAAGCCACCTGAATAGCTGGGGCCACAGGCGTGCACCACCACACCTGGCTAATTTTTTCTTGTAGAGATGAGCTCTCACTATGTTGCCCTGGCTGGTCTCAAACTCCTGGGGCTCAACCAATCCTCCTGCCTCGGTCTCCTAAAATACTGGGATTAAGGGCAAGAGCCAAGGTAACTTGTCACTGATGCTGTCAATTTCAAGTGTCCTGAAAATTAAAACTGAAGTCTACCAATTAGAAATGTCTACCAATTAAGGTTACTTCTATTTTTAAGGTCTTCTCCTGAATAACCAAACAAGATCACATTTCATATTACTGCACAAACTAACCTCACTGAGAAACAAACAGAATTATTCTCTGAGATACTAAATTCCAGACGACAAAAATCTTCCTATTTTTAAAACAAGGTTCTTGGCCAGGCGTAGTAGCCCACGCCTGTAATCCCAGCACTTTGGGAGGCCCAGGCAGGTGGATCACCTGAGGTCAGGAGTTCAAGGCCAGCCTGGCCAACATGGGGAAACCCCGTCTCTACTAAAAAGACAAAAATTAGCTGGGTGTGGTGGCAGGTGCCTGTAATCCCAGTTACTCGGGAGGCTGAGGCCTGCGAATGGCTTGAACCCGGGAGGCAGAGGTTGCAGTGAACCAAGATCATGCCATTGCACTCCAGCCTGGGGAATAGAGTGAGACTCTGTCTCCAAAACTAAAACTAAAACTAAAATAAAATAAAACAAGGTTCTTTAGCCATACAGCCAAACCACTCAGTGACAAAATCCACCATGTTTTGATGCTTGCTCAAGCTCAAGTTTGCCATCAAAGCACTTTACCCTTAAGTCACTATATTAAGTCAATGATAATAAATATCGTATAAGTGACACATTTCTTGAGGGCAGAGACTCTGACTACACCCAGCATCTAAAACAGTACCTCATATCTGGTAGGCATACTCCATGAATATTTGCTGAAAGAATGGCATTCATGACTATCTCACGGACTTCCATGACATATTCCAGGTGCTTCTCACCATTGCTCATATCTACCCATGAAGTCCTCCTTTTTTGGGAAGGTCTCGCTTTGTTGCCCAGGCTGGAGTGCACTGGCACGATCTTGGCTCACTGCAACCTCCACCTCCTGGGTTCAAGTGATTCTCCTGCCTCCTGAGTAGCTGGGATTACAGGCATGCGCCACCATACTTGGCTAATTTTTGTATTTTTAGTAGAGATGTGGTTTCCCCGTGTTGGCCAGGCTGGTCTTGAACTCCTAACCCCAGATGATCCACCCGCCTCAGCCTCCCAAAGTGCTGGGATTACAAGCCACCCATGCAATCTTTCAATATCTCATGACCACCCTCCTCTTCAAAGCCAAGAGAACCCAGGTATAGTATGAAAGTATCTCCTGCTTTAAATGATACATTAAGATGCTTTCCCCTCAGTATGCAAAATTCTAAAGTCAAATAAATCATCAATATTTCAGAAGTCAGCAAATAGCCCTTAATGGAAAAGAAACACAAGTTTCCAGTCATTCAGCAACCCTCTGTGACCTACTAAATTAAGTACAAGATTTCTCAAAGTAAATCTAATACAAAAAGTTACAGACTTCTAAACCTCTTTCTAAATTATAAAAGGGGAGCCAGGGAGGTGTGAAAAATTACAAAAGGGGAGAATGGTGTGAACATGACCCTCTCTGAAGCAGTAAAATATCTAAAACAAGTCTGTGGGGGGGAAATTTTTTTTAAAGGCATCTAGTTCACCCTCCCACACAAAGCAGGAATTCCTCCAATGTCACCAACAGGTGGTCCTGCAGTTTTTGACAAAGAGACAGAACATTTCCCATATGAGCATTCCCATAACAGAACGCTCATTCTCTCTCAAGTCAACCCATTACCTTCTTCTTTAATCAGGATCTAAAAATACTTTAGCTTTTATCAACTGACTCTTCTTCTGGCCCCAACTTCATCTCAGCATCATGAACATAAAGCTCTTCTAGCCGGGCATGGTGATTCACACCTGTAATCCCAGCACTTTGAGAGGCCGAGACGGGTGGATCACAAGGTCAGGAGTTCAAGACCAGCCTGGCCAAGATGCTGAAACCCTGTCTCTACTAAATATACAAAAATTAGCTGGGCATGGTGGCAAGTGCCTGTAATCCCAGCTACTTCGGAGGCTGAGGCAGGAGAATCGCTTAAAACCCGGGTGCCAGAGGTCACAGTGAGCCAAGATCAAGCCACTGCACTCCAGCCTGGGCGACAGAGCAAGACTTCGTCTCAAAAACAAACAAACAAACAAACAAACAAAAAAACTCTTCCAGCATAAATACCTAGAAATCACAATGTTTTCAGCTTGCTTTCCCAAACACCCCACCCCTCTCAATTCCAAATCAAGTAGGCAATGAATCAAAGAGATGAAGATACCTCCCCAATAGAATGATGAATCCATTTCCATTTAAAAAAAAAAAAAACAACTGAGTACAGAATCATATAAGCTTTAGAGATGGAAAAACCTTAGAATCCTCTAAATCTACTTCCTACCTCCTGTAGTTACCACTTCAGTAACTTCTCTGGGCAGTACATTTGTGACCTGGAATCTTAAGATGTGGGAAGGTAGGAAGGTTCTTTGGCTTGAATGTTAAGTAATTCTGAGTATAGTTTTTGTTTATTATTGATTGTTTTGTTTTTTTGAAACAGGCTCTCACTCTCTTGCCCGGGCTGGAGTGCAGTGGCACGATTACAGCTCACTGCAGCCTCAACCTCCCCAGTTCAAGTGACCCTTCTACCTCAGCCTTCCAAGTAGGTGGGACTAGAGGCACATGACACCACGCCCACCCTTGTAGAGACAGGGTTTCACTATGTTGTCCAGGCTGGTCTCGAACCCACACGAGGTTTCACTGTGTTGCCCAGGCTGGACCCCTGCAATCCTCCCGCCTTGGCCTCCCAAAAGTGTTAGGATTATAGGTATGAGCCACCACTCCTGGCCTGAGAACAGTTTTTAAAAGTTGTACATGGATCTTGTAGGTGACATGGTTTGACAGAAGTAGATCAAAAGTAATCTGTGTCATTTGTTTACTATTACTTCATTGTCTCTTACACGATTTCCCTATTTTAAGAAGGTTAAATTTTTTACCTACTAGCAATATTTTTAAATGTCTTTTAAAAGATATGAGCTATTAAAAAATACCCAAGTTACTTTTGGGCCCAAAACTGAATAGGTTTTTCATCTTCTAAAGATCTCTTTCAAGTTTGGTATAGACAGACATGGCTTTACTCAGTCATTCACTCAACAAGTACACAGCAAGGGCCTAACTCTAAACTGGACACTGCACTGTGCATTGAGAAGATGGAGAGCAGGAAAGATAATGTCCCTATTCTAAGGGAGCTTTGTTTTATAGAAGGCACAGTTGGATCATCACACAGAATTACAAATTCAGAAAAGTGCTAGGAAGGCAAAGCACAAGATGCTCTAAGAACATAGAGCCTGTAATCCCAGTGCTTTGGGAGGCTGAGGCAGGTGAATCACTTGAGGCCAGGAGTTCAAGACCAGCCTGGCCAACATGGCAAAACCCCGTCTCTATTAAAATACAAAAATGAGCTGGGCATGGTGGCACATGCCTGTAATCCCAGCTACTCGGGAGTAGCCCAAGAATCACTTGGGCCCGGGCGGCAGAGGTTGCAGTGAGCCAAGATCACATCACTGCACTCCAGCCTGGGCAACAGAGCAAGATTCTGTCTCAAAAACAAAAAAAAAAACAAAACAAAAAAACATGTAATAGGGTAAAACTGATACACCATGGGGATTCAAAGAAAAATTTCCTGAGGAAGTGATGGTTAAGCTGAGATCTGAATGGAGGCCATTCATATTTATGTAAAAACAGATGTCCATAAAATGAGAGGATTGGTCCAATAAGCCCAGCTACCTTACCTTTGGCATCTTTTATCCTACATCCTAAAACAATCTTTTTTTTTTTTTTTTGAGACAGAGTCTAGCTCTGTCGCCCAGGCTGGAGTGCGGTGGTATGATCTTGGCTCACTGCAACCTCCGACTCCAGGGTTCAAGTGATTCTCCTGCCTCGGCCTCCCGAGTAGCTGGGACTATAGGCAAGCACCACCACGCCCAGCTAATTTTGTATTTTTAGTAGAGATGGGGTTTTACCATGTTGGCCAGGCTGGTCTCAAACTCCTGACCTCAGGTCATCTACCTGCCTCGGCCTCCCAAAGCGCTGAGATTACAGGTGTGAGCCATGGCGCATAGCCCCACTCCCCTTTTTTGTTGTTTTAAAGAAAGGGTCTCATTCTGTTGCCCAGGTTGGGGTACAGTGGCACAATCATAGCTCACTGTAACCTTAACTCTTCGGCTCAAGAGCCCTCCTCGCTTCCCAAGTAGCTGTGACTACAGGCACATACCACCATGGCCAGCTAATTTTTTTTTTATTATTTTTTTGTGGACACAGGGTATTGATATATTATCCAGGCTGGTCTCAAACTCCTGGGCTCAAGCGATCCTCCCACCTCAGTCTCCCAAAGTGCTGGGATTACAGGTATGAGCCACTGCACCCGACCACAATCTCTTTTTTTAAAAAAGGAGAACAAAGTATGTAATAAAGATGTTTACGGCCGGGCGCAGTGGCTCACGCCTGTAATCCCAGCACTTTGGAAGGCCGAGGAGGGTGGATCACGAGGTCAGGAGTTCGAGACCAGCCTGGCCAATATGATGAAACCCCATCTCTACCAAAAATACAAAAATTAGCTGGGCGTGGTGGTACGCACCTGTAGTCCCAGCTGCTCGGGAGGCTGAGGGAGGAGAATCGCTTGAACCTAGGAGGCAGAGGTTGCAGTGAGCCGAGATTGTGCCACTGCACTCCACCCTGGGTGACAGAGCTAGACTTTGTCTCAAAAAAAAAAAAAAGATGTTTAAAAGCTAGTAGTTGAAAGTCTTTTGGGGAGAGGGACAGGGTCTTATTTAGCTCTGAATACCTCACATCACCTTGCCTGGTATTATTACTATCACAGTAGTCACTCAAATCTGGTAAAATGATTAGTGTCAGTATTAAATCAATGTTAATACTGTCTTTAAATAAATTTGCAAAACTACATCTCCTCACACAAGAAACCCCACTCTAAACTTCCTCGATTGTGAAAAGATGTTTTAATCTACCTCAAGAATTTAATAAAATAATATATGGCAAAATGCCGGGGTAGATTCTGAAGTGCTCGGAGTATATAATATCCCTGTGATCAAAAAGGTGGATCAGTCTCTTCTAAGCTGGTTTAGACTCAGCTGTGCTTCATTTTCCTTACTATGAGAAAAAATTCTAACAGGTTTGCATCCCCTCTCTGGCCTTGGTTCGCTCTGAGGAGGGTGAAATAACAAACTCTAAAGTTCCTTCTAGCTCCAGACACTGACCTGTAAACCTTTTAAAAGGATCAAGATTGCACTCCTCAGCATGAACGTTAGACTACTTCCTCACCTACTCCATTTCCCCAGGACCCCATGTTTCCTCTCAGGAATGGTAGCACGTAATTAATGAGTTAAGTTCTTTAAAAGACCTATTTTCTACTCATTTTACACACAGACTTAAGTTGAATTTACTCATCTAAATTAGATCTTCTGAATAATCCAAATAATTATTGTAAAATTTTACACGCCTCAAAGGACCAAAAAAAAAAAAAAAAAAAAAAAGTCAAAACAGCCAACTGTGCGCTGGGCATGGTGGGTCACACCTATAATCTCAGCACTTTAGCAGGCTGAGGTGGGAGGATCGCTTGAGGCCAGGAGTTCAAGACCAGCCTGGGCAACACGGCAAGACCTCCATCTCTAAAAAACATTTTTTTTTTTAATTAGCCAGGGTGGTGCACACCTGTAGTTCCAGCCACTAGGAAGGCTGAAGTGGGAAGATCATTTGAGCCCAGGAGTTTGAGGCTGTAGTGAACGATGAGCACGCCACCGCACTCCAGCCTAGGCAACAGGATGAGATCCTGTCTCTAAAAACAAAAACAAAAACATGTTTAATAGCCAACTGTCAAAAATATGTTTGTAACTACTAACTCTAAAAAGTAAATTTTGGTTTTCCAATTAAGGAAAATGTATTTCCTATATTTTAAATCAGAAAATAGTCATAAAAAGTCACTTATACTCAGAAATAACAACAAATAAATGCCAACTCATTCATGGAAAAAAATGTTTAAGTTACAATTAAAAGAGAGTAGAAACATCTGCAACACAATGCAAATGTATCTACAAGATACTACCACATGAAAATGAAATTTTACCCAAAAAGCGTTAAAACACTCAAATTATGCAGGTAAGGGCAATTTACGTATTTCACATTTATCTTGTTTAAAATAATTTTTTGGTGTGGTTTTAAAAACCTTGCCTCCTTTTACCCTTCAGGGAATAGCGTCCCACTAAAAGAGAACACTATTGTAATGATACTTCCAGGCAAGAAACCTGTCTTTATGATGTAAAACAGGGCTACCAGATCCAGATAAGGTCTGCCATTAGGATGCTTCAGAAGTCATAACATTTCAAAGAAAAAAAAATTTTTAAGTAATTCCTACATTAATAATTGCTAGTTAGTGAATTTAGTTTTTAAGCACATCGTATTTTTATATAAATATAAATTTTTATAACTTAAAATTCTAAACTTAATTTCCTGAGACAAAATTGGTCCTTTCACTCTGATTATCAATGTCAAGACAGCAGCTTCTTATTTGACAGTCAGTATTTAACTATATTTTACATCTACTGAGTGTTTCAGGGCCTTAAAGTTCATTATGATTATTATATTATTAATTACAACGTGCACTGTAACATTCCCTTTTTAAAGAGGTGCAAATAGAAGTTAAATAACTTATCCAAGGTCACCCAAACAAGTCAGTGACAAAGTTGGGAGTAGGAGTAAAACTTCAGCCCCTAGACTGAAGACTACTTCGAGCTTTTGCAATTCCAAACGAGGAAAAAAAAAAGGTCAAGCGATTTACCCTTAATAACTTCCAACAGCATACCCTAAATACAGTGGTACACTTATTATCATAAAGACTAAGAAAAAAAGATTCACCCTGAATCAAAGAAACAACTTTGCTACATTTAGATACCACTGTCATTTCCCTAGCTCTTGTAACAAGCGAAAATCCTGTACTGGATCTGGCTATATTAAATCCTGAAGAATGTTCACTCTTCAATATGAACAATTTATTTTCATGCTAACATGCATTTACGACTTAATCTTTTATCACCTTGTCCTATTTGGAGGTGCTGTGGGATGCATTAATTTCCTCACTCTTCCATGACATCAAGTCAAAGACTACAATCTCAAAAATAAGCAATTCTCAGTGAAAACATAGTTACATAGCCAATGAAAGAAAAACTCTAATAAATGGCTGCTTTTAAAGAGATACTTTTAAAGGATGCTTACATGTTTCACAGAATTACCGGTAACTCGCCCGCCAAGAAGGATGGTCCCTTTAAAGCAGCTTTTAAAGCATATCACTCCCTGTTTGGGACACAGTCTGACTTGTTGGACAAGATTAATCTGGGCACTCTCACACAACCCCTCTGAACCAGCTTAGTTCACTGGAAACATCATTTCAACTGTAGTACTCAGCCCTTCGCATACTACAAGGGACAAGATGACTCTCCTTAACAATCTTTCAGAAGGTCCCCACGGCGGAGACAGTGACAGCCGTCCTCCCGCGGATGTTTTTGGAAATAGAAATGTTAACACCAGGAGAGGCTCCTAGGAAGTGTCAGTGCGGCAGCAGGTGGAGTAGCCCTGCGTGCCGAGCAGGTTCTTTCTGACCTAGTCTCAATGCTCCGCTTCCCGGCCCCGGTTCCGCCTTACAGAGATCTTGTTAAGCCGTCTTGCGTCCCTGTTCTCTAACCCAGGGCGAGACTTCCAACCCTCCAGGGAGGCGAGGCAATCGAAGCAGACAAGACGGCCACCTCACCTCTTCCGGGGACTCGCAGGCCCGCTCCCTGGCCATGTCAGAGCCTGATGGACCAGGCTGGAGGGGACGCAGCCGGCTCCCCCGGGAGCCTCCCAGCCAGAACCCCCGCGCCCCACGGTCCCTTTCCACTGCCCCCACCCCTTCGAAACGCCACCGCCACCACCCTCCTTACTCCTGAATCCCCTCTCCTCAGGAGTACCCCAGTGGAGTTACCGGCCCACTCAAAAGTAAGAGCGACGGCCACCCCTCTCGGTCACCCTGGCCCCACTGTCACCGCCCTGCTCCCGGCCTCTGCCTACGCCGCTGGCTGGCTCCGGTGACGCCCGGGTCGGTACCTTGCGGACCCCCTTGTAGATATAGAAGTACAGCTCCCGGCCCACATTGAAGCAGAGGCGGTCGCCGTTGCCAGACTGGTCGTTGAGGTTTACGAAGGAGACGCGGACAGGGTTGGATCCCTGCGAGTTGAAGGGCACCCGGTTGGGCCGGCTGTACTCCGAGTGCGGCAGCAGCTTGTACAGACCTTCCCGGGTGGTGAATTGGGTCTTAATCTCGTTCATCTCCTTCCCTCCTCCCTCCGTCGCCATCTTGGAAAGCAGCGTTCATCCTGCCCTAAGTGCCCGGATCACGCCCACCGCGCAGGCGCTGTTCCTGGTGCTCCCTCTTCCCCCACCCCCTGCCTCTTCCTTCTCGCCCCTCCCACCCGCGGGCCAGCCCTGCGAGGGCGGGCCAAAGGGAAGGGGTGGGCTTGTTTACGGCCCGACTGCGCAGGCGTGCTCACCTGGCGTGCTCCACCCGACTGGGCGTCCGCAGGCTCCTCCCCCGGGTGTGGCCTCCGGGCGGCATGGCTGCTTCCCAGGTGATGCCGGCTTCAGCTAGTGGGGTCTAGTTGACCGTTCCGCAGCCGCCAGGGCCAGCGGAAAGCCGGTCAGGGGGAACCGCGGCGGGGCTGGTGTCATGAGCCTGAGGTGAACTTGAGGGTGCCTCCTCAGCGGTCTCCCGCCCTGCCCTGAGGGGCGCCGGGACCCCAAAGAGCGGAGGAAGAGCGCCACCCCGACGGCCACCGCTTCGGAGCCAGCACGCGGGGTACCCTACGGGGAGCGCGGATGCCCCCGTGTTCGGGCGGGGACGGCTCCACCCCTCCTGGGCCCTCCCTTCGGGACAGGGACTGTCCCGCCCAGAGTGCTGAATACCCGCGCGACCGTCTGGATCCCCGCCCAGGAAGCCCCTCTGAAGCCTCCTCGCCGCCGTTTCTGAGAAGGTACCAAGGGACTCAAGATTTACGCTTCACTATGTTTTATTTCAGGCGGGGTAGGGGGAGAGAAGAATGTGGTACAGCATAGGTGTTCTCAAGCCAGATATCCTAATTCCTGCGTGTGATGAGCACTGGCGGCCTCCGCTTCTTAGCGGAGGTTTGTCCTCTCCAGCTGTTCAGAAACACGGGGCGGGGAAGCGCTTTGGGAACCGGGGACTGAATCTTTTTAGGATTCACTGATCTTGCTCAGTAGGTTACGAAGAGCTCTTAATAAAATTTAAGGTAATTGTTTTTTTTTCCAGAAGCCTCAGGTGGAGTCTGTGAGATTATTTACTAGTAGATCCATAGGGATAGTTGTATGCATGTAATGTACAGGGTCTAGATTTATAAGGACGGGCACACGTGTCAAAGTAAGATTCAACAATCACTATTTTATACCTGGGTTTCTTGGCATGTTACACCAGAATAAGAAAGCTTCTAAAGTGACAGAAACATTCTAATAGAATTCCAGGGAGGGGGGAAGCCAACATTTGTAACACCAAGAATGATCTATTCCTGGAAGTTCAGATTATATCTGGAGGGGCACAAAAGAAGTGAATGGAGAGAATTTCTAAAGTAGGAGGAGTGTAAATCATAAACATCTTCCGTATTAAAAAGCAAGTAGATACCAATAGAAACTGTGCCAATGATGTAGTAATACATTTGATAATAACATCTTTAGCCTTTGTAGTGTTGGAAAAAAAAAAGAAAAAAAAGCACTGAAGTACTTCTTAATTAATAGAGCCTGAAAAATACTTAAAATTTTTTCTTAGAATTGTTTTGATGTTATCCGACTTTCCCTAATCTTAAAACACCAGGGTATGTTCTGTCGTTACCATGGCTATATCCCAAACTCCATAACTGTGTTATTTTACATTGAAAACACGTATTTTACAATAATCAACTTGAAGGATAGTGGCATCTTGAATCATCTAAAAATAATTTATCTGTGTTTCCTAATTATCAAGAGGAAAAAAAGTATAATTTTTGGGGGGGGAAAAAAACCCAGCGAGCAAAAGTTAAAACAAAATTTTGTATTATTCTTCAATTAACCATAACATTGTATTTCCCATAATACCTATATAATTCAAGCATTCTATCAAGATTTTACCCTATATAAATTCAACATTTTATTATAATCACAGTAATAAACTGTTCACTTTGTCTCATGCATAGCCTTTGGTTTAGTTTTGTTTTTTTTTTCTTAGATGGAGTCTCGCTGTCGCCATGCTGGAGTGCAGTGGTGCAATCTTGGCTCACTGCAACCTCTGCCTCCCAGGTTCAAGCGATTCTCCTGCTTCAGCCTCCCGAGTAGCTGGGACTACAGATGTGCACCACCACGCCCAGCTAATTTTTGTATTTTTAGTAGAGATGGGGTTTCACCATGTTGGCCAGGATGGTCTTGATCTCTTGACCTGCTGATCCACCCACCTTGGCCTCCCAAAGTGCTGGTATTACAGGCATGAGCCACAGTGCCCAGTCCCATGCATAGCCTTTGAATAGTCTCTATTTTTATTCTTTTTATCTCATAACTTTTCCTCCATATTCAAAGATTCAATAAGCAACACCCAAATCTAAATAACTAGGCCTGAATGGCTGGGCGTGTTGGCTCACACCTGTAATCCCATCACTTTGGGAGGCCGAGGCGGGCAGATCACGAGGTCAGGAGTTTGAGACCGCCTGGCCAACATGGTGAAATCCCATCTCTACTAAAAGTACAAAAATTAGCCAGGCGTGGTGACACATGCCTGTAATCCCAGCTGCTCGGGAGGCTGAGGCAAGAGAATTGCTTGAACCCGGGAGGTGGAGGTTGCAATGAGCCGAGATGGCACCACTGCACTCCAGCCTGGGCAACAGAGCGAGACTCCATCTCAGGAAATAAATAAATAAATAGATAAATAAATAAATGGGCCTGACCTAATTTTATTTCTGATTTTCAATTTCAAACCGGGAATTTAAAAAAAAATTTTTTTTTTGAGATGGAGTCTCACTCTGTTGCCCAGGCTGGAGTGCAGTGGCACAGTCTCAGCTCTCCGCAGGCTGGAGTGCAGTGGCACAGTCTCAGCTCTCCGCCTCCCAAGTTCAAGCAATTCTCCTGCCCCAGTCTCCCGAATAGCTGGGATTACAGGCGCATGCCACCACACCCAGCTAATTTTTGTATTTTTAGTAGAGACGGGGTTTCACCACGTTGGCCAGGCTGGTCTCGAACTCCTGACCTCAGGTGATCCACCCACCTCAGCTTCCCAGAGTGCTAGGATTACAGGCGTGAGCCACCGCGCCCGGCCTCAAACCAGGTATTTCTTTTTTTTTTGTTTCCTTTTTTTTTTTTAAGAGAAGTCTCGCTCTTGTCCCCCAGGCTTGAGTGCAATGGCTCAATCTCGACTCACTGCAACCTCTGCCTCCCGGATTCAAACGATTCTCCTGCCTCTGCCTCCCAAATAGCTGGGATTAAGGCACCTGCCACCACACCTGGCTAATTTTTGTATTTTTTAGTAGAGACAGATTTTAACCATGTTGGCCAGGCTGGTCTTGAACTCCTGACCTCAGGTGATCCACCAGCCTCGGCCTCCGGAAGTGCTGGGATTATAGGCGTGAGCCACCGCGCCCGGCCCAAACCGGGTATTTCTTTTTTTTTTTTTTTTTTTTTTTGAGACGAGTCTCACTCTGTCGCCCAGGCTGGAGTGCAGTGGCATGATCTCGGCTCACCGTAACCTCTGCCTCCCGGGTTCAAGCGAGTCTTCTGCCTCAGCCTCCCGAGTAGCTGGGACTACAGGCATGTGCCACCAGGCCTGGCCAATTTTTTTGTATTTTTAGCAGAGACGGGGTTTCGCCATGTTGGTCAGGCTGGTCTCGAACTCCTGACCTCGTGATCCGCCCACCTTGCCCTCCCAAAATGCTGGGATTACAAGCGTGAGCCACCGCGCCCGGCCCAAACCGGGTATTTCTAAATAAATTCATCAGTTTCTAAACCTTATGAATTATTTTTTCATTTCAAACTTGAATCATTATGATGGTTTTGTGCATTAATTCCTTCTAAACAACTACCAAAATAATTTTCTAAAAACAGTGCTTTAGACATTACATATTCTTTTGTCCAAAAACTTTCAATTATTTGAAATACCCACACAATTTAAGTCATACTGAGAGGTTACAACGTGCTGGCAGTCCTCAGAGCCCTGGCTTGCTCTCGGCGCCTCCCCTGCCTGGGCTCCCACTTTGGTGGCATTTGAGGAGCCCTTCAGCCCCCCACTGCACTGTGGGAGCCCCTTTCTGGGCTGGCCAAGGCTGGAGCCCACTCCCTCAGCTTGCAGGGAGGTGTGCAGGGAGAGGCGAGAGCGGGAACCGGGGCTGCGTGCGGCTCTTGCGGGCCAGCTGGAGTTCCGGGTGGGCGTGGGCTTGGCGGGCCCCGCACTTGGAGTAGCCAGCCAGCCCTGCTGGCCCCGGGCAATGAGGGACTTAGCACCCGGGCCAGTGGCTGCGGAGGTGTACTGGGTCCCCCAGCAGTGCCGGCCCACCGGCGCTGTGCTCGATTTCTCGCCGGGCCTTAGCTGCCTTCCCGCGGGGCAGGGCTCCGGGACCTGCAGCCCCCATGCCTGAGCCTCCCACCCACTCCATTGGTTCCTGTGCGGCCGGAGCCTCCCCGACGAGCACCACCTCCTGCTCCACGGCGCCCAGTCCCATCGACCACCCAAGGGCTGAGGAATGCGAGCGCACGGCGCAGGACTGGCAGGCAGCTCCACCTGCAGCCCCGGTGCGGGATCCACTAGGTGAAGGCAGCTGGGCTCACACCAATCAGCACCCTGTGTTTAGCTCAAGGTTTGTGAGTGCACCAATCCACACTCTGTATCTAGCTACTCTGGTGGGGCCTTGGAGAACCTTTATGTCTAGCTCAGGGATTGTAAATACACCAGTCGGCACTCTGTATCTAGCTCAAGGTTTGTAAACACACCAATCAGCACCCTGTGTTTAGCTCAAGGTTTGTGAGTGCACCAATCCACACTCTGTATCTAGCTGCTCTGGTGGGGCCTTGGAGAACTTTTATGTCTAGCTCAGGGATTGTAAATACACCAATCGGCACTCTGTATCTAGCTCAAGGTTTGTAAACACACCAATCAGCACCCTGTGTTTAGCTCAAGGTTTGTGAATGCACCAGTCGACACTCTGTATCTAGCTGCTCTGGTGGGGCCTTGGAGAACCTGTGTGGAAACTCTGTATCTAACTAATCTGATGGGGACGTGGAGAACCTTTGTATGTAGCTCAGGGATTGTAAACGCACCAATCAGCGGCCTGACAAAACAGGCCACTCGGCTCTACCAATCAGCAGGATGTGGGTGGGGCCAGATAAGAGAATAAAAGCAGGCTGCCCGAGCTAGCATTGGCAACCCGCTCGGGTTCACTTCCGCACTGTAGAAGCTTTGTTCTTTCTCCCTTTGCAATAAATCTTGCTACTGCTCACTCTTTGGGTCCACACTGCTTTTATGAGCTGTAACACTCACCGCGAAGATTTGCAGCTTCACTCCTGAAGCCAGCAAGACCACGAGCCCACCGGGAGGAACGAACAACTCCAGACGTGCTGCCTTAGGAGCTGTAATACTCACCGTGAAGGTCTGCAGCTTCACTCCTGAGCCAGTGAGACCACGAACCCATCAGAAGGAAGAAACTCTGAACACAACCGAACATCAGAAGGAACAAACTCCAGACGCGCCACCTTAAGAGTTGTAACACTCACTGCGAGGGTCCGCGGCTTCATTCTTGAAGTCAGTGAGACCAAGAACCCACCAATTCCTGACACGATACACCAGCACTTCTCAGCCTGTTTCTTACCTACTGCATAAATTCTCCATTCCAGTCTAACGTTTCTACTGTCATCCTTTTTTTTTTTTTTTTTTTTTTTGAGACAGAGCCTTGCTCTGTCGCCCAGGTTTGAGTAGTGGCTCCATGTCGGCTCTCTGCAACCTCCACCTCCTAGGCCCTGGCAAACCTCCCAAGTAGCTGGGACTGCAGGCATGTGCCACCGTGCCCAGCTAATTTTTGTATTTTTTATAGAGACGGGGTTTTTTTTTTTTTGAGACAGGTCTCACTCTGTTGCCCAGGCTGGAGTGCAGTGGCGTAATCTCGGCTCACTGCAACCTCTGTCTCCCAGGTTGAAGCAATTCTCCTGCCTCAGCGTCCCAAGTAGCTGGGACTACAGGCGCCCGCCACCATGCACGGCTAATTTTTGTATTTTTAGTAGAGATGTGGTTTCACCATGTTGGCCAGGCAGGTCCCAAACTCCTGGGCTCAAGCAATCAACCCACCTCTGCCTCCCAAAATTCAAGGCATGAGGCACCATGCCCAACCTGCTGTCATCCTTAGCTATGTCCCTTGCTAGAGATGACCTTCCCCCAACTGCCCCTCTTTCTCCTTCATAGTGTATTCTTTAAGAACTAGTTTAGGCTGGGCGCCGTGGCTCATGCCTGTAATCCCAGCACTTTGGGAGGCTGAGGCGGGCGGATCATCTGAGGTCAGGAGTTCGAGACCAGCCTGACTGACATGGAGAAACCCCGTCTCTACTGAAAATACAAAATTAGCCAGGCGTGGTGCCATATGCCTGTAATCCCAGCTACTAGGGGGGCTGAGGCAGGAGAATCACTTGAACCTGGGAGGCGGAGGTTGCAGTGAGCCGAGATCACGCCATTGCACTCCAGCCTGGGCAACAAGAGTGAAACTCCATCTCAAAAAAAAAAAAAAAGAACTAGTTTAAATCCCATTCTCACCAAGCCCTGGGTAATAAAACCATATTTGAAACCAAAGATTCTCAACTCAGGACCCATAGTTGGCTTCAGGGAATGTTTGAACTCCCTATAATTGTGTTCAAAATTTTGTGTACATATTCATTATATCATTAGAGTCTTATCAGCATGTGTTAATTATCTTCTATTGTTTTGTTTTGTTTTGTGATGGAGTTTTGCTCTTGTTGCCCAGGCTGGAGTGCAATGGCATGATCTCAGCTCACTGCAACCTCCACCTCCTGGGTTCAAGCGATTCTCCTGCCTCAGCCTCCTGGGTAGCTGGGACTACAGGCGCCTACTACCATGCTTGGCTAATTTTTGTGTTTTTAGTAGAGATGGGGTTTCACCATGTTGGCCAGGCTGGTCTTGAACTCCTGACCTCAGGTGATCTACCTGCCTTGGCCTCCCAAAGTGCTGGGATTACAGGCGTGAGCCACTGCGCCCAGCCCGCCCCCACCGCCGGCTCCCTTTTTTATTTTTTTTTTTGAGACAGAGTCTGGCCCTGTGGCCCAGGCTGGAGTGCAGTGGCACAATCTCAGCTCACTGCAACCTCCACCTCCCGGGTTCAACCAATTCTCCTGCCTCAGCCTCCTGAGTAGCTGGGATTACAGGTGCGCACCACCACGCCAGCTAAATTCTTTTGTATTTTTAGTAGAGACAGGGCTTTGCCATTTGGCCAGGTTGGTCTCGAACTCCTGACCTCAAGTGATCTGCCCACCTCGGCCTCCCAGAGTGCTGAGATTACAGGCATGAGCCACCACGCCCAGCCCCTTGTATTGATATTTATGTTTTTTACATATATGCTACCTTTTAGCCAGATTGTATGCACACTTAAGCGTAGGAATAACCTTGTTAAAATTCTCTGTTGTCTCAATTTTTTTTCTTTTTCCTTTTTTTAGAGACAGGGTCTCACTATGTTGCCTGGTCTGGAAGTACAGTGGTACAGGCCCGGCTCATTGCAGCCTCAACCTTCCAGGCTCAAGCCATCCTCCTGTCCCAGCCTCCTGAGTAGCTGGGACTACAGGAACGTACCACCATGCCCAGCTAAGTTTTATTTTTATTTACTTATTTATTTTTTTTGAGACTGAGTCTTGCTCTTTTGCCAGGCTGGAATGCAGTGGTACGGTCTCCACTCACTGCAACCTCCACCACCCGGGTTCAAGCTGTTCTCCTACCTCAGCCTCCTGAGTAGCTGGGACTACAGGCATGTGCCACCACGCCCAGCTAATTTTTGTATTTTTAGTAGAGATGGGGTTTCACCATGTTGGCCAGGATGGTCTCAATCTCTTGACCTCGTGATCTGCCCGTCTCGGCCTCCCAAAGTGCTGAGATTACAGGCGTGAGCCGCCATACCCGGCCATTTTTAAATTTTTTATGAAGACAGCCTCACTATGTTGCCCAGGCTGGTCTTGAACTCCTAGGCTCAAGTGATCCTCCTGCCTTAGCCTCACGAAGTGTTGTGATTACAGGTATGAGCCACCACAGCCAGCCTGTATTCTCACATTTTTGAGTGACTACATATGCTACATTGTTGTAACTTTTGGGATGCATCAGTAAACAGGAATTCCTCACTCATGGATTCCATATTCTTACAGGGAGAAAACAAAGGATAAGCAATAACAGAAAGGCAATGAGCACAACTAAGTACATCATGTAGTGATCAGCACTAGGAAGAAGAAGTAGGTCAGGGTAAGAGAGATTGAGAATATGTCAGGTAATTTGCAGTTTCAAATATGTTGGTCAAAATAAGGCTCTTTGAGACAGTGACATTTCTGTAAAGACTTGAAAGAAGTAAGGAGGTGGGCCATGGGAAGAACTGGGAAAAGAGTGGACCAAGCACAGGAAAAAACTAGAGCAGAGACCCCGAGGCGGAAGTGTGCCTAGTGTGTTCAGGGAACAGTAAGAAGCCATTATGGCTGGAGCAGAGTGAGCAGGGAAACCATTGCAGGGTTTAAGAATTTATTTGTTTGCTGGTTTGAGAATAGATTTAAGGAAGCAAGAGTAGAACAGGAAGGTCACTAAGGAAGCTAACTGTAGTAATCCAGGCCACAGGTGCCAGAGGTAGGTAGCAACTGAGATGAAAAGAGGCTACAGAATCCTACATATACTCTGAAGGTAAAGCCGATAGGATTTCCCAGCAGATGGGATGTGGCTTGTGGGAGAAATGAAGGAGTCAGGAATGACTCCAACGTAGGCATAAGCAACTGGACGATGGAAATGCCATTAACAGAGATGAGGAAGGCTGAGGAAGAGCATGTTTTGAAAGGAAGATCAGGAATTCCGTTTTTCACATGTTGGGTATGAGATATCAGGCATTCACAGGGAATGTCCAGAAGGCAGTTGAATAATCAAGTCTGGAAAGAGGTCTGAGCTGCCCATCTGTATTCTGCAGTTATCAGCAGATAGGTAGTATTTAAAGCCTGGATAGGCTGGGCATGGTGGCTTATGCCTGTAATCCCAATACCTTGGGAGGCTGAGGCAGGAGGATCACTTGAACCCAGAAGTTCAAGACCAGCCTGGGCAATATGGTGAGACCTTGTCTCTACAAAAAAAATTTAAAAATTAGCGTGGTGGTGTATTCTAGCAATCCTAGGAGGCTCAGGCAGGAGGATCACTTGAGCCCAGGAGGTTGAGGCTACAGTGAGCTGTGATTGCACCACTACACTCCAGCCTGGGCAACAGAGGGAGACCCTGTCTCAAAAAAACAAAAATTAACTCAGAATGAATTAAAGACCTAAATGTAAGAATTAAAACTATAAAACTGGAGCTATGATCACACCACTGCACACCAGCCTGAGCAACAGAGCAAGACCCTGTCAAAAAAAGAGAATGGACAAAGGATCTGAATAGACATTTCTGCAAAGTTACACAAATGGCCAGGGAGCACGTGAAAAGATTCACAACATTATTAGCCATCAGGGAAATGCAAATTAAAACCACAAGGAGATGTCACTTCATATACACTAGGATGGCTATAATCAAAAAGATAAACAATAACAAGTGTTGGTGAGAATGTGGAGAAATTTAAACCCCCATGTACTGCAGATAGGAAGGAAAAGTAATATAGCCAATATGGAAAATAGTCTGGCAGTTCCGTAAAAGTTTCAACAGTTACCATAGGACCCAGCAATTCCAATCGTATGTATATACCCAAGAGAAATCAAAACATATTCACACGGCCGGGCGCAGTGGCTCATGTCTGTAATCCCAGCGTTTTGGGAGGCCGAGGCAGGTGGATCATGAGGTCAGGAGTTCGAGACCAGCCTCACCAACGTGGTGAAATTGCGTCTGTACTAAAAATACAAAAATTAGCCAGGTGTGGTGGTGCGGGCCTGTAATCCCAGCTACTCAGGAGGCTGAGGCAGGAGAATCGCTTGAACCCAGGAGGCGGAGGTTGCAGTGAGCCGAGATCACACCATTGCACTTCAGCCTGGGCGACAGAGCGAGACTCCATCTCAAAACAAAACAAAACAAAAAAAAAATTTCACACAAAAACTTATACGTGAATGTTCACAGCGGCATTATTCAAAATAGCCAAAAAGTGGAAACAAACCAAATGCCCATCAACTAATGAATGGATAAACAAAATGTGGTATATCCATACAATGGAATATTAATCAGCTATGATAGAAAGGAATGTAGTTGTCGGGCGTGGTGGCTCACGCCTGTAATCCCAGCACTTTGGGAGGCCAAGGCAGGCAGATCACATGGTCAGGGGTTCGAGACCAGCCTAGCCAACACGGTGAAACCTCGTCTCTACTAAAAAAATACAAAAATTAGCTGGGAATGGTGGCGTGCACCTGTAATTCTAGCTACTCGAGAGGCTGAGGCAGGAGAATTGCTTGAACCCGGGAGGCGGAGGCTGCAGTGAGCTGAGATCAAGCCACTGCACTTTAGGCTGGGCGACACAGCAAGACTCCAACTCAAAAAAAAAAAAAAAAGGAATGTAGTATAGAGACAGAAAGTAGATTTGTGGTAGCCTAGGGATGGGGAAATGACAGGGAAGGAGTCGTGACTGCTAATGAGCCCAGGGTTTCTTTTAGAGGTGATAATTGCACAGTTCTGAATATACCAGAAACCACTGAATAATAGTCGTTGGGTGAATTATATGTGCAGTTAAAAAAAATCAAACCTAGCCAGGTGGGCGTGGTGGCACATGCCTGTAGTAATCCCCTGTAGTAATCTCGGGAGGCTGACAGGAGAATTGCTTGAACCCTGGAGGCAGAGGTTGCAGTGAGCTGAGATTGCCCCACTGCATTCCAGCCTGGGCGACAGAGTGAGACTCCGTCTCAAAAAAAAAAAAAAAAAAAAATCAAAACTAGAGCCACTCTATCTATAGTGCTCAATTTATTTTTCAAACAGCTGCTAAATTATCCAGGCATAACTACTTATTAGGTTGTTTGAACTGTACCTGGTAAATGGAACTGTTAGATTTTTCTATTGGTCCAGGGAGCGCCATAAAGAAATTCTGAAACACTAAGGGCTCTGAGAACCAAGAAAACTTGGGAATCACCGTAAGGCATAAACCTTTCTCATTTCTTACCTTCCAACTTATACCTCCCTTCTTATCTCTATCTGAACCCATTCTTATTCTTCTAGGTTAAAAGAAGAAGTACCTCTTCTCTTCTTTTCTTTCTTTTTTCTTAAGATGGAGTGTCGCTATATGGCTCACGCTGGAATGCAGTGGCATGATCTCAGCTCCCTGTAACCTCCGCCTCCTGGGTTCAAGCAATTCACTGTCTCAGCTTCCTGAGTAGCTGGTACTACAGGCATGCACCATCACACCCGGCTAATTTTTTTTTTTTTTTTTTTTTTCCGAGACGGAGTTTTGCTCTTACTGCCCAGGCTAGAGTGCAATGGTGCGATCTTGGCTTACTGCAACCTCTGCCTCCTGGGTTCAAGCAATCTCCTGCCTCAGCCTCCCGAGTAGCTGGGATTACAGGCGCCCGCCACCATGCCCAGCTAATTTTTTGTGTTTTCAGTAGAGATGGGGTTTCATCATGTTGGCCAGGCTGGTCTCGAACCCCTGACCTCAGGTGATCCACCCACCTCGGCCTCCCAAAGTTCTGGGATTACAGGCGTGAGCCACTGCGCCCATCCTAATTTTTGTATTTTGGGTAGAGACGGGGTTTCACCATGTTGGTCAGGCTGGTCTTGAATTGCTGACCTCAAGTGATCCACCCACCTCGGCCTCCCAAAGTGCTGGCATTACAAGTGTGAGCCACCGTGCCCAGCCACCTCTTCTTTTCAAGATCAATTTCTCCACCATGTTCTTGTAACAAATTCCTGGTCTCCTCTAGGACACCCTGCTCCAGCAGCAAGTTACTGTTTCTCCTGGGCAGACTCCCACACTGCACTGCCTCCTCCCATGTAGTATGAGCCTGCTGAGCAAAGAAGAGAGCAGCACAGAAGAACCAATGTTCATTTCTGCTTGAGAGTTTGGCAGTGTGTTGGTAATTGTTAATAGAATTGCTTCTTTCTCCAATTAAAAACAAAACATGGCTGGTGTGGTGGCTCACACCTATAATCCCAGCACTTTGGGAGGCCGAGGCAAGAGGATAGCTAGAGCCCAAGAGGTCACAACCAACCTGGCAACATAGCAAGGCCCTGTCTCTATAAAAATAAGGTTAGCCAGGCGTGGCAACACACACTTGTAGTCCCAGCTACTCGGGAGGCTGAGTTGGGAGGATCGCTTGAGCCCAGAAAGTTGAGGCTGCAGTGAGCTGTGTTCATAACACTGCATTCCAGCCTGGGCCACAGAACAAGACCTTGACTCAAAAAATGTATGTGTATATATATAATAAAACAAAACACCTCTGCCTATTGCTTACTGTCTCCAGTCCCAGCCTTGAAAGAGTCACAGCTGTCTCCTACCCCCTCAAATAAATATAACTCCATGTGTGCTATTTTAATTATCTTAGACTCTAGGGATAAGACTGAAATGTGGGTTCCAAACCATAGTAATAAAGGGAAAATACAGGAAGAAAATAAGAGAACTGTCATAAGGCTGGGACATTCTGCCTCAGTCACAGAACTAATTGAATTATTACAGTATGTTAGAACTGAATTCAAATTAGGACATCACTTTTTGTAGATAGAACTCATGCTAGCTTTGTTTTTCATTGTTAAGCTCCTCCAGTAAGAAGTAAAACAACAGCTTATCCAAGCAGCTTAATGAGCATTGTGGGTTTTATCTTTGCAAAGATTAGAGCAAGGACGTTCAAGCTTAATAGCCTCAATAACAGTTCCTAACTTTTTTCTATCTGAGATCCTGAAACAGGAAAGATGAGATTTTTTAAAGAGCTAGTATGCTATATGTAAAGAAAAAATTAACTTGTTACTTATATATAATTATAAGTACTTATTGGGAGGAGGCTATGAAGAGGTGATTTAAAAAAAAAAAAAAAGTACTTCTCACTCTCTGAAGAGCCTCATCAGCATTATTGGCCTTTTGAGAAGCAGCCAGTAAAACAGTGATTTTTAGCCATAGATTGCTGTAAAGTAGTAGCTGGGGCCTGTGGCAGGAAGTAAGATTCATTTGTTAATTTAAAAATTCATTTTAGGAGTTACTGATTGGGAAAACAAAAACACAGTTTATGATATTAAAAGAATCTAGTCGGCCGGGCGCAGTGGCTCACGCCTGTAGTCCCAGGACTTTGGGAGGCCTAGGCGGGCAGATCACGAGGTCAGGAGATCGAGACCATTCTGGCTAACACCGTGAAACCCCATCTCTACTAAAAGTACAAAAACAAAGTTAGCCGGGCGTGGTGGCGGGCGCCTGTAGTCTCAGCTACTCTTGAGGCTGAGGCAAGAGAATGGCGTGAACCCGGGAGGCGGAGCTTGCAGTGAGTCGTGGTTGCGCCACTGCACTCCAGCCTGGGAACAGAGCGAGACTCCGTCTCAAAAAAGAAAAAAAAAAAGAATCTAGTCGAGGATGCAGTCAGTATCTACCCATTTAGACTCCGAGTTTCTTGAGAGGAGGAGCCATTCTTTTTCCGCTTTAAGAATCCCCTAAGATATTGCTAAGCACATAGTAAATAATCAACACATACTGAATTGGATTTCTAGTTTGTTCCTCTTCCATCTTCTTCATATTTTTGCGTTTTGTTTTTCTCTTTTCCTGGTGTTTCCATGTCCACGTGTCCCCTTACTGAGCTATGGTAACTTGTAGTTCCTCATACCTGTCACACCTGTGCTTTCATGCTTTTGCATAAGTGAGATTCCCTTTCCTCTCTGTTCATCAGAGGGAATAGAAGGCCGCTCATCCCAGAAGACTTCACTCCAAAAATCACTCCTGCCTGGTATGCTCTCTGCTTATTCATCCCTCACTTTTCAACTTAAAGGCTGCCTTCTCAGAGAGGCTTTCCCTGAGGCCCCAAATGTAAGTTATGTCACCTTATTTTCTCATGGAATTATTTCCCGTATAGCACTTAGCACAATTTCTAATAATATATACATCATACACACACATATTTATATGTTTTCTTAAATAAAAGCCACCTCCCTCAGTAGACCGTAAGCTTATAATAGGGATCCTGCCTATTTTTGTTTGGCATGTCGTGTGTAGATTGGGGCCTGACATTCAATAGGTACTCAATACACACTTGCCAAATGAGTGACTCACCTTTGAGAAAGATTCTCTTTTAGCACCTTATGTTAATACTTAACTTTATTATGACATTTATTACATTGCTGTCTCATCTCACTAGGTTGTTCGCTACACACGATTGCAGTTCACAGACTTAAAAATATGCTCATGCATGCTTTCTTTTCTTATACCTTCCCCCTGAGGTTAAACTCTGCCTTAGGTCACATTACTCATGCTTTCAGAAAGCTCTGCTTCTAGCTTTCTGAGCGGGGGAGATTCAGCCCCTTGTTTATTTTATGTATTTGGCTTTCAGGTAAATATCTACTTAGCATGCCCATTGTTCACTCACTTCCTTAGTCCCAGCTCATTCTGCTTCCCTCTTCCTAAAAAATAACAAAAACGAAACACTCCTGTCCTTGGAGAATAATTTTTGCATATGGTCACATTTCAGTTTAGTAGGATAGAATATTGAATTTGCTGGATAGGTTTTAACATTGCAAGAATTATCAACTGGGTTTTTATTGTGGCTCTAGATCTGTTTGTTGGGATAAGAAAAGATTATGAGGTTGGGCACAGTGGCTCATGCCTGTAATCCCAGCACTTTGGGAGGCTGAGGCAGTCGGATCACTTCAGCCCAGGAGTTGGAGACCAGCCTAGGCAACACAAGGAGCCCCCATCTCTACAAAAAATAAATAAAAATTAACTAGATATGGTGATACATGGCTATAGTCCCAGCTACTTGGGAGGCTGAGATGGGAGGATCGCTTGAACCCAGGAGTTTGAGGCTTCAGTGAGCTGTGATCACACCACTGAACTCCAGCCTAGGCAACAGAGTGAGACTTCATCTCAAAAAAATAAATAAAGATTATGAATGTGGGCACTGAATGATTTTTCTTTTTACCATGTCTTTCTCATCTATAGCAATGCTTTATAGATTGTTGGTGCTCAATAACTATTTAGTGGATTGAATATATACTCAAAAAAGAGCACTGGACTTAAGGTCAAAAGACATAACATAAATTCTATTCATGATCACATTATTTAATATTGTGACAGTATAGTACATAAAAGTTTTAAATGAAATTATTATTTATATATGATTAGATGTTGGAAATCTAAGAGGATCAACTGAAGAACTGTAAGAAACAATAAGAAGCCAAGCATGGTGGTATACACCTGTAATTCCAGCTAATCAGGAGGCTGAGGCAGGAGGATTGCTTGAGGCCAGGAGTTCAAGTTTACATTGTGAATCATGATAGTGCCACTGCACTCCAGCCTGGGGGATATAGCTAGACTCCCATCTCTAAAAAAGAAAAAAAGAAACAATAGACAATGTAATATAGCAGATTTAAAAAGTAGCATTCAGGCCAGGCACAGTGGCTCACACCTATAATCCCAGCACTTTGGGAAGCCAGGGTGGGCAGATCACCTGAGGTTAGGAGTTCAAGACCAACCTGGCCAACATGGTGAAACCCCCACCTCTACTAAAAACACAAAAATTAGCTGGGCATGGTGGCGAGCACCTGTAATCCCAGCTATGTGGGAGGCTGAGGCAGGAGAATCACTTGAACCCAGGAGGCAGAGGTTGCAGTGAGCCCAGATCGTGCCATTGTGCTCCAGCCTGGGAGACAAAGTGGAACTCCATCTCAAAAAAAAAAAAAAAAAAATTAGCATTCAAACATCAATAACTGTCTCTACTTTCTCTGTCAAATAGTAACTAATTTAAGTATAATGGAAGAAAATGTCACATTCACAATAACAAAATAAGATAAATAGGCTGGACGTGGTAGTTTCCGCCTGTAATCCCAGCATTTTGGGAGGCAGAGGCCAGGAGTTCATGAGGAGCCTGGGCAACAGAGGGAGGCGCCATCTCTTCAGAAAATTTAAAGATTAACCAGGTGTGGTGGCACACACCTGTAGTCCCAGCTGCTGGGGAGGCTGAGGTGGGATCATTGCCTGAGCCCAGGAGGTTGAGGCTGTAGTAAGCCATGTTTACACCCCTGCACTCCAGCCTAGGTTGGCAGAATGAGACCCTGTCTCAATTAAAAAAAACACGGTTGCTAGTATACATCTCACAGGGAAGTGGGGGGTGCCTTTAATTTCATTGACTGCAGTGTGAATGGTGCCCCCTGAGATGAACCACACAGTTTCTCTGAATATATTTAGAACATGTTCATAAACTATCTGGACATAGTGGCTTATGCCTGTAATCCTAGTACTGTAGGAGACCAAGGCGGGAGGATCCCTTGAGGCTAGGAGTTTGAGACCAGCCTGGACAACATAGTGAGATGCAATCTCTTAAAAAAAAAAGAAAAAAAAAACCACAAGGTTTTAGAAACTACTTGAAGAGCACTCTTAAATTCTGAAGAAACAAAATAATTAAAACACCTCATTCTTAGGTAACAAGACTCAACATTGTAGAAATGACAGGGTTTTTTGTTTTTGTTTTTGTTTTTTGTCTTTCTTTTTTTAGACCGAGTCTCGCTCTGTTGCCCAGACTGGAGTGCAGTGGTTGTGATCTTGGCTCACTACTGCCTCCCAGGTTAAAGCAATTCTGCCTAACCCTCTCAAGTAGCTGGGATTACAGGGGCCTACCACCACGCTCGGCTAATTTTTTGTATTTTTAGTAGAAATGGGGTTTCACCATCTTGGTCAAGCTGGTCTCGAACTCCTGACCTCAGGTGATCCACCCACCTTGGCCTCCCAAAATACTGGGATTACAGGCATGAGCCACTGTGCCTGGCCAAAATGACAGTTCTGTCTGGATCAGTGTGTAAGTTGAATTCAGGCCAAATCAAAATCAACAGAATTTTATTTACAGTTTGTCAGAATTATTCTAAGTTTCATTTGGAATAAGCATTTAAGAATCACTATGAAAAAGAAGAGTATTGGCTGGGCGCAGTGGCTCATGCCTATAATCCCAGCACTTAGGGAGGCTGAGGCGGGTGGATCACCTGAGGTCAGGAGTTCGAGACCAGCCTGGCCAACGTGGTGAAACCCCGTCTCTACTAAAAATACAAAAATCAGCTGGGCATGGTGGCAGGCACCTGTAATCCCAGCTACTCGGGAGGCTGAAACAGGAGAATCGCTCGAACCCAGGAGGCAGAGGTTGCAGTGAGCTGAGATCGAACCCTTGCGCTCCAGCCTGGGCAACAGAGTGAGACTCTGTCTCAAAAAATATATATAAAAAATAAAAAAAAGAAAAAGAAGAGTAATGGCAGGAGTGGAGTGGGGGGACTTGCCTCCCAAATATTAATATGTATTATAAAACCTCTTAAGCTGGGCACAGTGGCTCACGCCTATAATCCCAACACTTTGGGAGGCCGAGGCAGGTGGATCACAAGATCAGGAGATCAAGACCATCCTGGCTAACACAGTGAAACCCCGTCTCTACTAAAAACACAACAAAATTAGCCGGGTGTGGTTGTGGGCACCTGTAGTCCCAGCTACTCGGGAGGCTGAGGTAGGAGAATGTTGTGAACCTGGGAGGTGGAGCTTGCACTGAGCCAAGATCACACCACTGCACTCCAGCCTGGGCGACAGAGCGAGACTCCGTCAAAAAAAAAAAAAAAAAAAGTCTTTAAACAGATCCTTTTCCTAAAATGGAATAAGTACAGAATTAGACCCCAATAAAAATGGACATATGATAGAGATGGCAGGATTAATTTAAGAAGAGGTATTGGAACAACCAACTAACCATTTATAATTTTAAAATTGGATTCCTACTTCCCTCCTCACTCCAAAATAAACTCCAGATAGAGCAAAGATTTTAATATAAAAAATAACCATAAGAGAAAGAAATGACTTGAATAAATATATTTATAATCTTGAAGTGAGGAAAGCTTTTCTAAACATAGCCCAAAATTCAGAAGCCATAGGATATTTTTATTTTATGTCTTGCATGGCACAAGACACCATATGAAAAGACAACAACCTTGGAAAAAATATTCACAACACATATGGCAAGGGATTAACATCCTTAATAATAAAAACTTATTTCGAGCAATTAGAAAGAAAACCCAGTAGAAAAAAATAGGCAAAGGACATAAGCAAGCAATTCACAAAAGTTGCATTCATTAGGATTTTTGTTGATGACTTCTGAGTTTCCTGTCATGCCTAGAAAGAATTTCCCCACTCCAGGGTGCTCATTGTTTTCTAATAACTAAAGAAATGCAAATTGAAACTATTTTTTACTATCACATTGGAAAATATCAATTATCAATATAAAATTGATAATAGTGTTAGCACAGATGTTAATGTTGGCACAAGTATTAAGAAACAGGATGGGTTCACATACTTGGTGAGAAAAAAAACAGGCATTTTGATTTTCCATTAGTGAGAATGCAAGTTGCTGTTATTTATTTGGAGGGCAATTTGATCATTTCTGTCAAAATACTTATTGTAGTTATGTGATTTGACTCAACTCAAGTTCTAGGAATTTACCCGCATAAATGTACAAAGATTATGTGTATAAGGATTTTCACCAAAGCATTGTTCTTAATAGTGAAAAATTGGCAATAATCTAAGTACCCATCAATAGAGAATTCAATAAATAAATTATGGAAATGACATACTTTACAGCTGTTAAACAATGAATTCATAAACTTACATATACTGACATGAAAACATATCCAAAATATATTAAATGAAAAATACAGGCCTGGTGTGGTGGCTCACACCTGTATCCTAGCACTTTGGAAGGCTGAGGCAGGAGCATCAATCATTTAAGCCCAGGGGGTTGAAGCTGCAGTGAGTCATGATCACACCATTGCACTCCAGCCTGGGCCACAGAGCAAGACCCTGTCTCAACTTTACGTGTGTGTGTGTGTGTGTGTATGTGTGTGTGTGTGTGTGTGTGTATGTTGCAGATTAGTATGTATAATATTTCATTTTCTGAAAAGCAGAAATTTTTTTTTTTTGAGACTGAGTCTAGCTCTTGTTGCCCAGGCTGGAGTGCAGTGGTGCAATCTCAGCTCACTGCAACTTCCACCTCCTGAGTTCAAGCGATCCTCCTGCCTCTGCCTCCTGAGTAGCTGGGATTATAGGCGCCCACCGCCACGCTAATTTTTGTATTTTTAGTAGAGATAGGGTTTCACCATGTTGGCCAGGCTGGTCTTGAACTCCTGACCTGAGGTAATCGGCCCGCCTCAGCCTCCCAAAGTGCTGGGATTACAGGTGTGAGCCATCGCACCCGGCCTAAAAAGGTAAAATTTGTATATACCTATAACAAAATAGGTTTTATTAAACTCTGAGTTTGAGAACTGACTTCATTACTTACTAACACTTTCACTTTTTAGAGAGTAACCTCTCTAAATCTATTTTCTTGTGTTAAAGTTAGAGTAATACGTATTTCTTATGTGTGTCAAAAGTTCAAAAGACAAAATATATAAAATCTCTTTGTAAATGGTAATGTACTATATAAATATATGGTAATCAAACAAAAGTCTTTAAATGTAAATGACTCCCATAATCATCTGTATTCTTTTCGTGGGGGAGGGTGGGACAGGGTCTCGCTTCATCACCCAGGATAGAGTGCAGTGGCATGATCACAGCTCACTGTACCCTCATCCTCCCAAGCTCAAGTGATCCTCCCACCTCAGCCTCCTGAGTAGGTGGAATTACAGGCACATGCCACCATGCCTAGCGAATTATCTTTTGCAGAGATGGGGTCCCACTGTGTTTCCCAGGCTGGTCTCGAACTCCTGGGTTCAAGCAACCCTCCTGCTTCAGCCTCCCAAAGTGCTAGGATTACAGGCATGAGCCACCACACCCAGTCTGTATTCTAATAAAACTAAGTAGCCCTATAATTATTACTTTTTAACTTGATTTAATAACATAAAGCTTAATATCTTTTTGGTGTGATAAGTGATTCTTAAGTTTTTATAGCATAACATACCCCTTAGGAAACTTCAGGAAAGCTTTTAATTTCATTCTCCAACCCAAATGTATATGCATACCAAATTTTGCATACAACTTTATGGATCATATAGACACTCCCTCAAAACAAAATATCATTCCACGGATTACTGCTATGAATTCTAGTCTTCAAAATGCATAAAGAAGAGGAAAACGGCCGGGTGTGGTGGCTCACACCTGTAATCCCAGCACTTTAGGAGGCTGAGGCGGGCGGAGCACAAGGTCAGGAGATCGAGACCACCCTGGCCAACATGGTGAAACCCTGTCTCTACTGAAAATACAAAAATTAGCCAGGCATGGTGGCACGTGCTTGTAATCCCAGCTACTCCGGAGGGTGAGGCAGGAGAATTGCTTGAACCTGGGAGGCGGAAGTTGCAGTGAACTGAGATCGCACCACTGTTCTCCAGCCTGGGTGATGAGTGAGACTCCGTCTCAAAAAAACAAACAAACAACAAACCACAACTAGTTGGTAGATATGATAGAAGTTTCCATATGCAATAATTATGAATAAGATAAAACCCCTAAGAATATACTTAATAAGAACTGTGCTAGATCTTTATGATGAAAATTTTAAAATGCTATTGAAGGACTCAGAAGAACAATTAAATACATGGAAAGGCACACCATGTTCTTGAGTAGAAAAACTCAACATCATAAAGGTGTTCTTCCTAAGTTAGTCTATAAATTTTATGTGATTTCATTAAATTACAAACTAAGTTTGGATAGTTTGGATACTAGGCAATATTACTTCAAAGTTCAAGTGGAAAAAGTAAAAAAGCAAGAACAGAGGCTGGGCGCAGTGGCTCACACCTGTAATCCCAGCTCTTTGGGAGGCGAGGAGGGTGGATCGCTTGAGCTCAGGAGTTTGAAACCAGCATGGGCAACATAGTGAAACCTCATCTCTACTAAAAATACAAAAATTAGATGGGTGTGGTGTCAGGTGCCTGTAGTCCCAGCTACTTGGGGGGCTGAGGTGGGAGAATCACTTGAGCCTGGGAGGTGGAGGTTGCAGTGAGCCGAGATTGCACCACTACACTCCAGCCGGAATGATAGAAATGAGACTTTGTCTCAAAAAAAAAAAAAAAAAGGAAGGAAAAGCAAGAAGAGTCAGAGGAATTCTAAAAAGAATGTATGGGGAGGGGTAGGCAGGGGAATCAGCTCTGTCAAATATTAAAATATATAACAAAACATGTAGTTGTTGCACAGGCATGTATAGAACAGAATGAGAAATCCAGAAACAAACTCAAATACACCTAAGAATTTTGTATGTGATTTTTAAAATGTTATTAATATTATTTAAAATCTGTAGGTAAAAGATGAATGTTCAATAAATAGGATTAGGATTGCTGGGTAATCATCTAGGAAAGTGGATGAAAGATTAAAATATAAAAAACAAAAAGTGACCGGGCATGGTGGCTCACACCTATAATCCCTGCACTTTGGGAGGCTGAGGTGGGCAGATCGCTTGAATCCAGGAGTCCAAGACCAGACTGGGCAACATAGACCCCATCTCAATTAAAAAAAAAAATAAGTAATAGAAGTAATGAAGGGGAGACATTTTTAATCTCAGAGTATGGACATTCTTTCTAATATGACACAAAATTTGAAAGCCATAAAATAAATCGTGATCACATTAAAAAGTGGTTTTTTATCTGATAAACCACTATAAGTGTTGCAGGACCTTAGGGGTTATCATTTTTCTGGCTAGAAACCTCTGTGGCTGGTGGCACCCTTGTCTGAATTTTGCTTGGGCTCACTGGGCTCATTCTGCCCATTCAGCCTGGCAGGCTGTGCTTGGCTCATGCTACCAGCCTGGATCCTATGCCTCCAGGGGAGTCTGTAAGTCAGGCATGGAGCAGTGAGGGGTGTATGAACGAGCGTGGAGTCCAGCCACTGTGCAGTCAGACATGCCAGCTGCTGCCATGGAGCAGGCAGCTCCAGGTGCCAGCACAGGCAATGGCTCTCTACAAGGCTGCAGCTGGACCAGGGACATCGCAAGCAGCTTCCCCAGCTGGCACTGGGGAATGCAGTGGTGCCTAGAAGCTTGGAGACACCAGGAACTGCAGGGCCCCAAAGAGAGACTCAAAACCCTGGCTCAGGGAGCTCCCAGGTCTCCCAGGTCTGGGCTTCCCAAAGGGCCACAGCTCTTCTCTCCTTCTCTTCGCCCGCAACGTGGTGAGCAGTGGGCATGTTTTAACCCTGTTTGTGTTACAGTTCTTTTAGTTTCGCCATTCGGTGGGTCCTGAGTTTTTGTCCTGTGAACAAGAAGAATGAGGTATGCAGACAAGTGAAGGGTGAGCAAGATGAAGAGGAGCTTTATTGAGTGGTAGAACCGCCCCGAGGAGACCTGGAGGAGGTAGCTCCTTTCTGCAGCTGGGGGGTGTTCAGCTCCTAGCAAAGAGGGTAGCTCCTCTCTGCTAAGCAGGTCATCCCGAGGAGTGTTTAGCTCCTAGCGTGGAGGGTAGCTCATCTCTGCAGCTGGTCATCCTGTCTTCAGCTCTGCTCTGGCTGAGTCCTGGGCTTTTATGGGCCTCAGAGGGGAGGAAGTGCACACTGATTGGTCCATGGGTGGCCATAAGTGGGCCTGGAAAAGGCACCACAAATTCCCACTCCAGTCCATGGGACTGGCAACCTGGCCCCCAGCCTTCAGGCCCTCCCTGGCCTGAAGGTGGTGCTTCACTGGGGACCCACCCCTTTCCACCCTGGAGCCGGTCTACTTCCTACAACTTTTCACGGCACCCAGGCTGTTCCTGCTGAGGGGTGCCTGCAGGCCAGTGCCGAGCTGCCCTTAGCACCCCCCTTGGCGTCTCTCCCATGCTCCTCATTACCAAAAGTCCAAAGAGGGAGGTTGACATGTTAGTGCTGCACTGAGCGGGTGCACACCCAGCCAGGCTGGGACAGCGCCCAGGCTCAACCCCCATGCCACTCTGAGATCGGAGTGGGTGCCAGGAGTGGGGAGAGGCCAGGCAGCAGAAGCAGACACCCCCAAGCCTGTGCCCTGAGGGCACAGAGTGCAGAGATGCCCAGATCCTACACCTGGGAGGGTGGGGCTCCCACCACTGCATGGAGCTTGCAGGCAGCCTGGGGCAGGGGCTCCAGGTCCTCAATGGGCCCCTTTCTGCCTGCCCACCCCATGCCCAACTGCTTCTCTGTGCCCAGCCCCATTGTGGCAGCGCCCAGGGTGGTGGGTTCTGTGGAGGGCAGGGAGTGTTGGGGAGGGTCCAGCTTGTCCCTGGCTCCTGCTGGCTCTGTGGTTCATGGAACTGCCCCAGGCACAGCTCTACCTCCTCCCCATGCCCTCTCCGCAGTGGCAGTAGGCTAGAGTGGTGACACGGGGCCAGGGTCCAGAGCAGCAGAGGCTCCAGGCCTGGGAACAGGTCTCACCTGACCATGCAAGGGTGGGGGCAGCACAGTCACCTGCCTCGGGAACGTGGAGCACAGGGGACCCACTGCCACCATTCCTGCTCCCGCAGCTGCCCCTGCCGCCACTGCTTGCACCTCCCCGCTGTGGCTGGTGCAGTGGCCACTGCCATGATAAGCAAGATCAACAAACAACAAACTGGAAAAAGAATAAAGGACTCCTAGAAATCAATAAAAGAAAGGCTAAAAATCTAATGGACAAAGGATCTGAGCAAACAGGAACAAAACAGAAACACAACTCTCTCCACCATTAAAAGATGCTCGGTCTTGGCCGGGCACAGTGGCTCATGCCTCTAATCCCAGCACTTTGGGAGGCCAAGGTTGGTGGATCACGAGGTCAGGAGATCGAGACCATCCTGGCTAACACGTTGAAACCCTGTCTCTACTAAAAATACAAAAAAAATTAGTTGGGCGTGGTGGCGGGCACCTGTAGTCTCAACTACTTAGGAGGCTGAGGCAGGAGAATGGTGTGAACCCGGGAGGCAGAGCTTGCAGTGAGACGAGATGGCACCACTGCACTCTAGCCTGGGCGACAGAGCAAGACTCCATCTCAAAAAAAAAAAAAAGATGCTCGGTCTTAAACTTAAGAAAAATACAAATTAAAATAACAGTTAAGCTGGGCTCAGTGGCAGGTGCCTATATCCCACCCACTCAGGAGGCTGAGGCAGGAGCTTCAGTTGAGCCCAGAAGTTCTAGGCTAGCCTAGACAACATAGGGAGACCCCATCTCTAAAAAATTTTTTTTAGAATCAGATAAATTTTTCTTTTTTTTCTTTTTAAGACAGGGTCTTGCTCTGTCACCCAGGCTGGAGTGGAGGGTCACAATCATGGCTCACTGCAGCCTTGACCTCCTGGGCTCAACTGATCCCACCTCAGCCTGCCACAGTACTGGGATTACAGGCGTGAACCACTGTACCTGGCTAAATATTTTCACAGTCAAAAAGTTTGATAACTGTTTACAAGGTATTAGGAAACAAATATGCATATTATTGCTGTTGGTGTAAAACTGTTACAAGCGCAACAGAGAACAATTTGGCAATAACTAATCAAAATCTAAAATGTACGTACTCTTCAATCCAGCAATCTCACTTCTTGGAGTTTATCTTACATAAATCCTTGCAAATCTAGATTCCTAGATTCCTTCTCCCATCCTAGCAGAAGTCTAAGGTTTATTTTTTGTAAAAGTAAAACACAGAGTTGTTTTGTTTGTTTGTTTGTTTGTTTGTTTTATGAGATGGAATCTTGCTCTGTCACCCAGACTGGAATACAGTGGTATGATTTTGGCTCACTCTACCTCCCGGGTTCAAGGGATCCTCTTGTCTCAGCCTCCCTAGTAGCTGGGGCTACAGGCATGCACCACCACACCCAGCTAATTTTTTTTTTTTTCTTGCTCTGTGGCCCAGGCTGGAGTGCAGTGGCGCCATCTCGGCTCACTGCAAGCTCTGCCCTCTGGGTTCACGCCATTCTCCTGCCTCAGCTTCCCGAGTAGCAGGTGGGACTACAGGCGCCCGCCACTACACCCAGCTAATTTTGTTGTTGTTGTTGTATTTTTAGTAGAGACGGGGTTTCACCGTGTTAGCCAGGATGGTCTAAATCCCCTGACCTCATGATCCACCCACTTCAGCCTCCCAAAGTGCTGGGATTACAGGCGTGAGCCACCATGCCTGGCCAATTTTTTTAGTTCTAGTAGAGATGAGGTTCCAACATGTTGGCCAGGCTGGTCCCAAACTCCTGACCTCAGGCGATCTGCCCGCCTCAGCCTCCCAAAGTGCCGGGATTACAGTCAGCAACCGGGTCCGGCCTAAAACAAAGAATTTCTATACAGGGAATACTAGGCCAAATTAAGGCAAGAGTAGTCTCTTGAAAATGGGGATTACGTGAGTGTGTGATTACTGAATGCTGGAATAATCCCCTGCCTTTTCTCTCCACTGGGCTTTCAAAACACTGGCACCCAAATCTTTACTCTCCATGCAGAAATTTTAGAAGACTCTTTTCTGGAGAATCTGACAATCCCCAGGATATAGGTTTAAGAGGTTTCCCAACAAATTGCCCATGTAGAATACCCTGCAGTGAATCTCAAAGTCTAAAAATCCTGTAAACCATGTGCTCAGATCTTCCAAATGGCTTTTTAGTCCTCTACTCTTAGTCATAAGCAGACATCCAAGGATTATCATACATCTGAGAAAAGCCTCTAAACGTGACTTAGAGATCAAAATAAATGACATGGCCAGGTGCAGTGGCTCACACCTGTAATCCCAGCAATCTCAGCACTTTGGGAGGCCGAGGTGGGCGGATCACTTGAGGTCAGGAGTTCAAGACCAGCCTATGCAACATGGTGAACCCCATCTCTACTAAAAATATAAAAATTAGCCCAGTGTGCTAGCGCACGCCTGTAGTCCCAGCTACTCGGATGACTGAGGCATGAGACTCTTGAGCCTGGGAGACATGAGATCATGACTCTGCATGACAGAGTGAGACTCTGTAACAAAAAATAAATAAATAAAATAAATGGGGGCGGGGTGCAGTGGCTCACGCCTGTAATCCCTGCACTTTGGGAGGCCAAGGTGGGCAGATCACGAGGTCAGGAGATCGAGACCATCCTGGCTAACATGGTGAAACCTCGTCTCAACTAAAAATAGAAAAAATTAGCGGGGCATGGTGGCAGGCGCTTGTAGTCCCAGCTATTCCAGAGGCTGAGGCAGGAGAATGGCGTGAACCTGGGAGCCAGAGCTTGCAGTGAGTCAAGATCATGCCACTGTACTCCAGCCTGGGCGACAGAGCGAGACTCCGTCTCAAAATAAACAAATAAATAAATAAAAATAAAAAAATAAAATAAATGAGTATGCCTGGTGCGGTGGCTCACGCTTGTATCCCAGCACTCTGGGAGGCCAAAGCAGGCAGATCACTTGAGGTCAGGAGTTCCAGCCTAGCCAACATGGTGAAATCCCGTCTCCACTAAAAATACAAAAATTAGCCAGGCATGGTGGGGCATACCACACCTGTAATCCCAGCTACTCGGGAGGCTGAGGCAGGAGAATTGCTTGAACCTGGGAGGCGGAGGTTACAGCAAGCCAAGATCACAACATTGCACTCTATACTTCACTCCAGCCTGGGTGACGTAGTGAGACTCTGTCTCAAAAATAAATAAATTAATTAAAGAAAGAAAGAGAGAGAGAGAGAGAAAGCAAGCAAGCAAGCAAGCCGGGCGCGGTGGCTCACACCTGTAATCCCAGTACTTTGGGAGGCCAAGGCGGGCAGATTGCCTGAGGTCAGGAGTTCGAGACCAGCCTGGCCAACATGGTGAAACCGTGTCTCTACTAAAAATACAAGAATTAGCCAGGTGTGGTGGCAGGCACCTGTAGTCCCAGCTACTTGGGAGATTGAGGCAGGAGAATCGCTTGAACCCGGGAGGCAGAGGTCGCAGTGAACCAAGATCGCACTACTGCACTCCAGCCTGGGCAACAGAGTGAGACTCCATCTCAAAAAAATAAATAAATAAATACAAACAAAACAAATGACACAAATGAACAGAAAAAATAATATTGAAGAAAACAGGCTGTACAGGGAGATGCGAATTTACAACAAGTGCTAATATTAGTAGTTTAAATAGATATTGCATCTATGAAATAAGAACGGTCTGCATTCTTGTAAAAAACTTAGGAAAATAAAAAACCTCTTGAATATTAAAAACTTAACAGCAGAAATTAAAATGCTAGAAGGGTTGGAAGAGAAAGTTGAAATCAACTGGGCACAGTGGCTCACGCCTGTAATCCCAGCACTTTGAGAGGTAAAGCCAGGAGGATGCCTTGAGGCCAAGAGCTCAAGACCAGCTTGGGCAACATAGTGAGACCTCCATCTCTACAAAAAAATTTAAAACTTAGCTGCACATGGTGGTGTGTGCCTCCAGTCCCAGCTACTCAGGAAGCTGAGGTGGGAGGATCTCTTGAGCCCAGGAGTTCAAGATTACAGTGAACTATGATCACACCACTGCACTCCAGGCTAGGCAACAGAGCAAGACCCTGTCTCTTTTAAAACAAAAAAAAAGGGAGAGCCAGGCACGGTGGCTCACGCCCGTAACCCCAGCACTTTGGGAGGCTGAGACAGGCAGATCATAAGGTCAAGAGATCAAGACCATCCTGGTCAACATGGTGAAACCCCATCTCTACTAAAAATACAACAAAAATTAGCTGGGTGTGGTGGCGGGCACCTGTAATCCCAGCTGCTCAGGAGGCTGAGGCAGGAGAATTGCTTGAACCCAGGAGGCACAGGCTGCAGTGAGCCAAGATCGTGCCAGTGCACCCCAGTCTGGGAACAGAGTGAGACTCCGTCTCAAAAAGAGAGAGAGAGCATATAATAGAAGACCACCTAGAGAATCTAAGAGGTCCAAACTCCAAACACTGTAGGAGGAAATTATCCACAAAATCTTCAAGTAAAATTTCCAGAACTGAAGAACATGAGTTTACAGAGGGGATGAGCCCACCAAGTGTCCAGCAGAATGGATAAAAATAGATCTATACCAAGGTACATCACTTTGAAATTTTAGAACACTTGGAATAGAAAAGATCCTACAAGCTTCCAGAGAGAAGAAATGTCATATAAAAGGGATCAGTAATCAGAATAGCTTGACTTGTAAACACCACCACTGAAAACCATAACACAAGTAGGAAAAAAAGCTCTTTTATGCTATCTTGATGTATCTTTGCCTCTGTTGTTCATTGATGGATCCCAAGTGCCTAGAGGCAGTGCCAGGCATGTACTAGAGTCTCAGTAAAAATTTATTGAATGTAAGAGAACAATTGAGAAATGGCTTCAAAATTCTGAGGAAGTATTTATTCCAGCTTATAACTAAACCAATATATCACTCAAGTATGAGTTTAGAATAAAGATATTGTGGGACATGCAGGGTTTCAATTTACCCTCTTTGTGCCCCTTCTCAAGAAGCTGTGAAAGGATATGCTTTGTTTTGGGCCAGTTTCTCCCATTTGGAAGGGGTGTATTTACCCAATGCCTGTACCCCCATTGTATCTAGGGAACATGAAAAGGGAAATCTAGGCAGAGGTTCCCAAACCTCAATTCTTGACTTCCATGCACCTGCAGGCTCAGTACCATGTGGAAACTGCCAAGGCTTGGGGCTTGCACCCTGTGAAGCAATGAGCTGTTCCTTGGCCCCTTTTAGCCATGGCTGGAGTGGCTGGGACTCAGGGCACCAAGTCTCTAGGCTGCACAGAGCAAGGGGGCCCTGGGCCCGGCCCATAAAACCATTTTTTCCTTCTAGGCCTCCAAGCCTGTGATGGGAGGGGCTGCCGTGAAGACTTCTGATATGCCCAGGAGACATTTTTCCCATTGTCTTGGGAAATTAACATTCAGCTCCTCGTTACTTAAGCAAATTTCTGCAGCCAGCTTGAATTTCTCCTCAGAAAATGGGATTTTCTTTTCTAGTGCATTTCCAGGCTGCAAATTTTCCAAACTTTTATGCTCTGCTTCCCTTATAAAACAGAATACTTTGGCTGGGTGCAGTGGCTCATGCCTGTAATCCCAGCACTTTGGGAGGCAGAGGCAGGTGGATCACCTGAGGTAAGGAGTTTGAGACCAGCCTGGCCAACGTGGCAAAACCCCATTTCTACTGAAAATACAAAAAATTGGGCTGGGCGCAGTGGCTCACGCCTGTAATCCTAGCACTTTGGGAGGCAGAAGCGGGTGAATCACGAGGTCAGGAGATCGAGACCATCCTGGCTAACACGGTGAAACCCCATCTCTACTAAAAAATAGAAAAAAATTAGCCGGGCGTGGTGGGGGGCACCTGTAGTCCGAGCTGCTCGGGAGGCTGAGGCAGGAGAATGGCGTGAACCCGGGAGGCGGAGCTTGCAGTGAGCCAAGATCGTGCCACTGCACCCCAGCCTGGGCCACAGAGCAAGACTGTCTCAAAAAAAAAAAAATTATCCGGGCATGGTGGTGGGCGCCTGTAATCCCAGCTGCTTGGGAGGCTGAGGCAGGAGAATTGCTTGAACCCGGGAGGCAGAGGTTGCAGTGAGTCGAGATTACACCATTGCACTCCAGCCTGGGCAACAGAGTGAAACTCTCTCAAAAACAAACAAACAAACAAACAAACAAACAAACAAAACTGAATGCCTTTAACAGCACCCAAGCCACCTCTTGAATGCTTTGTGGCTTAGAAATTTCTTCCACCAGGTACCCTAAATCATCTCTCTCAAGTTCAAATTTCCACAAATCTTTAGGGCAGGGCAGGAGCAGAATGCCACCAGTCTCTTTGCTAAAACGTAACATGAGTCAGCCGGGTGCGGTGGCTCACACCTGTAATCCCAGCACTTTGGGAGGCCAAGGCAGGTGGATCACAAGGTCAGGAGTTCGAGACCAGCCTGGCCAATATGGTGAAACCCTGTCTCTACTAAAAATACAAAAAATTAGCCAGGCGTGGTGGCAGGCACCTGTAGTCCCAGCTACTCAGGAGGCTGAGGCAGAAGAATCGCTTGAACCCAGGAGGCGGAATTTGCAATGAACTGATATTGCACCACTGCACTCCAGCCTGAATGATAGAGCAGGACTCCATCTCAAAAAAAAATAAAATAACGAGTCACCTTTGCTCCAGTTCCCAACAAGTTCCTCATCTCCATCTGAGACCATTTCGGCCTGGATTTCATTGTCCATATCATCATCGGCATTTTGGTCAAAGCCATCCAACAAGTCTCTAGGAAGTTCCAAACTTTCCTACATTTTCCTGTCTTCTTCTGAGCCCTCCAAACTGTTCTAACCTTTCATCATTACCCAGTTCCAAAGTTGCTTCCAGAGTTTTGGGTTATCTTTTCAGCAGTGCCCCACTCTGCTGGTAACAATTTACTGTATTAGTCCATTTTCATGCTGCTGGTAAGGACATACCCAAGACTGGGAAGAAAAATAGGTTTAATGGTCTTACAGTTCCACATGGCTGGGGAAGCCTCACAATCATGGCAGAAGGCAAGGAGTAGCAAGTCATGTCTTACATGTATGGCAGCAGGCAAAGAGAGAGCTTGTGCAGGGAAACTCCCATTTTTAAAACCATCAGATCTTGTGAGCCTTATTCACTATCATGAGAATAGCACAGGAAAGACCCACCTCCATGATTCGGTTACCTCCCACCAGCTCCCTCCCACAACATGTAGGAATTGTGGGAGTTACAATTCAAGATGAGATTTGGGTGAGGACACAGCCAAACCGTATCAGGGATATTCAACTTGGAACTACTGTTACATACAACATGGATGAATCCCACAGACCTAATGCTGAGTGGACATAGCCAGACATGAGAGTACGTATTGTGTAATTCCATCTGTATGAAGTTCAGAAATGGACAAAACTAATCAATGGTGTCAGAATGTTGGTTATCTTTGAGGGAGATATTGATAGGGAAGAAACATAGGGAGCCTCTGGGGTGCTGGAAAGTCTGCATCTTGAGCTGGGTGTTGGCTGTAAAAGTGTATCAAGTATTACACTTAGGATTTAGCACTTTATGTAAATTATACCTTAATTTAAAAAGTTAAAAAATTCAGCTGTCCAATAAAAATTAAAATAAATGAAATGCAATCCACATAGCCCTGCTAAAGTCAGGAAGAGAATGACCACTATCTCCACTACTGTTCAACAGTGTATTGAAAGTATTAGCCAAAGCAATCAGATAAGAGTTACAAATGAGGGGCTGGGCTCAGTGGCTCACACCTGTAATCCCAGCACTTTGGGAGGCCGAGGTGGGTGGATCATGAGGTCAGGAGTTCAAGACCAACCTGGCCAACATGGTGAAACTCCGTCTCTACTAAAAATACAAAAAATTAGCTGGGTGTGGTGGCAGGCACCTGTAATCCCAGCAACTCCAGAGGCTGAGGCAGGAGAATCGCTCAAACCCAGGAGGTTGAGGCTGCAGTAAGCCAAGATCACGCCATTGCACTCCAGCATGGGCAACAAGGGCAAGACTCCATCTCAAAAAAAAAAAAAAAAAAAAAGTTATAAGTTAGATGTGTAAAAATTAGAAAAGAGAAGTTAAAAGTTTTACTATTTGTTAATGATAGGATCAATATTTACAAGGCCCAAGAAAATCAACTAAAAAACTGCTATTAATAAAACAATTTTTAAAAAAAGAATTCAAAGCTAGGCACCATGGCACAAGGCTGTAGTCCTAGCTTGAGGTATGAGGATTGCTTGAGTCCAGGAGTCCAAGTCCAGCCTGGGCAACAGAACGAGGCCCAATTTTTTTTTTTTTTTTTTTTTTTTGGAGACAAGGTCTCGCTCTGTTGCTTACGCTGTAGTGCAATGTCATGATTATGGCTCACTGCAGCCTCAACCTCCCAGTTTCAAGCAGTCCTCCCACCTCAGCCTCCCAAGTAGCTGGGTCCACAGGTACATGCCACCACACTTAGCTAATTTTCTAAAATTTTTGTAGAGACATGGCCTCGCCATGTTGCCCAGGTTGGTCTCAAAATGGTCTCAAGCAATGCTCGTGTTTTGGCGTCCCAAAGTGCTGGTATTACAGGTGTGAGCCATTGCACCTGGGCTTCAAGGCCCCAATTCTAAAAAAAAAAAAATTTAAGAGAGAATTCAGTGAAATGATAGGGTATACAATTACAGAAACCAGAAGCCTTTATACACACAAAGACACAAACAGTATTACAGTGAGCATCTTCATACGTGCCCTCCTATGGATCCTTGTCAGAACTTCCCTTGGGTCTGTGCTCAGGAACAGGATTGGTGGGACAGAGCGTTCACACATTCTTCATTTGACTGAAACTGCTAGGTGGCTCTCCAGAACAGCCACACCAGCTGTCACACCCACCAGCATCCTTGCTAGTACTTGCCATATCCCCTACATATCCTCTGTGCTTGTGGAAAATGTGCTTCTGCAAAACCAGGGGCTAGGCTAGGAGTGGTGGCTCATGCCTATAATCCCAGCACTTTGGGAGGCCAAGGCAGGTGGATCATGAGGTCAAGAGATCGAGACCATCCTGGCCAACGTGGTGAAACCCCATTGCTATTAAAAATTCAAAAATTAGCTAGGCATGGTGGCGTGCACCTGTAGTCCCAGCTACTTGGGAGGCTGAGGCAGGATAATTGCTTGAACCCGGGAGGCAGAGGTTGCAGTGAGCCGAGATCATGCCACTGCACTCCAGCCTGGCAATAGAGCAACACTACGTCTCAAAAAAACAAACAAACCAAAAAAAACGGGCTAAACCAAGAAAGAAGCAAGCATGAGATGTAGGAAACAGGGATTCTAACAGGGAAGTGGTGAGAGGAATCTCTAGGATGTGCGGCAGGCCAGGGTTGGGGCACTACTGCTTCCAGACTCCCCACCCTCGCCTCCTTAAAGGGCTCAGGATATGAGGAGGAACTGGCCATAGGCTTAGTTGAAATTATTGTCATTGACAACAGTTCTTCTGTCTATAAAGTTTGAGTATTTGTGCCTTCTCTCAGTATCACTGTATATCATCCCCTAAGCAGTAGATCTATGCTTTCTTAGTTCTTCTTGCCCTAAGAATAACTTTAAAGACCTTTTTTATTTTCCTTAGAATTTCTGGCAAATTACAGCACAGTCCTCCTGACAGTATTTTTCAGGATTGTGTCATTCTTCAGGATCCATCTCTGATTATACTTCCCTTCATCTATATTTTGCCCATCCTCTCAAAACATTAGCTCAACAGGGTGGGCGCAGCGGCTCACACTTGTAATCCTTGCACTTTGGGAGGCCGAGGTGGGTAGATCACCTGAGGTCAGGAGTTCAAGACCAGCCTTGCCAACATGGGGAAACCCCATCTTTACTAAAAATACAAAACTCAGCTGGGCGTAGTGGCAGGCGCCTGTAATCTCAGCTACTCGGGAGGCTGAGGGAGGAGAATCGCTTGAACCTGGGAGGCGGAGGTTGCAGTGAGCTGAGTTGTGCCACTGCACTCCAGCCCGGGCGACAGAGAGAGACTCTGTCTCAAAAAAAAAAAAAAAAAAAAAAAAATTAGCTCAACAGGGAGCTCAGGCGGGCACACTGGTTTCCATTACTACTTCCCTCTTTTCATCTTCATCATGATTATTCATGATTGCATAATCAGGATTTCTTTTTAAAGAAGCTCCCTACTTGATATTAGCTGACAGAACAAAAGGTTCTTGATTAAATGATGGCTCTTCCCTGCTCACTGAAAGTCAAAAGCTAACAAAATACTTTGATCAAAAAATGGATTTTGATATCCATTGTTATGAAAATAGTGAAAAACTTCCAGGAGTAAATGAATAGTTTTGTGGACAGATGCTTTTAGTGGTCAAGAACCATTGATTGAGAAAGCTGTTTCTGAACAAAGAACTGGAAAAGCCAGGCTCTACCAATACACAATGTAAACGTAAATGAACCACACTGCAGGCACCTACTTTCACGGAACTCTCTCCTCCTTTGCCTGAACCGTTTCAACAGCTTTTTTTTTTTGAGATGGAGTCTCACTCTGTCGCCCAGGCTAGAGTGCAGTGGCACCATCTTGGCTCACTGCAACCTCAGCCTCATGGGTTCAAGCAATTCTCCTGCCTCAGCCTCCCGAGCAGCTGGGATTACAGGCGCATGTGCATACCACCACACCCGGCTGATTTTTGTATTTTTAGTAGAGACAGGGTTTCACCATGTTGGCCAGGCTGGTCTGGAACTCCTGACCTCAGGTGATCTACCTATCTCACCCTCCCAAAGTGCTGGGATTACAGGCATTAGCCACCATGCCCAGTCTCAAAAGCTTTCTAATTGTCTCCATGTGTCCAGACTTGTGACCCTCAAATCCAAACACAGCCATGAAGATCTACCTAAAACACAAATCTCAGAATGAATGACCTTCCCTGTGGACAGAGAACACACTCCCCACTGGCAGGCAAGCCCACACCTTGCAGATGCAGGCCCTGTCTCCCTTGCAAGCCCTCTTCCTGCATAGCTCCATGCCTACCAGCTGTGCTCTAGCCACCGCTAGCACCTACCATGCTGATTCTCACCTTTGTGCCTTTGCACACACGGTCCCCTCCATCTGGCATGCCTTCTTCCACTCTGACCCAGGTTGTTCCTTACTACTCAGTTCAGGCGCCATTTGCCTTTGGGAAGCCTTTTCTCGTCCTCACTGTGCCCCCATAACTCCCTGAGGCTATTTTACATCAGGGTATACAAGTACATGTTCTTGCATCTGTCTTTCCAACAGTGAGCTCCCAGGACGAGGAACTGGGTGTTCTTTGAATCCCCAGCCCTAGCAAAGCGCCTGGACATTGTAAACTAGATCAGTGTTTGTTGAATGAAGTTTGGTTTTTTTTTTGTTTTTTTTTTTTGAGACAGACTCTCACTCTGTCGCCCAGGCTGGAGTGCAGTGGCACGTTCTCACTCACTGCAATCTCCACCTCCCGGGTTCAAGCGATTCTCCTGCCTCAGCCTCCTGAGTAGCTGGGACTACAGGGGCGTGCCATCACACACGGCTGAATTTTTTTTTTTTTTTTTTTTTTTAGTAGAGATGAGGTTTCACCATGTTAGGCAGTATGGTCTCGATTTCCTGACCTCGTGATCTGCCCACCTTGGCCTCCCAAAGTGCTGGGATTACAGGTGTGAGCCACTGCGCCAAGCCAAGAATGAAATCTTGTCATTTGCGGCAACATGGATAGATGGGAGGTCATTATGTTAAGTGAAATAAGCCAGGTACAGGAAGACAAATACAACATGTTCTCACTCATATGTGAGAGCTAAAAAAGAGGTAGAGAGTAGAATGATGGTTATCAGAGGCTGGAAAGGGAAAGGAGAGGGAAAGATGAGTCGAAGTTGGTTAATGGGTATAAAAATACAGTTAGAAGGAATAAGTTCTGGTATTCAAGAGTACAGTAGAGAAATCAGTTAATAATTTATATGTCTCAAAATAGTTACAAGACAGGAACTGTAGTGTTCTCAGCACAAAGAAAAATAAGGAGATGGATATCCCAATTACCCTGATTTGGTCATTGCACATTACATACATGCATCAAAATATCACGTGTAGGCCGGGCGCAGTGGCTCACACCTGTAGTCCCAGCACTTTGGGAGGCTAAGGTAGGCGGATCACTTGAGGTCAGGAGTTTGAGACCAGCCTGGCCAACATGGTGAAACCCTGTCTCTACTAAAAATACAAAAAAAATTAGCCGGGCGTGGTGGCGCATGACTGTAATCCCAGCTACTCGGGAGGCTGAGGCAGGAGAATCGCTTGCATCCAGGAGGCAGAGGTTGCAGTGAGCCAAGATCTTGCCGTTGCACTCCAGCCTGGGCAACAGACTGAATGAGACTCCATCTCAAAAAAAATATATCACATGTACCCCAAAAATATGTGAACTGTTATACATCTATAATTTTTTTAAAAACCAACTCCATTCATGATCAGTATCATTGGCTCCTAAGAGGTTGTTTGGAACAAGGCTGCTGATGAGATTCATCCAAGTATCAAACCCACATTAACAATTTCTTTTTTTTTTTTTTTGAGACAGAATTTCAATCTGTCACCCAGGACAGGGTGCAGTGGTGCAGTCTCAACTCACTGCAACCTCCGCCTCCTGTAATCCGAACTCAGCTCACTGCAACCTCCACCTCCCATGTTCAAGTAATTCTCCTCCCTCAGCCTCCCAACTAGCTGAGACCACAGGTGCACACCGCCACACCTGGCTAATTTTTATATTTTTTTGTAGAGATGGGTTTTTGTTTTTTTTTTTTTGTTTTGAGACGGAGTTTTGCTTTTGTTGCCCAGGCTAGAGTGCAATGGTGCGATCTTGGCTCACTGCAACCTTTGCCTCCTAGGTTCAAGCAATTCTTCTGCCTCTGCCTCCCAAGTATCTGGGATTACAGGCATCTACTGCCATACCCGGCTAATTTTTTGTATTTTAGTAGAGACAGGGTTTCACCATGTTGGCCAGACTGGTCTCGAACTCCTGACCTCAGGTGATCCACCCCCCTCGGCCTCCCAACGTACTGGGATTACAGGCATGAGCCACCACACCCAGCCGAGATAGGGTTTTACCATGTTGCCCAGGCTCATCTCAAACTCCTGGACTCAAGCAGTCCATCTGCTTCAGCCTTCCAAAATGCTGGGATTATGGCATGAACCAATGCACCTGACCTCTACAAAACATTTTTCTTAAAATTAGCCAGACATGGTAGTGTGCGGCTGTAGTCCCAGCTACTCGAGAAGCAGAGGTAGGAGGTAGGAGACTCGCTTAAGCCCAGCAGGTTGAGGCTGCAGTGAATCATGATCATGCCACTGCACTAGAACCGAGACCCTATCTGAAAAAAAAAAAAAAAAAAATCAACTCCCACTTCTGCTTTTTTTTTTTTTTTTTTTTTTTTGAGACTGAGTCTCGCTCTGCTGCCCAGGCTGGAGTATATTGGCACCATCTTGGCCCACTGCAACCTCTGTCTCCTGGGTTCAAGTGATCCTTGTGCCTCAGCCTCCTGAGTAGGTGGGATTACAGGCATGTGCCACCATGCCTGGCTAATTTTTTTGTATTTTCAGTAGAGATGGAGTTTTACCATGTTGGCCAGGCTAGTCTCAAACTCCTGACCTCAGGTCATCTGCCCACCTCGGCCTCCCAAAGTGCTGGGATTACATGTGTGAGTCACTGCACCTGGCCCCCCACTTCTTTTTATTTTGTTTCTTTTTTGGGGGGTCTTACTATGTTGCCCAGGCTAGGCTCAAACTCCTAGGCTTAAGCAATGCACTCCCCTTGGCCTCCAAAGTGTTGGGATTACAGGCGTGAGCCACCACTCCCGGCCTTGAGTGCTTATTATGTACTATATTTCCCCATATTTTATCTAAAGTTAGTCTCTAGAATAATCATAGGAAGTAGACATTACTATTCCCATTTGATGAGAAACTCTCACAAGTCGTATGCGTGGCAGAGCCTCTTCTTCATACAGAGTGTGGAACAGGGAACTCGTGTCATTGATGCATTTAGCTTACTTTCCTAAGGGGCTTTCAAGGGGGACACTTCCCCTGGATTCAATTTTCCCCTTAGCCACTAACTTTGAAACCCAACCAGAATTCCAGACCCTTCAGTGCAGCTCTCCTGCAGTTGGTTGAGTCATTAGGATAAGTCTGAATGGAGCCTGGAATAATAACAACTAAGTTCTAGTTTTTGCTGCAGGCCCTCTAGCCCAGTCCAAGAGCACCTGGCCACCCAGAGAAGCACTGCTGGAGTGGGGGATCAGGCCATACAGCATCCACAGAGAAGCCCAGCTCCTTACTGGGACCCTGGTCCATTTCCCAAGTTGAACTTCCTGCAGGAAGAGAACATATCACATATTTTAATCCATTTGACAGTCACAGAGGAAGTCTAAGGAAGCCAGGGCATGCCTGCTTGGGGCTGTCCAAGTTCATCCTCTGCCGCCCTATCTCTGTTATGTTTGGTTTGGAAGTCCAGAAGATTGTGTTTATGTTCCCAGCAGGGCACCTGTTAACTGGTACCAAGAAAAGGCCCAAGTGTTTCTCTGGCATCTGATGGTGTCTGGATCCACCACTCTACTCTGTCTCTGGAAACAGCCCTTCCACGTCTCTGCATTCCCTGTCACCGCGTCACTGGCCTTCAGACAGAGCCAAGGTGCAGGGCAACACCTCTACAAGGATCTGCAGCCATTTATATTGCTTAGGCTACTGGTAAGTGGACTAAGGTTTAAAATTACTATCCTAAACATTTCTAGCTAATGTTAACCATCCATCCAACCAACCGGTGGTTGGAGTCACAGAAAGCTAAAACAATGTCACTCTCTTTATTGTTTATTCCCTGCCTACCCATCCACTGCATTGACATCTACTGAGGGTCCACTACAGGCCCAGGCAATGTCCAAGAGAGTCCCAGGTCCCTGCCTGGAGTGCATGTGACAATCATCATAATACAGGGCTATAGCGCATATATGACAAAGTGCTGTGGGAGAAAAGAGAAAGACAATCCAATCCCTTGGGCTCCCAGAAGAGGTGGCTTGTGAGCTGCGCCTTGAGCACCCACTCACGGAGGACAGCATAAGCAAAAGTGGGGAGGAATGTGGGCAGGAGGGGCGTGAAGAAGCGGGCAGTGGGGTTTGGAGTGACTGAACCCTAGGAGGGTGGTGGTGGCAAGAGATGATGGGGGAGTGTTGGAGGGGCCTGGGCAGGCTATGCTGAGGAGTTTGGGCTTGACCCAAAAGTCACAGTGAACCACGGAAGGGGCTGAGCATTGGAGGAACAGTCACACTCAGTGCCTTAGAACGTCACTCTGGCCTCTGGTTAGACACAGTGGGTGGAACATTTGCATTCATCTGTGTTCCTTCTGGAGCCCTGCTAATATGGCAGTGAACATTATATATGTGTGTATCTCATGCAGCCACAGGACAAAAGAATGAGAGAGGAGAAAGCAGCAGGGGAGAGAAGTGAACCAAATTTTGAATGCTGGGAGGAGATGGACAGTTGGTGACTGACCTTCCCTCAAGCATCTCTGGAGCCACAGCCCCCAGCCGGCTGTGTCCAGCACGTGGTAATTTATTGAACAAGAATGGGAGGTACTAAAATACTGACTAGAAGCTTTGTGATTTGTGGGTAAGGATACAGGAATTTCATTAGAGCCCGTCCCGCCATGTCAGAGTTTATACGTCTTTGAAGCTGGTCAGTTTCTTTAGAGAGGAACTTCACAGATGAGGAAATTGAAGTACATGGAAGTCAAGTAGTCTCTCCAAAGTCACATAGAGTGATAGCAGAGCAGGGATTTAAACTCATGGCCAGTAAATAATGAAAATATAGGATTACTAATCAAAGAAATGCAAATTAAAATCAGAGCTGGGCATGGTGGCTCACGCCTGTAATCCCAGCAGTTTGGGAGGCCCAGGCGGGCAGATCACCTGAGGTTGGGAGTTTGAGACCAGCCTGACCAACATGGAGAAACCCTGTCTCTACTAAAAATACAAAATTAGGCGGGCATGATGGTGCATGCCTGTAATCCCAACTACTCGGGATGCTGAGGCAGGAGAACCGCTTGAACCCGGGAGGCGGAGGTTGTGGGGAGCTGAGATCGTGCCATTGCACTCCAGCCTGGGCAACAGGAGTGAAACTCCATCTCAAAAAAAAAAAAAAAAAAACCAGACTGGAAATTTTGTTTTTTTGAGACAGGGTCTCACTCTGTCGCCCAGGCTGCATTGCAGTGGCCCAATAATAGCTGACAGAACCAAGCCCTGAGAGAATTCACTGTGAGCCTGACGCTCCTAACACTGCTATCCTTCCTCAAAAACCACTGGGAGATTTACCAGCTGTTCGGTTTTAAAGAGAAAATTTTTACATAATAATTGTTTTGAATATTTATAGTTCTTTTTTTTTCGAGACAGAGTTTTGCTCTGCTACCCAGGCTGGAGTGCCGTGGCACAATCTCAGCTTACTGCAGCCTCTGCCTCCCTGGGTCAAGCTATCCTCCCTGCTCAGCCTCCCAGTTAGCTGAGACCACAGGCGCATGCCACCACTGCCTGGCTAATTTTTGTATTTTTTGTAAAGATGAGAGTTCCCTATATCACCCAGGCTGGTCTTGAACTCCCGGACTCAAGCTCTCCACCCAACTTGGCCTCCCAAAGTGCTGGAATTACAGACGTGAATCACCATGCCCAGCCTACATTATAATTTTATTTTTGGAATTTTAAAACAGAATTTAGAAGAGATACCACTAATGACAGGAAACCCAGGGTCCCTGTGAGAACGGAGGGACATCAGGAAACCCGCCGCTGGGCAGTAGCACTAACGGGCTGACACTTGGGAAACAGAAGCAAGCATGAAGCGTCCACCTTCTCACTTAGTAAGAACATCAGCCACTGGCCTTCGTAAAGCAGAGTGTTCTTCACCAGCCCTAAACACACGTGTCACATTTAATTAGCTAGCTGTTTTAATGTGGGGAACAAGATTGAATGTTGACTGAAATGCAATGTTAGGGAGTTCTCTCTCCTGCATTTTTTTTCTTTTTGAGACGGAGTTCCGCTCTTGTTGCCCAGGCTGGAGTGAATGGTGCGCTCTCGGCTCACCACAACCTCTGCCTCCCAGATCCAAGTGATTCTCCTGCCTCAGCCTCCCAAGTAGCTGGGATTACAGGCATGCGCCACCGCACCTGGCTAATTTTGTGTTTTTAGTAGAGATGGGGTTTCTCCATGTTGGTCAGGCTGCTCTCGAACTCTTGACCTCAGGTGATCTGCATGCCTCGGCCTCCCAAAGTGCTGGGATTACAGGCTTGAGCCACCGTGCCCAGCCTCTCCTGCATTTTTAAGTGAAATACAAAATTGTTGAAAAGGTTTTCAATTTATAAGCAGCATGCTGTATGCTTTGGAGTGCTGCTTGGAATAATACATTATGAAGTAGCTTAGAAATTTTTTTAGTTGGCTATTATATATCCCTTAGCCACTCGAAGTATGAACTTAGCATTATGATTTGCCACAACTTATTAATTGGGACTGGGACACATCAGTTTATAAAACATTTGCATAATGCTTGCTTGCTCTAACTTTGGAGAAGGTACAGGGTGTTTGCAATGTGTGGAGGTTTCAGCTCATTCTTGCTCAGCTCTACTTAATAATCCACTTCTACCCTAGCTTTTCTGTCCTCTAGTGAAAGAGTTTAGAACTACATTAAGATAGAAATGGCACCTGGTCCAACTGTCCCATCCCTACTCCTCATTTTACAGACAACAAAACTGAAGCTTGGCCAGGTGCAGCGGCTCAAGGACTGTATCACTTGAACCCCGGAGGCGGAGGTTACAGTGAGCCAAGATCGTGCCATTGCACTCCAGCCTGGGCGACAGAGCACTTTGGGGGACCAAGGCAGGCAGATCATGAAGTCAGGAGATCGAGACCATCCTGGCTAACATGGTGAAACCCTGTCTCTACTAAAAATATAAAAATTAGCGGGGTGTGGTGGCACATGACTGTAATCCCAGCTACTCAGGAGGCGGAGGCAGGAGAATCACTTGAACCAGGGAGTCGGAGGTTGTGGTGAGCTGAGATCACACCACTGCACTCCAGCCTGGCAACAGAGATAGACTTTGTCACAAAAAAAAAAAAAAAAAAAAAAAGGCCAGGTGCAGTGGCTTAAGCCTGTAATCCCAGCACTTTGAGAGGCTGAGGCGGGCAGATCACAAGGTCAGGAGTTGGAGACCAACCTGGCCAATATGGTGAAACCCCATTTCTACTAAAAATACAAAAATTAGCCGGGCGTGGTGGCAGACGCCTATAGTCCCAGCTACTCGGGAGGCTGAGGCAGGAGAATCGCTTGAACCCGGGAGGCGGAGGTTGTAGTGAGCCGAGATCAGGCCACTGCACTCCAGCTTGGGAGACAGAGCGAGACTCTGTCTCAAAAAAACAAAAAAAAAGAAAAAGAAAAACAAACCCGAGGCTTAAAGAGAAGAGACTTGCCCCCAGGTCAGTCAAGGAGGAATAAAGAAGCCAACACTCCCTCTCCCTGGAGGTGGCAGGGAGGGAAGGCATCCGGAAGGGATAATGTTGACCTGTCTCCTAAAGGAGTGGCCATTTTCCAGGGAAGAGGAACAGCATGAGAGCAGAGGTGTGAACTAGCCGGGTGCTGGGGTGGGAGGGCCTTTTATTGCAGGGTTTGGAGATGAGGGCAGAAGCTGACAGGACCAGGTTATAGAGGACCGGTAGGCCCAGCCCAAGAGTCTATAAGGAAGTCTGCACTGAAACTCACAACCCATTCGTGACAAGGTGGCCTGATCAGGGTACCCACTACCTGGTCAATTGGCCACATAGGCAATTCCTGACAGCCAGGTGATCCCTGGCTAGTGTAGACAAAGGAACTATCAGCTCCCCTACCAGGCAGGAACATCACATCTGCTCATTCCTCCTCTAGTTTCAGTTTTAACCCACCCCACCTCGAGGGGTATCTGAGGATAAACAAGCCCTCTGGGCACTGGACGGACCAGCTAGGCCTGTTCTTCCACTGGCTGAACCAGAGGTTGCCCTTGGGGGGACTCAAAGGCCTCTGCTCTTGCATTGGCCAAGACCAGAACAGGAGCAGCAGTGGAGGGGAGAGCCAGCCTGCACCCACCCCCACTTTGTACCCACCACCCTATAGTCGTAAGGGAGATCCTGGGAGGTTTTGGGGAGGAGCAGGGAGGGCTGTCCACAATCCACAATCCCTGGCTCTCTCTACCTTAAGACTCAGCTTGCTTCAAATTTTCCTTTTTTTTTTTTTTAACCCTCCATTCTTTCTTCTTTAAAAAAAATTGCTTTTGCTGGGCGCGGTGGCTCATACCTGTAATCCCAGCACTTTGGGAGGCCAAGGGGGGCGGTTTATCTGAGGTCAGGAGTTTGAGACCAGCCTGGCCAACATGGAGAAACCCCGTCTCTACTAAAAATACAAAATTAGCAAGGTGTGGTAGTGGGCGCCTATAATCCCAGCTATTCGGGAGGCTGAGGCAGAGAATCACTTGAACCCAGGAGGTGGAGGTTGCAGTGAGCTGAGATCACTCCACTGCACTCCAGCCTGGGCGACAGAGCGAGACTGTGTCTCAAGAAAAAAAAAAATTGCTTTCTTCTCTTACACAGTTTCATTCCCACTCCATGAAAGGCTAGAAGCTTTGCCATGAACTTTTCAGGGTGAAACATTAATGATGGTGATCTATACTGGAGGTCACATAATTCTCACTTTCCTGATTCTCCCATACACAGGGAATAACGAAAAAATGAAATTCCTAAACTTCAAAGACATTTCCAACTGGAGGCCCCATATACAACCAATTAGCTGGCCAGTGGGTGGCGCCAAAGGTTTATCACGGCCTTTGGGCGAAGGGTTCCCATTTGGTCCCGCTGGAAAGCAATTCAGTTATCCATTCAGCACACATAGATGGCTGTGTGCCATGTGCTGCGTCTTGAGACGAGAAAGACAGAGTCTAATTTCAATTCACACCAGGGACTAAGAGCTGTGGAGGAGGCATCCAGAGTGAATTTGGCCAGAGCAGGTGATTTCCAAGCCAAGCTTGGCAGACACGTATTTGCCTGGAGAAGGGCATCGCAAGAGGTTCCAGGTGCATTTGGAGAACAACCCAGCATGAAGAGATGATCGGGGGCAGACCGTAGACCCTTGGGCTGCTGCAGTAATCAGAGTGAATGAAAAGGAATGCTGTAATGTTGAATCTGAGGGGCCCTGAGTGCACTTAGCAGGATCTGCTGCCCCTGGAGGCTGGAGGGAGGGGCGAGAGAATGGAGCTGCTGTGAGCTCGGAGGAGGTGAGGCTGGAACAAAACCAGAAAACAATGCAGCCACATATTCTTGGTGCACACCCCACCCCTACCTCCCTTTTCTCCGTATCTATTTCTCTGCCATGTTCTTAAATTACCAGGTCCCCTGGTCAGGTCTGACCATGGTGCCCCATTAGGCTGCCTTGGGGAACTCAGGTGGGTTGTGGGCAGGGCTGGAGGTGCCTTGGTGACATGTGGGTGCCCAGCATTCCAGGTCTGAGAGCACCAAGATCAGGCATGGAGATGGGCACAGGAGGGGGCCTCCCAAGGAAGGTGTGTGTTGCAGGCAGAGGTGGGGTCAGCCAGGCCCTGGGATTTGAATACCAAGAGAGGGACTACAGGCTCAGTGTCCTGGGAGCCCAGGGGTTTTCTGCACTGGGAAGTGGGCAGATGAAAACGGGAATGTAGAATAGATAAACCCAGCAAGACCCAGCTGGAAGTGGAAATGGTGTGGGGCCCTGAGGGCCTGGATCAGGGCAGGACCCTAAGCACAGAGAGAAAGAACGTTTTAAAGGAAAAATCCACCAGACTTGTCAGCTGTCAGAATGTGGGGGCTGAAGGCAAGAGATGAGTCAAAGATGACTCAGAAGATTTGAAGGTGAGTTCAAGGGAAAATGGCAGTACTTTGGGGAAGGAGTTCAAATTCGTGTCCAGGACCCCTGGTTCTGCTAGGAGACAGGAGCATGCCCAAAGGCATCCCACTTGTTTGTATGTTTCTGGCCTGTCCCTCCCCGACTAGAACAGAAGTTCCTGAGGGAGCTGCCTCTGCTCTGTCAGTTCTTTGTGCTTTACTCAGAGGGGCTCACGCACATCTGTCCCCTGCCTGACTCAGAGCAGATGCCAGGGGATGCAGACTGAGGCTTCCGCAGGAGGGAGGCTAGGGAGGCCTGCAGGTGAGGGGTGATAGGGAAGAAAGAGTCCCGCCACCCCTCTCCCACAGGTGCTCCCACACCCAAGCACCCCCAGGACTGGACCCTCTCACAGGCACAGCCTCCTGTCCCCCAGGCCTCTCTTCCTCTGAGATCCCAGGCTTTCTGGCCCTACTGAGACTGCCATCCTGGGAACCGTCTTTGTGCCCATCCATGCCTGTCCCATTGCCTTCCTTCTCAATACATCCCTTCTACCACATTCCTGCTCATGTTCCCAGCATCCTGTTCATTGGAGGCCCATCCACGTGGATGCGCAGCAGACACTGTGGTCCAACAAAGGTGACACTGAACCATTGGCAAGGGTCACCTGCCATCATCTGCCTGAGCCCTATGTTCCCCTGGTGAACACAGCCTCACCCACCCGGGAGCCTCTGGGGCTCCTGTGCTTCACCCTGTTAACTCGCTCCCCTGACCTCTCCCAAGTTTGCCCCTGCTACACCCACCAACTCTTCAGGGACAGGCTCTCCTCAGGTCTCATTGGAAGCGTGCTTCCTACACACCACGGTCAGAGTGGATGCGGGTCAGACTGCAGCTCCTGGGAAGATGCCACAATGCCTCCTATGATCTCCAGGCCACGTTTCCAGTCCCTTGGCCCCTGCCTACCTCTGACTTCAGCTCCAGTGGCCAACCCCTGCCCCAAGAGGGGCTCCGTGTCCCCCTACCCACTGCACTGAAGGAATTTTCCAGCCTCCATTTTCTTTTTAATTCTTGCCTTCTCACTGTTCCCTGGCTAACTCCTAGTATTCCTTCTATATTTCACCGCAGACCCTCAGGGCTCTTGCAAACTCTGTTCCCTCCCTCTCCTGCATGCCCTTCCCCACACTCCCTCCCCACAGCCAGCACCTGCCCTCCTCAGTGCATGGGGTGCCCCTCACCATCCTAGCACTCTTCAAGAGTTTCTAAGTCCACATATTTAGGTGGTGGGGGCTTTATGCCTGCCTCGACCACAATGGTCAGGACCCAATTTTGCTCCCACTTTGACCCAGGGCCTGGACATGGGCTTTTGGTAAACAGATATGAACAGAATGGTGAACAGACAAATAATGAACAGTAAGGCTCCATTTCTGGCTTATCAATGTGGCCAGACATTTTTTTTCAGCCGCACTCAGTGCTGCCAACAGTGGGAGGGGAGGGGAACGAGTTTGCCGGCTTCCCGGCGGCAGCATGTGGTGAATTCAAGAAGTGACCAACCCCAAGCCGGCCTTTGAAGGATGGGTTGAAACTTGCTTGGTGAAGTTTTGGTACTGAAGCATCCCGATTTTATAGTTACTCAATGGAAAAACTGGGTTGCTCCGTGGAAATCCACTTTAGGGTCGACTCTGAAACATCAATGGCCAGCACCCGCTCCCGGGTCCTCCCACCTTCCTTCTTTTTTCTTTTTTGAAAAAAGAAAAAAGACTCAGGCTGGAGTGCCGTGGCACAATCTTGGCTCACTGCAACCTCCTCCCCTCAGGTTCAAGTGATTCTCCTGCCTCAGCCTCCTGAGTAGCTGGGATTACAGGTGCATGCCACCATGCCTGGCTAATTCTTTGTATTTTTAGTAGAGCTGGGGTTTCACCACGTTGGCCAGGCTGGTCTCTAACTCCTGACCTCAGGTGATCCACTCGCCTCGGCCTCCCAAAATGCTGGGAGTAAAGGCATCAGCTACCTCGCCTGGCCCTTTCACATCCCTTCTATGGTCACACCTATTGTAGAGAGATTTAGACCAAAGCACAGAGAGGCTGAGAAGCTTGCTCACAGTCACACAGCCAGCGAGTGGCAGGACCAGAATTCACAATCTGGCTCCAGACCCGTGCTTTAACTGATGCCATCTTTCTCGGAAACTGTGTCTCCAAGAAATGACAGAATTTTTTTTTTTTTTTTTTTGAGACGGAGTCTTGCTCTGTCACCAGGCTGGAGTGCAGTGGTGTGCTCTCGGGTTTAAGCGGTTCTCTTGCCTCAGCCTCCCGAGTAGCTGGGATTACAGGCATATGCCACCACGCCCAGCTAATTTTTGTATTTTTAGTAGAGACAGCGTTTCACCATGTTGGCCAGGATGGTCTCAATCTCTTGACCTTGTGATCCGCCCGCCTTGGCCTCCGAAAGTGCTGGGATTACAGGCGTGAGCCACTGCACCCGGCCTTTTTTTTTTTAAATATATATATATATATTTTTTAATTTACTTTTCCCACACTACACTGATTTACAATTTTTCTTTCCTAAGTATGAACCACTTAATTTTCCTATATAACTATAGGTTGATCCTGAACATTTCTTCAACTTTCTACAAGGTTTGCTAAACATTGATTATTTAAAAACAGCTGTTGGCTGGGCGCGGTGGTTCACGCCCGTAACCCCAGCATTTTGGGAGGCCGAGGCAGGCGGATCACGTGAGGCCAGGAGTTCAAGACCAGCTTGGGCAACTTGGTGAAACCATGTCTCTATTAAAAAGCAAAAATTAGCTGGGCATGGTGGCGCACGTGTCCCAGCTACTTAGGTGGCTGAAGCATGAGAGTTACTTGAACTGAGGAGGCAGAGGCTGCAGTGAGCCGAGATTTTGCCACTGCACTCCAGCCTGAGTGACAGACCCTGTCTCAAAAAAATAAAAACAACAATAAACTGCACATGTTTAAAGTACAATTTGATGTATTTCAACATATGTATATACCTAGGAAACCATCACTACAATCAAAATAATGAAGATTCATCATCCAAAAGTTTCCTCAGGTCCCTGTGATCCTTCCCTCCTGCCCCTGTCTGCCCCACCTCCTACAGGCAACCAGTGATCTGCTTTTTGTCACTATAGATTAGTTTGCATTTTCTAAAATTTTATATAAATGACTGACTGGCATCTTTCTCAGCATAATTATTTTTCAAAAAGAACATTTAAACAAAATAGACCATATTCTGGGCCATTAAACAAGGCCCAATAAATTTAAAAGGATTTAAATCATGCAAAGTATGTTCTCTGACCACAATGGAATTAAATATTAGAAATCAATAATAGCATGGTGGCTCACTCCTGTAATCCCAGGATTTTGCGACACCGAGGCAGGCACATCACTTGAGGCCAGGAGTTTGAGACCAGCCTGGTGAACATGGTGAAAGCCCATCTCTACTAAAAATACAAAAAAGTCAGCCAGGTGTGGTGACGCATGCATGTAATCCCAGCTACTTGGGAGACAGAGGCATGAGAATTGCTTGAACCCAGGAGGCGGAGGTTGCAGTGAGCCAAGAGCACGCGACACTGCACTCCAGCCTGGGCGACAGAGCGGGACTGTCTCAAAAAAAAAAAAATCAGTAACAAAAAAAATCTGAAAAACCTCCAACTATTTGAAAAGTAAAACATGTAAAAATAACCCATGAGTCAAGAAATAAAAGGAAATTTTAAAAATATTTTGAGCTGAATGAAAATGAGAAAATGTATCAAAATGAATGAGCCAAGGGCAGTTGTGGTGGCTCACACCTGTAATCCCAGCACTTTGGGAGGCCACAGTGGGAGGACTCCTTAAGTCCAGGAGTTCAAGACCAGCCTGGGTAATATGGCAAGACCTCATCTCTACAAAAAAAATAAAATTTAGCTGGGTGTGGTGGCACATGCCTGTGGTCCCAGCTCCTCAGGAGGCTGAGGCAGAAGGATCACTTGCGCCCAGGAGGCTGATGGTGTAGTGAACCATGTTTGTGCCACTGTGCTCCAGCCTGGGCAAGAGAGTGAGACTGTCTCTTTTTTTGTTTGTTTGTTTTTTTGAGACAGTCTCACTCTGTTGCCCAGGTTGGAGTGCAGTGGTGCAATCTCGGCTCACTGCAGCCTCTGCCTCCTGAGTTCAAGCAATTGTCCTGCCTCAGCCTCCCGAGTAGCTGGGACTACAGGTGTGTGCTGCCACACCCAGCTAAATTTTTTTGTATTTTTTGTAGAGATGGGGTTTCACCATGTTGTCCAGGCTGGTCACAAACTTCTGACCTCAATTGATTGGTCTGCCTCAGCCTCCCAAAGTGCTGGGATTACAGGTGTGAGCCATTGCACCCAGCTGAGACTGTTTATCAGGATAAAACAAAAATCATGAGCCAGACCTGGGTGTAACTGCCCTGGAGGCCCTTGCTCTGGGTGACCCTGAGTAAAGGACTTACCTCTCCTAAGCCTCAGTGTTCTCAACTGTACAGTGGGACCAAAGACACCTACTTCAGAGTCGAGAGGACTAAGAAACTGCATGCAAAGTAGCTAGCCTGCTGCCTGGCAAGCAAGTGAGGGGGCATAAATTGCTATGGGGTAGGCTATCACCTGAGCCATCTCCAAAACCAGAAGTGGCTCATTTAAGCTTCATAACCACTCTATGAAGAAGACATGTTCATGTCTATGCTACAGATACTGAACTGGATGCATAGAAAGGGTAAGTGACTTGCCCTGGGTCACACAGGCAGTGGCTGAGCTAAGATCTGAATCCAGGCCACCTGGATCCAGAATCCATGCTCCAGCTTTACTGAGGGACACTGAAAGCTTTCAAATAGAGGAGGAAAATGGTCAGATTGCCCTAACAGCAACATCACTGTGGGACGAGGTCAACAAATATTTAGGATGCTAAATCTGCAAGGCTTGGTGATCTATTAGAAATACGTTGTTGAGGCCAGGCACTGTGGCTCACGCCTCTAATCCCAGCACTTTGGGAGGCCAAGGCGGGCGGATCACAAGGTCAAGAGATCAAGACCATCCTGGCTAACACGGTGAAACCCCCTCTCTACTTAAAGAATACAAAAAATTAGCCAGGTGTGGTGGCGGGCGCCTGTAGTCCCAGCTACTAGGGAGGCTGAAGTAGGAGAATGGCGTGAACCCGGGAGGCGGAGCTTGTAACAAGCCAAGATCGCACCACTGCACTCCAGCCTGGGCGACAGAGCAAGACTCCGTCTCAAAAAAAAAAAAAGAAATATGTTGTTGAGGAAGGAAGAGGAGGAGGCTGGACAGAAAAGGCGGTGAAGCAGGAGTGGAAGAACTTGGGGTTGGAGGGCTAGAGGAAGCAGAGGAGCACATGTGGTCTGTACTCTGAAGGAGAGGGCACCACATTCTGAGAACCTCTCCATGACAGGACACCTGGCCTGGTGGGAGGCAGGTGGGGTTCCTAAGAAAATGTGTGAGCAGAAGATCCATTAAAAATTAATTAGAGAAGAACAGAGGGAATGGTGTTCCAGGCAGAGGGAACAGCATTTGCACAGCCTCGTGGGGGCGAGTCATGGGGAGTGCGCCAGACACAGAAATAGGAGCACAGTGGGAACTGGCGCTGTATGGGGAGGCAGCAGCGACCTGCAGGGCCTCACAGGCCTAAAGAGCTCTGTCTTCCTCCTAGAAGGATGGGAAGTCAGCTAGAATTTGCAGAGGGTGGGGAGGAGGGAATAGATAGGGCCAGGTCTGTGTTCTCAAAGCTCACCCTGGCTACAGTTTGGAGACAGACCAGACCATATGCAGGGAGCAGTTAGGTGGTTATGGAGGCCTTCCAGGTGAGCTGACGGTTGTGTGGAAGCGGGGGATGAAGGTGGAGGGAAGTGGCTGGGTTCAAGAGGTACTTAGGAGGCAGAAGTGGCAGGACTCAGTGCCAGATCCGTTGTGGGGATGCTTGGGGTTCTTTAAGGTGGGATAGTCAGTGACCTGGCTAACGAGCCCTCAAAGAGGGCTGGAGACAGGGGGGAAGCTCATGAGGCTCAGCATCCAGGTCTGGAGCTGAGTCCTGGCCGGGCTCTTCCGTGAGTCATCTGCACACAAGTTCTATTAGTGAGAGTGCTGGACAAGATTTCCTGGGGGCAAAGACCCACCTCCAAGAGCTCCGTGATGTGCCAGGGAGAGGGGCATGAGTCTGAGAAGAGAGAAGGAACAGCCAGGGGCTGGCGTGTTGATGGTAGAAACCATTACAGAGTTCGCACCTGGTGGGTAACTGTGGAATGTCACCTGGAGACAGGACAAAAATGTCCTGTTTATTAACCGAGGGGGGAGAGCTGGAAAGACAAGAAGTTGTGGAAGGAAGAAGGGACATTAAAGATGGGGCCTGACGGGAAACAGTGGTTCCCAGTGATGCCCAGACCCAGGGAGGGGCTTTGGAGCAGGTTCACTGGAGAAATGGGGGTAAATGAAGGTCCCCAAAACAAAGGACAAAGAATGTCAGAGCTGGCCGGGCGCCGTGGCTCACGCCTGTAATCCCAGCACTTTGGGAGGCCGAGGCGGGCGGATCACCTGAGGTCACGGGTTCGAGACCAGCCTGGCCAACATGGTGAAACCCCGTCTCTACTAAAAATACAAAAATTAGCCGGGCGTAGTGGTGGGTGCCTGTAATCCCAGCTACTCGGGAGGCTAAGGCAGGAGAATCGCTTGAACCCAGGAGGTAGAGGTTGCAGTGAGCAGGTTGCAGTGAGCAGAGATTGTGCCATTGCCCTCGAGCCTGGGGGACCAAGAGTGAGACTTTGTCTAAAAAAAAAAAAAAAAGAAAAGAAAAAAAAGAACGTCAGAGTTAGGGCCCTGGATGGCTCCTCTATATCTCAAACCCCCTGGGCAATGGCAGAAACTGCGGTAGGAAAAGTTCCTACAAGTGAGGAGAGCGGGGACAGTGGCTGGTGGTGACAGGAAGGAAACAGGCAAAGGCGGCAGTCGCCAGGGAAGACCTTGCGCCCCTTCAGCGACCCGCTCACCGCTCTTCCTGCTTCCGGATTCCTCCCCGCCAGTCCAGGCTGCAGCTGTAGGAAAGCCTGGGCCGGGGGCGCGCCCCCAGGCTGCGCAACAGCTACCACAGGACCAGGCACACACCCGGTCACCACCGCTGGGGCCCGCGCCACGTGGCTGCTAGTTTCCTTCCACTTCCCCCGCTTTGTAATGCCAGGCAAGACGCTTTATGTTGATTTCACACGCTCTTAAGGGGGTCCCAGGCCGCAGTCTGAAAACCCCTGCTCCTGAGCAAGTTGCGTTTCCCTAAAGACCAGGAAGCGGAGGTAGTTCCATCGTTTCTTTACACGGCAAGGAGCTTTCAGATTATTCCGAGGGCCTGGCTATGAGTCTAGGCAGGAGGCGGCCCAATCATGGGAGGCGCCAGAGACAAAGAGGAAGAGGACATGGACTAGGCAGGGAAGCCAGGTCGAAGGAACCCCAATGCCTCCAAGGTTCCCACAGCTGGCCTTGGCCAAAATATCCGAAAATTCCCATGTAGAAACTGGCTTTTCCAGCCTGGGCAACATGGTGAAACCCCGACTCTACAAATAAATACAAAAACTAGACAGGTGTGGTGTCCGCGCCTGTGGTCCTCTGCCCACGCTCGTCCCAGCTACTGGGAAAGCTGAGGCGGGAGGATCACCTGAGCCCGGGAGGGTCGAGGCTGCAGTGAGCCGAGATTCCGCCGCGGCACCCCAGCCTGGGCGACAAAGCGAGAGCCTGTCCAAAAAAAAAAAAAAGAAAAAAAAAAAAAAAAAAACCTTTTAGGGCAAGTTAATCACCAAAGTGTTAGATACTTAATTTGGAGACCGCAAATCGGTCGGCAAAACGATGGGCTTTTCAAAATCATGCCGGGTGTAGCTGGGTAAGCATGAATTTGTTCACCAAGTCCCCGATTCCCAAGCTAAGGGACCCTTAAGTATGAAGCACATGGCTTTCGGGGAACCCAAAAGTAGGGAGCGCTCCCGAGCCAGCGGTGGGTCTGGAGAATCCCCGAGCGCGCAGGCCGCGGGACAGCCTCCCCAGTGCGCAGCAGCCTGAGGCTAACAGCCCCCAGAGGGCAGAGCCCCGCGATCCCGGCGCCGCTTGCGGCTGGATTCTTTGGCAGCGGGCGCGGCGCCAGTCAGGACGACGGCTCCGGAAGTCTCCCGGGCGCGTGAGACCCGGGCCGCTCTCCGTCCACGCACGACCCTCCCTCCAGGCGCGCCTCCCACCCCGGCCCCGCGTTCCGCTCAGCCCGGGTGACCAACTACACCTCACTTCAAAGGCCCCCACGCCCGGGCGTGCCCTCCGCCCGCCCGCGGCAGGTGGGGGTGCAGGGCGGAGGGCGCGGGCGGCCCCAGAAGGCGCCCGGACCTTCCCGAGAATTCCGGGCCGCGCAGGCGCATTGAGGCCGGCGCGGGGGCGTGCGAGAGGCGCGCGGCGGCGATTGAGGGAAGGTTGCCCGGGCCGGGCCACGAGCAGGGCCTGCGCGCGCCCGCAGGAAGGCGCGGGGGCGGGGTGCCGCGGCAACGGCGCATGCGTAGGCGCGCGGCCGCGGCGGCGGCTGGGGAGGGTTCTTCCGGAAGGTTCGGGAGGCTTCTGGAAAAAGCGCCGCGCGCTGGGCGGGCCCGTCGCTATATAAGGCAGGCGCGGGGGTGGCGCGTCAGTTGCTTCAGCGTCCCGGTGTGGCTGTGCCGTTGGTCCTGTGCGGTCACTTAGCCAAGGTGACGGGTGGTTGTGGGGGCCTGTGGAGGTGGACTGGGGACCGGGACTGGGGGCGGCTGGCGCGGGGCGGAGGCTGTGGGGGCCGGACCAGATCCCTGAAGCAGCCAGGGCCGCGCTCCCGGGCGGCCGCGCTTTCTATTCCGGAGGCCTCGGGACCGCTGCGGTTTCCGCACCCCGCTTCAGGAATGGGCCGGGCGGCCGCGGGCTCCCCGAGGCTCTGCAGCAGCGCCAGAGCTGGCGCCGCACGCGAACAGAGCGGCCCCGCCGCGGGGGTCCCCCGCCCGGCCCCGCTGGGGGCGCAGGCGGAGGAGGCCGCCGTGGCGGAGCCGCAGCCCGCGCGGGAGGGCACCCGGGGTGTTCGTTGGGGACCGCGGCGGGGGACTGGGCCCGGGCCTGCGGCGGCCTCCCGGAAGCGCGCACACGCTCGTGGTAGTTGCCGCGCTCCGAAATGAGGTCATCCTTTGTCAGCCGCCCTTCTATTTTCGGTTTACTTAAACTTCGCAAATCTCCAATTCGGCTTTAAAAATATTTGGAGAACGCGATGGAATTTCGTGTTGCCTCTGTAGACGTCCTGCAAGGTTTTAAACCGGCGCGGTGTCGTTCCAGATGCCTGAGGAAACCCAGACCCAAGACCAACCGATGGAGGAGGAGGAGGTTGAGACGTTCGCCTTTCAGGCAGAAATTGCCCAGTTGATGTCATTGATCATCAATACTTTCTACTCGAACAAAGAGATCTTTCTGAGAGAGCTCATTTCAAATTCATCAGATGTAAGTCACTTATTAACCCAGAATCGGATTTTGGTTTCAGTGTGAACTTCTTGGGGGTGCTGTATGCTTAAATTAATATTTTTTGTTAACAGGCATTGGACAAAATCCGGTATGAAAGCTTGACAGATCCCAGTAAATTAGACTCTGGGAAAGAGCTGCATATTAACCTTATACCGAACAAACAAGATCGAACTCTCACTATTGTGGATACTGGAATTGGAATGACCAAGGCTGACTTGATCAATAACCTTGGTACTATCGCCAAGTCTGGGACCAAAGCGTTCATGGAAGCTTTGCAGGCTGGTGCAGATATCTCTATGATTGGCCAGTTCGGTGTTGGTTTTTATTCTGCTTATTTGGTTGCTGAGAAAGTAACTGTGATCACCAAACATAACGATGATGAGCAGTACGCTTGGGAGTCCTCAGCAGGGGGATCATTCACAGTGAGGACAGACACAGGTAGGCACCTGAACATTCACTGGTTAAGTGAGCGGTGGAAGGGTGGGGTGCTGCAACCCTTGGACCCCTGGGGATGCGGTGAAGCTTACAGAATTTGTGTTTGCCCAACGATCAGGAACAAGCTAGAGCACTTAATTAGTGTAATGGCATGACTTGGTGGGCGGTTCTTTTGGGCGAGGCACCTTGCCCAAAAGGTTCTGCTGTGGTGGCCTTTGCATCTGTAGTAACGGCAAACCTTGCTTTATAGACACGTTATAAGGGTGTTAGGCATGGCGTTGAGCACTAAATTGAATGTATTAAGTCAATTTTTCTTTCTTCTCTTGCAGGTGAACCTATGGGTCGTGGAACAAAAGTTATCCTACACCTGAAAGAAGACCAAACTGAGTACTTGGAGGAACGAAGAATAAAGGAGATTGTGAAGAAACATTCTCAGTTTATTGGATATCCCATTACTCTTTTTGTAAGTTTTTATGTAATTGCAGAGTGAATTTCTGTCTGTAGGTGATTGGGGTGACTGTACTACATCCTTAGTCCCTAGATCTGTTCAACTAGTCTGAAGCCTGGGGAACCTAAGCTCTACTACCTAACTCTGTAAAAGTTCCTCGGGCTATTAAGTGGATGTATCAAATATTGATGAAAAGCTGGGTGCTTCTCAAGTTGGCTAATTTAGACTTGGGCCTTAGGTTGAAAATAGTGGTGCAGCGCTGTCGCTTAGTTCTGGAGTGCAGCAGTGATGTGATTTCGTGTTTTCTTTTGAAGGTGGAGAAGGAACGTGATAAAGAAGTAAGCGATGATGAGGCTGAAGAAAAGGAAGACAAAGAAGAAGAAAAAGAAAAAGAAGAGAAAGAGTCGGAAGACAAACCTGAAATTGAAGATGTTGGTTCTGATGAGGAAGAAGAAAAGAAGGATGGTGACAAGAAGAAGAAGAAGAAGATTAAGGAAAAGTACATCGATCAAGAAGAGCTCAACAAAACAAAGCCCATCTGGACCAGAAATCCCGACGATATTACTAATGAGGAGTACGGAGAATTCTATAAGAGCTTGACCAATGACTGGGAAGATCACTTGGCAGTGAAGGTGAGTGACTGATGGGTGCTTCAAGCTTGTCCTTAGATTATCATCTTTCTCCACCACCCCAAATATCTTCTATAATGCATTGTTCATTGGTACTTAGTGTATCTGTTTTATTACAGCATTTTTCAGTTGAAGGACAGTTGGAATTCAGAGCCCTTCTATTTGTCCCACGACGTGCTCCTTTTGATCTGTTTGAAAACAGAAAGAAAAAGAACAACATCAAATTGTATGTACGCAGAGTTTTCATCATGGATAACTGTGAGGAGCTAATCCCTGAATATCTGAGTAAGTATAGATAGGAAAAATAATCACTGTCACTGATTAAAGAAGTACTTTCTGGGTGGGCATGGTGGCTCACACCTATAATCCTAGCACTTTGGGAGGCCGGGGTGGGCAGATCACTTGAGGTCAGGAGTTCAAGACCAGCCTGGGCAACATGGTGAAACCCCATCTCTACTAAATTACAAAAATTAGCCCCATGTAGTGGCAGGCTGAGGCATGAAAACAGCTTGAACCCCCCCGGGAGGCAGAGGTTGCAGTGAGTGGAGATTGCGCCACTGCCCTCCAGCCTGGGCAACAGAGTGAGACTGTCTCAAAAATACGTCCCATCATCTTCAGGTTATCTTTGATTTTGGGAGTTTACATAGTACCAGTTTTGTCCTTGGAATGACTCAGTGCATTTGGTTTATATTTTTTTCAGACTTCATTAGAGGGGTGGTAGACTCGGAGGATCTCCCTCTAAACATATCCCGTGAGATGTTGCAACAAAGCAAAATTTTGAAAGTTATCAGGAAGAATTTGGTCAAAAAATGCTTAGAACTCTTTACTGAACTGGCGGAAGATAAAGAGAACTACAAGAAATTCTATGAGCAGTTCTCTAAAAACATAAAGGTTGGTGTAAATAACCATTAGTTTTCCAATTGGCCTCTTTAGTTTTTTTTTTTTTTTTTTAATTCAGAAAGTCTTTGTAAAGAACATACTTTGTTTCAGCTTGGAATACACGAAGACTCTCAAAATCGGAAGAAGCTTTCAGAGCTGTTAAGGTACTACACATCTGCCTCTGGTGATGAGATGGTTTCTCTCAAGGACTACTGCACCAGAATGAAGGAGAACCAGAAACATATCTATTATATCACAGGTAAGAGAACACTATGTTACAGTCATACACGTCGTTCTTACAATCTTGTAGGCTCTGTGGGTGTGTTTTCTACTCAGGTAGCACTGTTACAACTGGTATTGATCTAGGCAAGATAATTAACATGAACTAGGTCATTTTCTGTCTTAGGTTCTGCCTAGGTATCTGGCTAGCAAGAAAAGTCAGAGCTAGATGAAACCATTCTTAACTGTTAAAAGGTCTAAAAGTAACTTTGTAATACCTCAGGTGAGACCAAGGACCAGGTAGCTAACTCAGCCTTTGTGGAACGTCTTCGGAAACATGGCTTAGAAGTGATCTATATGATTGAGCCCATTGATGAGTACTGTGTCCAACAGCTGAAGGAATTTGAGGGGAAGACTTTAGTGTCAGTCACCAAAGAAGGCCTGGAACTTCCAGAGGATGAAGAAGAGAAAAAGAAGCAGGAAGAGAAAAAAACAAAGTTTGAGAACCTCTGCAAAATCATGAAAGACATATTGGAGAAAAAAGTTGAAAAGGTATGTGAATACAGCATTTCCTGATCATTGATACTTCTAAGGTGCTTTCAAGCTTAGTCATACATAGCCCATTTTCGCATGTTTTCAACTTAAAACAGAAAACTATGTTGTGTGTGGCTGGGCGCGGTGGCTCACGCCTGCAATCCCAGCACTTTGGGAGGCTGAGGCAGCGGATCACAAGGTCAGGAGATCGAGACCATCCTGGCTAACACGGTGAAACTCAGTCTCTACTAAAAATAGAAAAAAATAAACCAGGCGTGGTGGCACGGCCTGTAATCCTAGCCACTTGGGAGGCTGAGGCAGGAGAATCGCCTGAACCCAGGAGGCGGAGGTTGCAGTGAGCCAAGATCGCACCACTGCACTCCAGCCTGGGTGATGGAGCGAGACTCTATCTCAAAAAAAAAATTGTGCATGTAAAACATGAAATTATAACCTGTGCTCTTTGGATACCTAATGCGACATTTAAGTTGTATTTGACAGTAGATAGTATTTTGGATCTATTGAAATTTGGGTTCTACAGATTTCATTTCACAATGAAAGTTTAGGAATTAATCTTTCTAGGTTCCTAGTCATCACTTTTTGATTACAGGTGGTTGTGTCAAACCGATTGGTGACATCTCCATGCTGTATTGTCACAAGCACATATGGCTGGACAGCAAACATGGAGAGAATCATGAAAGCTCAAGCCCTAAGAGACAACTCAACAATGGGTTACATGGCAGCAAAGAAACACCTGGAGATAAACCCTGACCATTCCATTATTGAGACCTTAAGGCAAAAGGCAGAGGCTGATAAGAACGACAAGTCTGTGAAGGATCTGGTCATCTTGCTTTATGAAACTGCGCTCCTGTCTTCTGGCTTCAGTCTGGAAGATCCCCAGACACATGCTAACAGGATCTACAGGATGATCAAACTTGGTCTGGGTAAGCCTTATACTATGTAATGTTAAAAAGAAAATAAACACACGTGACATTGAAGAAAATGGTGAACTTTCAGTTATCCAAACTTGGAGCACCTTGTCCTGCTTGCTGCTTGGAGGTATTAAAGTATGTTTTTTTTAGGGATAAGTAAGGTCTTACAAGAGCAAAGAAATGAAATTGAGACTCATATGTCCTGTAATACTGTCTTGAAAGCAGATAGAAACCAAGAGTATTACCCTAATAGCTGGCTTTAAGAAATCTTTGTAATATGAGGATTTTATTTTGGAAACAGGTATTGATGAAGATGACCCTACTGCTGATGATACCAGTGCTGCTGTAACTGAAGAAATGCCACCCCTTGAAGGAGATGACGACACATCACGCATGGAAGAAGTAGACTAATCTCTGGCTGAGGGATGACTTACCTGTTCAGTACTCTACAATTCCTCTGATAATATATTTTCAAGGATGTTTTTCTTTATTTTTGTTAATATTAAAAAGTCTGTATGGCATGACAACTACTTTAAGGGGAAGATAAGATTTCTGTCTACTAAGTGATGCTGTGATACCTTAGGCACTAAAGCAGAGCTAGTAATGCTTTTTGAGTTTCATGTTGGTTTATTTTCACAGATTGGGGTAACGTGCACTGTAAGACGTATGTAACATGATGTTAACTTTGTGGTCTAAAGTGTTTAGCTGTCAAGCCGGATGCCTAAGTAGACCAAATCTTGTTATTGAAGTGTTCTGAGCTGTATCTTGATGTTTAGAAAAGTATTCGTTACATCTTGTAGGATCTACTTTTTGAACTTTTCATTCCCTGTAGTTGACAATTCTGCATGTACTAGTCCTCTAGAAATAGGTTAAACTGAAGCAACTTGATGGAAGGATCTCTCCACAGGGCTTGTTTTCCAAAGAAAAGTATTGTTTGGAGGAGCAAAGTTAAAAGCCTACCTAAGCATATCGTAAAGCTGTTCAAAAATAACTCAGACCCAGTCTTGTGGATGGAAATGTAGTGCTCGAGTCACATTCTGCTTAAAGTTGTAACAAATACAGATGAGTTAAAAGATATTGTGTGACAGTGTCTTATTTAGGGGGAAAGGGGAGTATCTGGATGACAGTTAGTGCCAAAATGTAAAACATGAGGCGCTAGCAGGAGATGGTTAAACACTAGCTGCTCCAAGGGTTGACATGGTCTTCCCAGCATGTACTCAGCAGGTGTGGGGTGGAGCACACGTAGGCACAGAAAACAGGAATGCAGACAACATGCATCCCCTGCGTCCATGAGTTACATGTGTTCTCTTAGTGTCCACGTTGTTTTGATGTTATTCATGGAATACCTTCTGTGTTAAATACAGTCACTTAATTCCTTGGCCTTACAGTGTCTCAAAGTTCTTTACAAATCTACTTAAAGCCATCCTGGCTGAGGCAGGAGAATCGCTTGAACCTGGGAGGCGGAGGTTGCGGTGGGCTGGGATTGCACCATTGCGCTGCAGCCTGAGCAGCAAGAGCGAAACTCCATCTCAAAAAAAAGATGAAAAAATCAGCCCAATAGGTAAGAGTCCCTCTGGGGACTGGGGGTGGTAATGGCTAAATAAAAGTCTTCACTTCTGAAATTTGGTGGTTCTAGAGACAAAACTTGGTTAGATAGCATATAGGATTTGCATTCTGAGCCTAACGCCATATATAAAAATGATAGGAAATGCCTGGGACTTGGATATGTGACAGTGTCTAAGGGGGCAGTGCACAGGCAGGGAGAGACCTTGTCTCAGTCTCGTGCTAAGCAGGTATTGAATGCTTGGTAAATGGCAATCACGTTTAGTCCTTTAAATTCTCTGAAAAGTTCTTAATCCCCTTCGATAATATACAGGAGGAATTACGTAAATTGAGGTCTTAGTAGTGGCTGAATTTAAATTTAACTCCAAAGCCCCATTTTATTCTGCTAAGTTTTGTTGCGTACTGAAAGGTGTTAGAAGAAAGGTTTACGGTGTTAAACTAGGAAGTGAATGGCAAAAAGGGTAAAAAGTCAATTTTGTTTTTTCCCAGGTCTAGCAAGAGAATATTAAATCTTAAGATTTCTTTCAATTAAAAACATAAGGCACTTGAGGGAATCAAGTCAATATAGAACCTCTATAAATGATCTCCCAAATGAACTCATCCTCCTGGAGTTACTGGGAAAGCATTTATGGCAAATAGGTCCAGATGCACAGGTAAGTACCCATCTCCCAGCAACCCCCATGCTGGAGACTGTACCACCAAGAAGATGGATCCCCAGCCCAGTGAGTGAGAAGATGAGCTAGATGACACATGAATGTCATGCTGAAAATGCCCTTGCACTGCTCCAGGACCACAATTCTTACCCTATTGCTTCAAAATTCACTGTTGTTTCAAACCTTCCATAATCAAGTTCCATCCTGCCAGGGAGGGTGGTGAGTGCTGAAAAGACATGCAAACTGGACAAGAGAATTATAGATGACATGGTCGTCTAGGTAGGAAACTCATAAGGAATCTACCAAAATTATGCTAGAAATGATTTTAGCATAGGATAGTTGAGCCAGGCATGGTGAGTCACGCCTGTAATCCCAACACTTTGGGAGGCAAAGGTAGAATTGCTTGAGCCCAGGAGTTCAAGACTGTCTAGGCAACAAAGTGAGACCCTGTCCCTCTGAAAAAATTAAGGCCAGGTGTGGCTCATGCTTGTAATCCCGGCACTTTGGGAGGCCAAGGTGGGTGGATCACCTGAGGGTCAGGAGTTCCAGACCAGCCTGGCCAACATAGCAAAACCCCATCTCAACTAAAAATACAAAAATTAGCTGGGCGTGGCGGCAGGGACCTGTAATCTCTGCTATTCGGAAGGTTGAGGCAGGAGAATCACTTGAACCCGGGAGGCGTAGGTTGCAGTGAGCTGATTGCGCCACTGCACTTCAGACTGGGCAACAGAAGGATACACCGTCCCAAAAAAAAATTTAAAATAGCTGATCATGGTGGCACATGCCTGTAGTCCAGCTACTTGGGAGGCTGAGGTGGGAGGATTGCATGAGCTCAGGTGTTTAAGGCTGCAGTGAGCCATGATCATTCCACTGCACCCCAACCTGGGACACAGAGCAAGACCCTGTCTCTATAAAGATAAAAAAATGAAAGAAAAGCAGTAGTTGCCTGGGGCCAGGAGTCAGAGCAGGGAGTGACTGCAGAGAGGCAAGAAGGAACTTTTGAGGGCAATGGAAGTGCTGGAAAATGATCAGGTGGTGCCAGCTGTGTGTGTGTATATATATATGTTTTTTCTTTTTTTTTTTTGAGACGAAGTCTCACTTTATTGCCCAGGCTGGAGTGCAATGGCGTGATCTAGGCTCACTGCAAACTCCACCTCCCGGGTTCAAGCGATTCTCCTGCTTCAGCCTCCCGAGTAGCTGAGATTACAGGCACCCGCCACCATGCCCGGCCAATTTTGTATTTTTAGTAGACAGGGTTTCACCATGTTGGCCAGCCTGGTCTCGAACTCCTGACCTCAGGTGATCTGCCCGCCTTGGCCAGCTTTAAGTGCTGGAATTACAGGCATGAGCCACGCACCTGGCCAGGACTCTTTCATCTGCTTAGGGCTAACCCTCTCCTCCTGTCCTGAGAGCTCACTTTACCCAGGCCACTTCCACCACATGCATGGCTCTTCTGGAGCAGAATCCCTGCCTGCCTCGTCGCCTCAGGAAGTGGCCTACACCACCCCTGTCCTCACCATCTCTCAGTCCTCTCAACTTTTAGTGATTCCTACCAGGCATAGATTCATCAAGATCAATATTTGCTTTTTTTTTTTTCCTTTCTTTTGAGACAGAGTCTTGCTCTGTCGCCAGGCTGGAGTGCAGTGGCGCGATCTTGGCTCACTGCAACCTCCACCTCCTGGGTTCAAGCAATTCTCCTGCCTCAGCCTCCCCAGTAGCTGGGATTACAGGCACACGCCACCACGCCCGGCTAATTTTGTATTTTTAGTAGAAACAGAGTTTCACCATGTTGGCCAGGATGGTCTAGATCTCTTGACTTCATGATATGCCTGCCTCGGCCTCCCAAAGCACTGGGATTACAGGTGTGAGCCACTGCGTCCTGCTGATTCAAGTTTTTATTGAATACCTACTAAAGGCCGGTGGCTCATGCCTGTAATCTCAGCACTTTGGGAGGCCGAGGGGGGTGGGGTGGGGCGGATCACAAGGTCAGGAGATCGAGACCATCCTGGCTAACACTGAAACCCCATCTCTACTAAAAAAAAATACACAAAAAATTAGCCAGGCGTGGTGGTGGGCGCCTGTAGTCCCAGCTACTTGGGAGGCTGAAGCAGGAGAATGGCGCGAACCCAGGAGGCAGAGCTTGCAGTGTGCTGAGATAGCACCACTGCACTCCAGCCTGAGCGACAGAACGAGACTCCAACTCAAAAAAAAAAAAAAAGAATACCTACTAAAAGCCAGCCCAATACAGTGCAGTGGGCCACACGAGTGATGATGGCACCACTTGGGGAGGCCAGCAGGGCAGAACTAAGCTACAGCAGCTACCAGGAATACCCCAACCAAGGGCTAGGCACGGAGCAGGGTGGGGTTTGCTCTGCTGGTGGGGCAGAGTTCGGAGAAGCTCTGGGAAGGAGATATCCAGACTGATAGAAAGGGGACTGCAGTGGAGCACGCCTGTAGTTCCAGCCACTTGGGAGGCTGAGTAGGAGGATCTCTTGAGCCCCGGAGTTCTGGGCTGTAGTGTTGTACTGCAGTCGAGAGTCCATGTTAAGTTCAGCATCAATATAGTGACCTACTGGGAGTGGGGGACCACCAGGTTGCCTAAGAGGGGTGAACAGACCCAGGTCAGAAATGGAACAGCTCAAAACTCCAAGGTTGATCAGAAGTGGGATCATGCCTGTGACTAGCCACTGCACTCCAGCCTGGGCAACATAGTGAGACCCTGTTTCTATTTTTTATTAAATAAAATAATAATATTAAATAAATACGCCTGCTCAGATGGTCTAAAGAAAGAAATATATAAATAAATAAAGCTGACCTCATTCAAAAAGAGGGAAGTGGAGGTGGATTTCCTGGCTGAAGGAAGGGCACACTCCCAGGCTTGAGAAGTGGGCATGCTTGCTCTTGGGAAGGGACATGTGAGCCGTCTGAGGGGGGATACAAATTATTGTGTGTTCCTGGAACATTAGCCATGGGCCTGGTAGCCTGTGGTTTGCCATGAGAAGCCTCTTCAAAACGGTGGGGCCTGTACCCACCCCTTGAAAAATGTCCTTAATACCGGTAATACTGAGGCAGCTGGCTAAGTCCGCTTTTCCTTCTCCTTTCACGAAATTGTCTCATCTTTTTTTTTTTTTTTTTTTTTTTTTTGAGACGGAGTCTCGCTCTGTCGCCCAGGCTGGAGTGCAGTGGCGCAATCTCAGCTCACTGCAAGCTCCACCTCCTGGGTTCACACCATTCTCCTGCCTCAGCCTCCTGAGTAGCTGGGACTACGGGTTCCCGCCACCACACCCGGCTAATTTTTTGTATTTTTAGTAGAGACAGGGTTTCACCGTGTTAGCCAGGATGGTCTTGATCTCCTGACCTCATGATCTGCCTGCCTCGGCCTCCCAAAGTGCTGGGATTACAGGTGTAAGCCATCATGCCTGGCCGAAATTGTCTCATCTTCATACCAGGTGGGCCCATATTCCAGCTTTCATTTTATTTATTATATTTTATTTATTTATTTATTTATTTATTTATTTATTTATTTATTTATTTATTTGAGACAGAGTCTCACTCTGTCGCCCAGGCTGGAGTGCAGTGGTGCGATCTCGGCTCACTGCAAGTTCCGTCTCCTGGGTTCATGCCATTCTCCTGCCTCAACCTCCTGAGTAGCTGGGACTACAAGCGCCCACCACCACACCCGGCTAATTTTTTGTATTTTTAGTAGAGACGGGGTTTCACCGTGTTAGCCAGGATGGTCTCGATCTCCTGACCTTGTGATCCACCCGCCTTGGCCTCCCAAAGTGCTGGGATTACAGGCATGAGCCACCGCGCCCGGCTTTGTTTTGTTTTTGAGACAGAGTCTCGTTCTGTTGCCTAGGCTGGAGTGCAGTGGCACAATCTTGGCTCACTGCAACCTCTGACTCTCAGATGCAAGCAGTCGTCGCGCCTCAGCCTCCCAAGAAGCTGGGATTACAAGCATGTGCCACCACACCCAGCTAATTTTTGTATTTTTAGTAGAGACAGGGTTTCACCATATTGGCCAGGCTGGTCTTGAACTCTTGACTTCAAGGGATCTGCCTACCTCCACCTCCCAAAGTGCTGGGATTACAGGTGTGAGCCACCATACCTGCCTTATTTTATTTTATATTTTATTATTTGAGACAGGGTCTGGCTCTGTTGCCTGGGCTGGAGTGCAGTGGTACAAGCTCAGCTCACCGCAGCCTTGACCTTCCAGGCTCAAGCGATCCTCCCAAATCAGCCTCCCAAGCAGCTGAGACTACAGGCACGTGCCACCATGCCCGGCTAATTACTAATTTTTGTATTTTTTGTAGAGATGGGGTGGGGGGTGGGGGTGGGGTCTCATCGTATTACCCAGGCTGGTCTTGAACACCTGGACTCAAGCAATCCTCCTGCCTCAGCCTCCCAAAGTTCTGGGATTACAGGTATGAGGCATTGCACCCGGCCCCACTTTATTTTATAGATAAGAAAAACAAGCTCTGGAAGTGGAGAACACGCAGGGCTCTCTGGGCTAAGGGAGGCCAGGGCTGCGGTGCAGGCATCAGACTTCTACTCCTGCACCCCGACACCTCCCAAATGCCCAAGAGCTGGGCAGGGCCTGGGGAGTGGGATGGATGTCCTAGGCTCAGCTCTGCTTCCAGGGAAGGGGTTCTGGAGGAGCAGATAGGCCCAGTCTTGAGTTTAAGACTACAGATGTGTGTGTGTTTTGCTTATGTTTGTATCCCAAATACTCATAACAGTGTCTGGCACATGACAGGCACACAAATCTATGCTAACAAATAACAAATTAACCTAAGCACTTCATAGTTTACACTTTCACTTACAGTTTCTAATTTTTTTTTTTTTTTTTTTTTTTTTTTTTTTTTGAGACTGAGTCTCGTTCTGTCACCCAGGCTGGAGTGCAGTGGCACCATCTTGGCTCACCACAACCTCCACCTTCCAGGTTCAAGCAACTCTTGTGCCTCAGCCTCCTGAGTAGCTAGGACCACAGGCGTACTTCACCACGCCTGGCTAATTTTCTCTTTTTTATAAACTATTTATTTGGGAGATTTCCAAAACATACAAAATAGAAGCAGATAGATAATAACAAATGTTGGCAAGGATGTGGAAAATTGGAACCCTCATAGGTACACTGCTGGTAGGAATGTAAAATGATACTGTTTTGGAAAACAGTCTGGCTGTTCCTCAAAATGTTAAACATAGCATTGCCACATGATCCAGGGATTCCACTCCTTGGGATTTACTCAAGATGAACGGATAAACAAAATGTGGTCTATGCATACAATGGAATATTATTCAGGCTTAAAAAGGAAGAAAATTCTGACACATGCTACGACATGGATGAACCTTAAAGACATTGTACTAAGTGAAATAAGCCAGTCACAGAAGGACACACACTGTATGATTCCACTTACCTCAGGTACCTAGAGTAGGCAAATTCAGAGAGACAGGAAGTAGAATGCTGGTTGCCCAAGCTTGGGGAGGAGGGAAGGGAGAGTTAGCATTTAATGGGAACAGTTTTCATTTGGGAAGATGAAAAAGTTCTGAAGATGGATGGTGATGATGTTTGTACAATAATGTGGATATCTCCACCACTGAACTGCAGACTTAAAAATGGTTAAAATGGGCAGGGTGCGGTGGCTCACACCTGTAATCCCAGCACTTTGGGAGGCCGAGGCGGGCGGATCACGAGGTCAGGAGATCGAGACCATCCTGGCTAACAAGGTGAAACCCCGTCTCTACTAAAAGTACAAAAAAATTAGCTGAGTGTGGTGGCAGGCGCCTGTAGTCCCAGCTACGCAGGAGGCTGAGGCAGGAGAGTGGTGTGAACCTGGGAGGCGGAGCTTGCAATGAGCTGAGATCACGCCACTGCACTCCAGCCTGGGCAACAGAGCCAGACACTGTCTCAAAAAAAAAAAAAGGTTAAAATGGTAAACTTCATGTTATGTATATTTTGTTTTGTTTATTTATTTATTTATTTATTTTTGGAGACAGAGTCTCACTCTGTCGCCCTGGCTAGAGTGCAGTGGCGTGACCTTGGCTCACTACAACCTCTGCCTCTGGGATTCAAGTTATTCTCCTGCCTCAAACTCCCAAGTAGCTGGGATTACAAGCACTGCCACCACACCTGGCTAATTTTTTGTGTTTTTAGTAGAGATGGGGTTTTTCCATGTTGCCCAGGCTGGTCTTGAACTCCTGACCAGCATGGCAGGTGATCCACCCACCTCGGCCTCCCAAAGTGCTGGGATTACAGGCATGAGCCACTGCACCTGGTCAGGAATTGTTTTATGAACCGACAGGTGCCCACCAGTCAGCTGCAACAATTACATTAATGAGGTCTCATTTGAGTCTAGAATCTTACGAAGAAGGTATCGTTTATCAATTCCTTTTGATAGATGAGGAAACTGAAGATCAGAGTGGTCACACAGCAAGTAAGAGGTAGACAGACTATATCTTCCCCTACCCGCTTCCAAAATAGATTGTCCCTGGACCCTGGCTTTTCCCCACACCAGCTGCCCCATTTAAACACCCCATTCAAAATGTGATTGGCTGAGCCTAGCCTGTGTCCTAGCTGCAAGAGAGGCTGGGAAAACCGGTGTCTGGTCTTTTCATGGCCTTTTCCTCCCATCTGGCCTCGTGAGGTTGGGGAGTCCCCAGAATGTAGGAGGGGGATTCAGCGCTGGGCAACTCAAAACTGACAGACCGCTGCAGTGGCTCATGCCTGTAATCCCAGCACTTTGGGAGGCCGAGGTGGGTGGATCACCTGAGGTCAGGAGTTCAAGACCAGCCTGACCAACATGGTGAAACCCCATCTCTACTAAAATACAAAAGTTAGCTGGGCATGGTGGCAGGTGCCTGTAATCCCAGCTACTCAGGAGGCTGAGGCAGGAGCATCACTTGAACCTGGGAGGTGGAGGTTGCAGTGAGCCGAGATCACACCACTGCACTCCAGCCTGGGCATAGAGCAAGACTCTGTCTCAAAAAAAAGAAAAAAGAAAAAGAAAAAAAAAACTGACGTCTCTTTCTAAGACCTCACACACCAGACAACAGAGCTCCTCTGCCTGGAATGATTTCTCTTTCTCTTTTTTTTTTTTTTTTTTTTTTTTTGAGACAGAGTTTTGCTCTTGTTGCGTAGGCTGGAGTGCAATGGCGTGATCTCAGCTCACTGCAACCTCTGCCTCCCAGGTTCAAGTGATTCTCCTGGCTCAGCCTCCCAAGTAGCTGGGATTACAGGCGCCAGCCACCCTGCTCGGCTAATTTTTGTATTTTTAGTAGACAGGGTTTCACCATGTTGGCCAGGGTGGTCTCAAACTCCTGACCTCGTGATCCACCCACTTCAGCCTCCTAAAGTGCTGGGATTACAGGTGTGAGCCACCGCGCCCAGCTTTTTTGTATTTTTTTTATTGTGGTAAAATATATGTAACTTTTTTTTTTTTTGATACAGAGTCTTGCTTTGTCGCCCAGGCTGGAGTGCAGTGGTGCGATCCTCGGCTCACTGTAACCTCCGCCTCCCAGGTTCAAGTGATTCTCCTTCTTCAGCCTCCCAAGTAGCTGGGATTATGGGCACCTGCCACCACGCCCGGCTAATTTTTGTACTTTTAGTGGAGACAGGGTTTTGCTATATTGGCCAGGCTGGTCTCGAACTTCTGACCTCGTGTCCTGCCCACCTTGGCCTCCCAAAGTGCTGGGGTTATGGGCGTGAGCCACCACACCCGGCCTGTAACATAAAACTGACCATTGTAAACCATTTTTAAGTGTACAGTCCAGTGCATTAACTACCTTCACAACATTATGCAACTATCATTACTATTTCCAAAACTTTTTCATTCCCCCAACAACAACTCTGTACCCGGTAAGCCACCAATTGCCTGAGATGGTCTCCATGTCCCCCCACACCAGGCTAAATCCTTCCACTCTTCCACTATCTGGCCCCAGATAATCCTTCCATTATCTGGTCTCAGAAAATATTTTCCTGACATAACATAAGCCCCGCATACACTCTCCTTGCGTCTTCTACCTTTCTTTGTAGCATTATGCAACTATAAGGAAATGACCATTCGTTTCAGGTCAGTCTTCCTGTCTCTCTGCTGCCTGTCAGCCCAGGAGGGAAGGCGTGAGTGTTCACTGCTAAATTGGTGCATGTGGCAAACACCTGATACGTATTTGTGGCCTGAGTGAAGAAGTGGTATGTACAAATGATGTTTTCCCCCTTCCTGTGGGGATGACAATTTGTTTAAATAATTCTGTATAATTTAGGAAGCTTTTGTTCCCTTTGCTAAGCCTTCAAGATCTGCTCAAGACTTTGAAAGTGTGATTATAGATTCTTCCTCCATAGGAGGGAATGTCACATCACCTCCCTGAGAAGAACATTCCAGGAAGTGGGGCTTTTAATGAGTCACGGTGTATTAATAGCACCACCAAAATCTGAACAAAGATGCCATTATGTTAGTGCAGAGCAAGTGAGCTGAACACGCTATCTGCCAAGTGTACGTTTTTGCTTGGAACATCAATCATCTTCTTATGAAAGCGTTTTAGGCCTCAACACTTGATCAATGAAAGTTCCAGAACTCGAAATGCAGTCCAAAAAGAAGCACTCTTGTTTTTTTAATGCCAGGTTAAAATTCAAAAAACAGGCTGGGCGCGGTGGCTCACGCCTGTAATCCCAGCACTCTGGGAGACCAAGGCGGGTGGATCACAAGGTCAGGAGATCGAGACCATCCTGGCTAACACGGTGAAACCCCATCTCTACTAAAAATACAAAAAATTGGCCAGGCATGGTGGTGGGCGCCTGTAGTTCCAGCTACTTGGGAGGCTGAGGCAGGAGAATGGTGTGAACCCGGGAGGTGGAGGTTGCAGTGATCCAAGATCGCACCACTGCACTCCAGCCTGGGTGACAGAGTGAGACTCTATCTCAAAAAAAAAAAAAATTCAAAAAACAAGAAACAGGCCGCGCGCAGTGGTTCACACCTGTAATCTCAGCATTTTGGGAGGCTGAGGTGGGTGGATCATTTGAGGTTAGGAGTTTAAGACCAGCCCCGAGCAATGTGGTAAAACCCCATCTCTACTAAAAAATAAAAATAACAGAAAACACATTAGAATGAAAATCAATAAAACATTTAACATCTGAATGCATTTGTGGTGGATATAGAAAAGTATGCTATTTTGCCCTCCACCCCCTGCTTATTTTGTGCGGTTTTTTTTGAGACAGGGCCTCATTATGTTGCCCAGGCTGGACTCAAACTCTGGGGCTCAAGCAGTCCTCCTGCCTCAGTCTCCTGAGTAGCTGGCATTCCAGGTGCGCACCACCACGGCTGGCAACAATTTCCCTTTTTTTTTTTTTTTTTTTAAGGTGGAGTCTCTCTGTCACTAGGCTGGAGTGCAGTGGTGTGATCTCACCTTACTACAATCTTCGCCTCCCAAGTTCAAGAGATTCTCCTGCCTCAGCCTCCCAAGTAGCTGGGACTACAGGTGTGCGCCACCACGCCCAGCTAGTTTTTGTATTTTTAGTAGAAGTTTTAGAGGTTTCACCATGTTGGCCAGGATGGTCTCCGTCTCTTGACCTCATGATCCGCCTGCCTTGGCCTCCCAAAGTGCTGGGATTACAGGCGTGAGCTACCGCTCCTGGCCAAACACTTTCCCTTTTAATAAAACCAGTTGGTACCATTTCTAAGCAGTTCCTGAATCCTGTGGTTTCTGCTGTCTCAGTCTCCTTCCTTAGCCTGGAAGGGCAACACACGTAAGAGAAGATGCCCAACCGCACTGCAAGTCATGAAAGGGAAAGTGAGTGTAAGAAGATGCATTTTACACCCATCAGGAATGGCAGAAATTAAAGGAGGACAGTACCAAATGTTGGCTATGGTCTGAAAATGGGGTCTCTCATGTGACCTGATGGGGGTACAGATCAATACAGTTAATCTGGAGGGCAATTTGGCACATCTGATGGAGTGGGAGAACTCACCCTGAGTACTTCCTGGTACGTGCTAGAGAAAGTCTTTCCACTTGCACCGGGAGAAAGGTACAAGAATGTTCTCCACAACCCTGTAGCAGGGGAATTTGAAAATATCTACATGTCTCAAAACAGGAGACTATCTTGGTAATTTGAGTTAATAGGAAATAAGGGGATAAAGGGACGTGCTAAATGACACTCTGAGGAAGCAGGCGGACAAATCCAGATGTGTGGGATATTTGGCTTGGTGTCTTCCACAAATAAGTGCCATTTAAACAACTCTTGTTGCCGGGCATGGTGGCTCATGCCTGTAATCCTAGCATTTTGGGAGGCCAAGGCAGGCGAATCACTTGAGGTTGGGAGTCGAGACCAACCTGGCCGACCTGGTGAAACCCTGTCTCTACTAAAAATACAAAATTAGCTGGGTGTGGTGGCGGGTGCCTGTAATCCCAGCTACTTGGGAGGCTGAGGCAGGAAAATCGCTTGAACCTGGGAGATGGAGGTTGCAGTGAGCAGAGATCGTGCCACTGCACTCCAGCCTGGGCAGCAGAGCAACACTCTGTCTCAAAAAAAAAAAGTACACAAAAGCAGACAGAATAGTATGAAACCTTAGTGACCATCACCATCCCCAACAACCAGCCAACTGGCCATGGCCATTCCCACCCATCCACACTCAATGCACCCTTCTTTCTTTCTCCAAGTCATTCTGAGGCAATTCTGAGATTTCATTGTACCATTTCACCCATAAGTATTTTCCCTACTACATCTCTGCACTCAGACATATTCAAGGCACTTGGTACTATAATTAAATGTACGATTAAGTGAGTGAACAAGGACAAGTCAAGATGTTCATTTTTGTCATTTCTAGTTAACACTGTACTGGAGGTTCTAACCAGGGGCAATTAGTCATGAAAAAGAAAAGACATCCTGATATCCTGATTGGACAGGAAAATGTAAAAAGTATCTGCATTTGTAAATGACATGATCTTGTATATAAAAACTCCTAAGGATTACAAACACACAAATCTATAGAACTAATGAGTTCAGCAAGATTTTAGGATACAAGATTGGCCGAGCATGATGGCTCATACCTGTAATCCCAGCACTTTGGGAGGCCAAGGTGGGAGGATCACTTGAGCCTAGGAGTTCAAGAGCAACCTGGGTAACATAGTGAGACCCCTGTCTCTACTAAAAAAAAAAAAAAATACAAGATTAATATATAAATATCAATTGTATTTTTATACATTAACAATGAGTGATCTGAAAATAAAGAAACATTTTTATTTGCAATAGCACCAAAAAGAATAAAAGATTTAAAAATAAAATTAGGTCAGGCTTGGTTGCTCATGCCTGTAATTCCAGCACTTTGGGAGGCCAAGGTGGGAGGATTGCTTGAACTTAGGAGGTCAAGGCTGCAGTGAGCTAGGATTACTCACTGTCCAGCCTGGGTGACACAGTGGGTCTCAAAGAAAAAGTAATAATAATAATAATAAATAAATAAAATTAACAAAAGGAATGCAAGACTTTTTATACTGTGTATTGAAAACTACAAAACATTGTTGAAATTAAAGACAAACTAAAATGGAAAGACATACCATGTTCATGGATCGGAAGGCTTAATGTTGTGGAGATAAGCAATACCACCCAAACTGATCCACAGATGCAACCCAATCCCTATTAACAATTTCCCAGCACTTTGGGAGGCCAAGGTGGGCGGATCACGAGGTCAGGAGATTGAGACCATCCTGGCTAACACACTGAAACCCCGTCTCTACTAAAAATACAAAAAATTAGCCGGGTGTGGTGGCGGGCGCCTGTAGTCCCAGCTACTCGGGAGGCTGAGGCAGGAGAATGGCGTGAACCCGGGAGGCAGAGCTTGCAGTGAGCCGAGATCACGCCACTGCACTCCAGCCTGGGTGACAGAGCAAGACTCCATCTCAAAAAAAAAAAAAAAAAAAAAAAAAAAAAAAGCTGGCATTTTTGTGCAGAAACTGACAAGCTGGTTATAAAGTTTATATGAAAATGAAGCAGGCATGGTGGCTCACGCCTGTAATCACAGCACTTTGGGAGGTCAAGGCAGGTGGATCATGAGGTCAGGAGTTTGAGACCAGCCTGGCCAAGATGGTGAAACCCTGTCTCTACTAAAAAATACGAAAATTAGATGGGTGCAGTGGCGGGCACCTGTAATCCCAGCTACTCAGGAGGCTGAGGCAGGGGAATTGCTTAAACCTGGGAGGTGCAGGTTGCAGTGAGCCGAGATCGCACCACTGCACTCTAGCCTGGGTGACAGAGTAAAACTCTGTCTCAAAAAAAAAAAAAAAAAAGGAAAAGAAAATGTTAAGGAACCCAGAAAAGCCAATCTTGAAAAAGGACAAAGTAGTAAGACTCACACTTCCTGACTTCAAACATTACTAAGAAAAAAAAAGTGAGGCCAGGCCTGGTGGCTCACACCTGTAATCCTAGCACTTTGAGAGGCTGAGGCAGGCAGATCCCGAGGTCAGGAGTTCGAGACCAGCCTGGCCAACATAGTGAAACCTTGTCTCTACTAAAAATAAAAAAAAATAGCTGGGGGTGGTGGCGGGCTCCTGTAATCCCAGCTACTCAGGGGGCTGAGGCAGGAGAATCACTTGAACCTGGGAGGCGGAGCTTGCAGTGAGCCAAGATTGCACCACTGCACTCCAGCCCGGGCGACAGTGCAAGACTCTGTCTCAAAAAACAACAACAACAAAAAAAAAATATAAGAAAAAAGAAAAAAAACTGAGCAGCTAACATGACTTGTGGCAGATTCAGTTCACTGATTCCTTTTATTATTCGTTCAAAAATTTTTTTGAAGGTTACTGTGCCAGACACTGCACTAGGTGCTTAAGGAGCTGAGGGTTCAGAATTTCTAGGCTCAGAGGGTGACAGTATAGTAACATCATAGAATTCAACCGACACAGCAGAGCACAGTAGCTCATGCCTGTAATCCTAGCACTTTGGGAGGCCAAGGCAGGTGGCTCATTTGAGCTCAGGAGTTTGAGACCACCCTGGGCAAATGGTGAAACCCCGTCTCTACTAAAATACAGAAAATTAGCCAGGTGTGGTGGCGCACGCATGTAGTAGTCTCAGCTACTTGGGAGGCTGAGGGAGGAGAGAATTGCTTGAACCTGGGAGGTGGAGGTTGCAGTGAGCCGAGATAGCGCCATTGCACTCCAGCCTGGGCGACAGAGTGAGACTCTGTCTCAAAAAAAAAAAAAGAAAGAAAGAAAGAAATCAACAGATACTTTCTACACAGGCTGGTCTGGCCTACTGTGGTAGTGCAGAGGGGTTGGCTGGATCCTAACAAAGACTTGAGAGGTCAAGGAACGCTCCCTGGAGGAGGTGTCAAACCCAAAGGTTAAGTCAGGGCCAGGGATGAGGGTGAAGGGAGCATTTTTGGCAAAAGAAAGAGCTGTGGGTGGCTGGAAGGAAAGGTGGCTTGGTGCCTCCCAGGAATGAGAGGAGGTGGGAGTCGCTGCAGCCTTGGGGTGAAAGGTTCTCAGATAGGGACTGAAAAGGGGGTTGCTGGGTGGCCGGGGCAGCGTGGGCCCTTGTGGCCATGTTAAAGGATTTGGATGTCATCCTAGGGCATAGGGGAATTCCCCAAAGTTTTGTGGCATAATCACGACCTCACAGAGGCCTCTCTGGCAGTGAGTGGAGCCCAGAGTGGGCCCAGGGCGGACAGGAGGAATCTGAGGAGCCTTACTGGGGCCTGGGCTATGGGCAGGGCTGGCAGGGAACAGGCAGGGGGATGGAGGAGCAGCGGGGCCTGCGGGGGAGGTCCTGGGCGGGCTGGCGGGGCCCTTCCGTGCTGGGTTGCCGTGGAGACAGCAACATCATACAGGCTGGACCGCAGGACCCCCGCCACCCTTAACTCCTGGGTGATCACTCTGGGAACAAAATGGACATCCCATCCAAGAGGTAAGTGCAGAGTGGCAGCCCTGTGCCCTCTGATGGCCCTGGAGGCTCAGCCTCAAAGACTTTATATAAATGTCACCCCCAGGGCCAAATTGATCTTGAGCCCAGATTCACAATGGCCCCAGCTTGAGTAACAACACGCTCTGCTCATAGTCGGAGATCATGGACCAATTATTTGCTACACCGGGCTGAATTTGGGGCTGCTTTTCTGGGAACAGAGGAAGCTCTGGCCTAGCCCGGGTCTCGGTGCAGATGGTGCAGACGTGCTAGGTGCGAGTGTGCCCAGGTGCCCCCAGCCAGGTGTGCGGGCCGCTGGAGGGGCTGTCACCATCAAGAAGAGGCCCCCAGTGCCAAGAGAGGCCCGAAGCAGTCTGGCCCACCCGGGGAAGTGAGGACTCCTCCTCACACATAGAGGATGGGGGTGTCCCCCCTCCATGGGAGCGAGGATATGACTCCTTCAAGAGTGTGGCAGGTGCCAGTGGCTCACCCTGTAATCCCAGCACTTTGGGAGGCTGAGGCTGGAGGATTGGTTGAGCCCAGGAGTTCAAGACCAGCCTGGGCAACATAGCAAGACCCTGTTTCTACAAAAAATAAAACATTAGGCTGGGCATGGTGGCTCATGCCTGTAATCCCAGCACTTTGGGAGGCCAAAGCGGGCAGATCACCTGAGGTCAGGGGTTTGAGACCAGTCTGCAACATGGTGAAACCCCATCTCTACTAAAAATACAAAAATTAGCTGTGCGTGTGTTGTACCTGAGTGAGTTAGAGAAAACGACACACTTTGAGACGAATTAAGAGTCCGATTATTTAGCCGGCAGCCAAGAGACAGCTAATGCTCAAAGTTCTCTCGGCCCCAAAGAAGGGGCTAGATTTTCTTTTATACTTTGGTTTAGAAAGGGGAGGGGGGGTCTAGTTAAAACAATTTTACAGAAGTAAAGTAGACAAAAAAGTTAAAAGGATAAATGGTTACAGGAAAGTAAACAGTTCCAGGTGCAGGGGCTTTAAGACTATTACAAGGTGATAGACGCGGGGCTTTGGGCGTTATCAATTGGATGAATTCCTGGGAACTGTGGATATTGATCACCACACTATCTTATCAGTTAGTTGCATCCTTGGATGTGCTGGGAGTCAGCTTGCACAAGTTAAGTCCTTGAGGAAGGGGCTGCCAGTGAAAGAGCCAAGATGGAGTCTGTCTGGCTCTCTTAGCTGAGAGTCAATTCAGGTGGAAACAAGGCTAGGTGATTAAAGGAAAGGGAGAGTCTAAGAACAGGGTTAGTAAAAACAGGGTTGGGCATTACACGTGGTGGCAGGTGCCTGTAATCCCAGCTACTCGGGAGGCTGAGGTGAGATAATCACTTGAACCCAGGAGGGGGAGGTTGCGGTGAGTCGAGATCGCGCCACTACACGCCATGCCTGGGCAACAAGAGCAAAACTCCATCTCAAAAAAAAAAAAATTAGCCGGGCGAGGTGGCATGCACCCGTAATCCCAGCTACTTGGGAGGCTGAGGCAGGAGAATCGTTTGAATCTGGGAGGCAGAGGTTGCAGTGAGCCGAGATAATACCACTGCACTTTAGCCTGGGCAATGGAGTGAGACTGTCTCAAAAAAGAAAAAAAAAAAAGAAAGAAAAAGAAAGAAGTGTGTGTTCATCCTGGGAAAACGGGCCTCTACGGCCCTCTAGGGCTTCCTGCTTTCCCTGGTGCCTGATCCAGAGAAGGTGCTCAGATACTGAACGCCTAAACCAGATCACCGTTGCAGGTGGGTGGAGGAGTAAAGATGCAGCGCCCTGGAAACCGAGAGCATTTCAGTATTGCCCGGGAATGAAGGGGTCTGAGTCTCAGCTCACGCTAAGGCTCTTAGGAACCACGCTGGGGAGAAGGAGCTTGAGAAATCTTTCACAACACATTTCAAGGAAAGGATATCTGGTTTTGAACTAAAACTATTGGTGAATTGTTAAATATTGTTAAGTGGGAACTTCTGAACCACGTTTTTCCTTTGAGGCAGAAATGCGGCATTGAGTTAAGCCCTGGTCTGAACCTGAGGGCAGCCTGGAGGTCAAGGCAGAGGTCATCTGTTCTGAATCCTGACGCACCCACCATGCCTGGAGTGGGGGCCTGGAAGATTTTCTCTTTGCTCTTTGACGGTGTGGAGGGTGGGGACAGGTCTGGAGAGTACATTTGCTAACCCCTCTTTGTGGAGAGACCATTCTGCGTCTGCTGGGACCCCAGTCTCCCCCGCTCGTCTCTCCGGAGCTTGCTCCCCAGACTACCTTCTGGACCCCAGGTAGGAGCTCTTGGAGGCGTTTCTGGCCTCGCAGCCGCCCGGCCCTACCGGCCGCCGCTCCCCCAGGCGTGGCTGCAGGGGCGGGGTGACAGGGCTGGTGGCTCCAGGAATCCGGTCAGTCCATTCTTGGGGAGGGAGGCCACCAGCGTGCCTGAGGCTTTGGGCTGTCTGGGGAAAGCCCTGGCCTGTCATCTTTGTCCTCTTACTGCCTGGTTGACAAGCATTTAATTATTATTATTATTATTAATGTTTTGCTATTATCCAGCATTTTACTAATGCATCAGACAATTGCATTTACAAACTAAAATGTTAAAGGCGTTCATGAGGAAACCTGTACTGATCCTTTGCCATCTGGCAGTGGTATGTGCAATTAGCAAAAGACTCCAGAAGATGTCTGGTGACAAATGCACCCTCTGGTGTTCCATTTGTGTTTTGCTGTTGGGTTTTTCATACTACTTAATCGTCACAGCTTATGAAGTTGGGAGCCGGCGGCGTGGACGCGGGGGCGGGGCCAAAACGGCCAGGGGTGGGGCCCACACTAACAAGGGGCGGAACCGAGGGCTGGTCAGAGTTGCTTTGCTACTCCCTAACGTTTCCATTCTATTTTCTTTTCTTTCTTTCTTTATTTATTTTTATTTTTATTTTATTTTTTTGAGAAGGAGTTTAGCTCTGTCGCCCAGGCTGGAGTGCAGTGGCGCGATATCAGCTCACCGCAACCTCCGCCTCCCAGGTTCCAGCGATTCTCCTGCCTCAGCCTCCCGAGTAGCTGGAATCACAGGCATGCGCCACCACGACCGGCTAATTTGTTTTTTTTTTTTTTTTATTTTTAGTGGAGACGAGGTTTCACCATGTTGGCTAGGCTGGTCTCAAACTCCTGACCTCAGATGATCTGCCCGCCTCAGCCTCCCAAAGTGCTGGAATTATAGGTGTGAGCCACCAACTCAGCTTAATGTTTCCATTTTAAAATGTCAGTTTTGCCGGGGCGGTGGTGCCTACCTGTAGTCCCAGCTACTTAGGAGGCTGAGGTGAGCAGATCCCTTGAGCCCAGGGTTTCAAGGCCAACCTGGGCAATATAGTGAGATGCCTCCATCTCTTTTAAATAAAAAAAAAAAAGGCCAGCACAATGGCTTACGCCTGTAATCGCAGCACTTTGGGAGGCTGAGGTGGGCGGATCATCTGAGGTCAGGAGTTCGAGACCAGCCTGGCCCACATGGTGAAACCCCATCTCTACTAAAAATACAAAAATTAGCTGGCATGGTGGCGGACACCTGTAATCTCAGCTACTTGGGAGGCTGAGGCAGAAGACTTGCTGGAACCCAGGTGGCAGAGGTTGCAGTGAGCTGAGATTGGGCCACTGCACTCCAGCCTGGGCTACACAGCGTGACTCCAGCCTGGGCTACAGAGCGTGACTCCATCTCAAAAACAAACAAAAAAACAAACTGCATTCTAAAACTAAGCTATGAAGTTGAAGGATGATACCTTTGGAAAAATGAGACCATAGTTGCATTCAAACTACCCCCCACCTCTTTTATCTGTTTTCCCTACAAGTTGGAGTATTTCTACGTTTTGGAAATGTCACTCTGAAATGACTGAAGTTGTGGCAACCCAAATTGAATACTAGATGATTTTTTGTCTAGCCTGGTCTTTTGCCTATCGTGGGTCCTTAAATGTTTGACTAAAGATGCCTCTAGTCCGGACTGATGCCTCTCCCCTTCTTCACTGAGTACTGGCATCGTGAGTGGCACTTGCTCTTCCTAACTTCAAGTGGAAGGAACAACATGTCTCTTAGATAATGTCTTTTTTTTTCTTTATTCGCTGTTGTCGTCCAGACTGGTGTGCAATGGCATGATCTCGGCTCACCGCAACCTCCACCTCCTGGGTTCAAGTGATTTTCCTGCCTCAGCCTCCTGAGTAGCTGGGATTACAGGCGCATGCCACCACGCCCGGCTAATTTTGTATTTTTAGTAAAGATGGGGTTTTACCATGTTGGTCAGGCTGGTCTTTTTTTTTTTTTTCCTGAGACGTAGTCTCGCTGTCTCCCAGGCTGGAGTGCAGTGTCGCGATCTCGGCTCACTGCAAGCTCCGCCTCTCGGGTTCACGCCATTCTCCTGCCTCAGCCTCCTGAGCAGCTGGGACTACAGGCACCTACCACCACGCCCGGCTAATTTTTTGTATTTTTAGTAGAGATGGGGTTTCACCGTGTTAGCCAGGATGGTCTCGATCTCCTGACCTCGTGATCCACCTGCCTCGGCCCCCCAAAGTGCTGGAATGGTCAGGCTGGTCTTGAACCCCCGACCTCAGGTGACCCACCCGCCTCGGCCTCCCAAAGTGCTGGGATTACAGGTGTGAGCCACCGCACCCAGTCTAAATAACGCCATTTTTCTCACAGCACCCACTTCGTTCTTTTTTTTTTTTTCCGAGAGAAGTCTCGCTCATGTCCCCCAGGCTTGAGTGTAATGGCTTGACCTTGGCTCCCTGCAACCTCCGCCTCCCGAGTTCAAACGATTCTCCTGCCTCCAAGGAGCTGGGATTAAGGCGCCTGACACCACGCCCGGCTGATTTTTGTATTTTTAGTAGAGACAGGGTTTCATGATGTTGGCCAGGCTGGTTTCGAACTCCTGACGTCACATGATCCACCCACCTCGGCCTCCCAAAGTGCTGGGATTACAGGCATGAGCCACCGCGCCCGGCCCCCAGTTTGTTCTTAGACCTCACAGACTGTAGGGGTTTCCTATAGCTGCCAACAAATTACCACAAACTGGTGGCTTCAAACAACAGAAAATGACTTTTTTTTTTTTTTTTTGAGGTGGGGGGTCTCACTATATTGCCCAGGTTGGTCTCAAACTCTGGGTTTAAGGGATTCTTCTGCCTCAGCCTGCCGAGTAGCTGGGATTACAGGTACACACCACTGCACCCAGAAATCTATTCTTTTTTTTTTTGAGACAAAGTTTTTGCTCTTGTTGCCCAGGCTGGAGCACAATGGCGCCATCTTGGCTCACTGCAACCTCTGCCTCCCGGGTTCAAGCAGGTCTCCTGCCTCAGCCTCCCGAGTAGCTGGGACCACAGGCGACTGCCACCACATCCGGCTAATTTTTGTATATTTAGTAGAGATGGGGTTTCACCATGTGGACCAGGCTGGTCTTGAACTTCTGACCTCAGGTGATCCACCTGCCTCCACCTCCCAAAGTGCTGGGATTACAGGCGTGAGCCACCGCGCCCCGCCAGAAATCTATTCTTTCACAGTCCTGGAAACGGCCCTCTAGGGCTTCCTGCTTTCCCTGGTGGTCTTGGAGGTCAGAATTCTGACAGGGCGCATCAGCAAGGCCGGTTTCCTCTGCAGGCTCGGAAGGAGGGTCCGCTGCAGGCCCCGCTTCCGGCTTCCGGTGGCTCCTGGCAGCCCGGAGCACTCCTCGGCTGGGGGACGACTCCCCCGGTCTCTGCTTCCGCGTGTGTGTGTGTGTGTGAGTGTTTGAAATCTCCTTCTGCCTTTCTCTTATAAGGACACCTGTCATTGGATTTAGGGTCTGTCCTAAATCCAGGATGATCTCATCTTAAGATCCTTAATAATTTCTGCAAAGATTCCATTTCCAGATAAGGTCACATTCACAGGTCCCAGGAGATTCGATGCGGATATGTATTTTGTGGGGGTCACCATTCAACCCACTCCACAGGGCCTCCTGAAAGCATTTTAAACAAGACCCTCCCTTCAAAGAGGAAGACACTGGGCTGGGCACGGTGGCTCAGGCCCTTTAGCCCCAGCACATTGGGAGCGATGTGGGAGGAGTTTGAGACCAGCCTGGGCAACACAGCAAGACCCTGTCTCAAAAAAAAAATATATACATTCGCTTTAAAAAAAAAAAAAATGGCCGGGCGCCGTGGCTCACACCTGTAATTGCAGCACTTTGGGAGGCCGAGGTGGGCAGATCACCTGTGGTCAGGAGTTCGAGACCAGCCTGACCATGCCTGTAATCCCAGCTACTCGGGAGGCTGAGGCAGGAGAATTGCTTGAACCTGGGAGGTGAAGGTCGCAGTGAGCTGAGATCATGCCATTGCACTCCAGCCTGGGCAACAAGAGTGAAACTCCGTCTCAAAAAAAAAAAAAGAAAAAAAGAAATTCTCTTAAAAAAAAAAAAATGGCCAGGGGCCATGGGTCATGCCTGTAATTGCAGCACTTTGGGAGGCCGAGGTGGGCGGATCACCTGAGGTCAGCGGTTCGAGACCAGCCTGATCAACATGGAAAAACCCCATCTACACTAAGAATACAAAATTAGCCGGGCGTGGTGGCCCATGCCTATAATCCCAGCTACTCGGGAGGCTGAGGCAGGAGAATCGCTTGAACCCTGGAGGTGAAGGTTGCAGTGAGCTTATATCGCACCACTGCACTCCAGTATGGGCAACAAGAGAGAAACTCCGCCTCAAAAAAAAAAAAAAAAAAAGACACTGCATGTGGCATGCAGACTTCCACTGTCCTGGGTGACAGGTGATGCTCTTATTTAAAAAATGCACTTTTCCAGTGGCTGGGTGTCCTTTGAGCCTTGTGATTCTCATGGGCAGTGATTTGTGTGGGAGTGGGAAGTTGGATGTTGAAGTGAAATGTTTACCTTGAGGTAGCCAATGAAATGAAATGCCTCTTCACCTGTCACAGTGGGGACTCCTTACCGTTTTGTCCAGATTTACTGATGGGAAAACAGGCTAGGAGAAGCCACTTTAGACGTCTGAAGTCACACAGCTGGGTTCGTGGCAGATCCGTTTTTTGGAGTCATGTCACTGCCCAGTGGGTTCTTCCTGCCGGCTGCACAGACAAAATCAATCCACTTTAGTGCATGGCATTGAACTAAAGAAAGAGTTTAGGAGGCCGAGCGTTGTGGCTTGCGCCTGTAATCCCAGCACTTTGGGAGCTGAGGCGGGCGGATCACCTGAGGTCAGGAGTTCGAGACCAGCATGGCCAACGTGGTGAAATCCCTTCTCTACTAAAAATACAAAAATTAGCTGGGCGTGGTGGCTCACATCTGTAATCCCAGCTACTTGGGAGGTTGAGGCAGGAGAATCGCTTGAACCCTGGAGATGGAGATTGCAGTGAGCCGAGATCACACCACTGCACTCCAGCCTGGGCAACAAGAGCAAGACTCTGTCTCAAAAAAAAAAAAAAAAAAAAGTTAAATTGACATGAGGCTGGCCACGCCACAAAGGAGACGGAGTTATTACTCAAATCAATCTCACCAAAGGCTCGGAGGTTACACGTTTTTCAAAGAAAGTATGGTGGGCGGGGGGCTAGGGTATGGGTGCTGCTGCTTGCTTGGGGATGGAATTGTAGGGGTGTGGAAAGTGGTCCTCATGCACTGAGTCCGCTCCTGGGCAGGGACCACAGGACTGGTTGAGTCATGATCTGGCTGGGGCCATCCTGTTATCAGAAATGCAAAATCCTAAAGACATTTTAAAAGGACAATCTTAGCTTCATTGCAAGAGTGATTGTGAAAGTTGCAATTCTCGTGACCTCTAGAACAATGGCTGGTAATGTTTTAACTAAGCTGACCGTTAGCAGAATTCAGGGCCCTCTTGTCCTCCTAACGTGGTGGTCTTTCATTAGTTTTACAAGTGCAGTTTAGTTTGGGGAAGGGCTATTATCATTCAAACTCCAAACTAAATTTCTCCCAAAGTTAGTTTGAACGACTCCCAGGAATGAGTGAAGAGGCCAGGCTGTGAGGCTAGAAGCAAGATGGGGTCGGCCACATCAGATTTCCCTCGCTGCCATCATTTTGCAAAGGCGGTTTCACCCAGGGAGTCTGGTTCTAGACCCATCAGCTATTCAGCCTCCAGTGGAAGCTTTGTGGCTTCCGGCTCAGGAGTCTTCGTGGATGGTGGGAGGCAGGTTTGCCCTAAGCAGTTCTCAGCTTGACTTTTCCCTTTAGCTTAGTGATTTTGGGGCACTCAAGGAACACTGCAGACAGAGGGGCACGTTTTGTGGGAAAGGCATTTGGTTTGGGTGTTAGGTGTTAGGTGTTAGGTGTTAGGTGTTAGGTGTTAGGTGTTGGGTGTTAGGTGTTAGGTGTTAGGTGTTGGATCTCATCCAGCAAATGCCTACTGAGCACCACTGCCTGCTCAGAGCCAGGGGTTTGGCTTCCGGGACACAGCCGTAGACAAAGCAGCCGAGCCCCAGGTCCTGGAGCACAGGTCATTTTGGGAGGGAGTGACTCTGATCCTAACAGTGATAGAGGAGGAAAATGTGAGCATGTTAGAGTGTAAGGACCAAAGAGAAAAATGCAGCGTGTGTGTACATCTGTGCAGCGTGTGTGCATCTGTGGTGTGTGTGCACGTGTGTGCAACTGCAGCGTGTGTGTGCATGTGTGTGCACGTGTGTGCATCTGCGCAGCGTGTGTGTGCAACTGTGCAGCGTGTGGGTGTGCATGTGTGCACGTGTGTGCATCTGTGCAGCGTGTGTGCATCTGTGTAGTGTGCACGTGTGTGCAACTGTGCAGCATGTGTGCACGTGTGTGCATCTGCGCAGCGTGTGCACGTGTGCAACTATGCAGCTTGTGGCTGTGCATGTGTGTGCACGTGTGTGCATCTGCAGTGTGTGCACGTTTGCAACTGTGCATGTGGGTGTGCGTGTGCACGTGTGTGCAACTGCAGCGTGTGGGTGTGCATGTGTGTGCACGTGTGCATCTGCGCAGCGTGTCTGCACGTGTGTGCAACTGTGCAGCATGTGTGTGCGCGTGTGCACCTGTGCGTGTGTGAGGTGTGTTGAAATACGAGAAGGGGACTCCAGGAAGGCCTCAGGGAAGGGTGACCCTAGAGTAAAGACTGGATGGAAGGACGGGATGGCCAGGTGGAGGGGCGAGAGGGCTGAGCTGCAGCGGGAGTTGGGGGTGCGGTGAGGGCTCAGTCTCTGGTGTGCTACGTGGTGGGGTTTAGCAACATGTGAAAAAAATCTTGGGGTCCCCAAATCACTAAGCTGAAGGGAAAAGTCAAACTGGGAACTGCTTAGGGCAAACCTGCCTCCCATTCTATTCAAAGTCATCCCTCTGCTCACTGAGATAAATGCATATCTGATCGCCTCTTTGGAAAGGCTCATCAGAAACTCAAAAGAATGCAACCATTTGTCTCTTACCTACCTGTGACCTGGAAGCCCCCTCCCCACTCTGAGGCTTTTCCAGACGGAACCAATGTCCATCTTACGTATGTCGACGGATGTCTCATGTCTCCCTAAAATGTATAAAACCAAACTGGGCTCTGAGCACCTTGGGTACGTGTGGTCAGTGTAGCAGGACGAGCCGCAGACAAAACCCCTCAGACACCGAGTTGTAGAAGGAAGGGCTTTATTCAGCTGGGAGCATCGGCAAGTTACCATCTTAAAATCCCAGCTCCCCAAGTGCACAATTTCTGTCCCTTTTAAGGGCTCACAACACTAAAGATTTTACGTGAAAGGGTCGTGATTGATTGAGCAGTCTGGGGGATACGTGACAGGGGTTTCATGCACTGGTAGTCAGAGTGAAACAGAACAGAGCAGGGAGTCTCACGATGTTCTTCCATACAATGCCTGAAATCTATGGGTAACATCGGGTTCTAAGTCATGAGCTGATTTTTAACGACTAGGTTTAGGCCAGGCAGGCCCAGGCCTGGTTTTGGGCCTGGCGCCGGGCTGCCTGTCTTTGATTTCACTTCGTTTTTTTCTTAAAACAGGTACTGAGTATAAAACAATATGAGAGGGTCTCTCTCCCCCCAGTCAGGACCTCCTGAGGCTGTGTCATGGGTGCGCGTCCTCAACCTTGACAAATATCTTTTCTAAATTAACTGAGACCTGTCTCAGATTTTCGGAGTTCACAAGCATTGCTCTGGTCTGAGAGTGGATGCTGGGCTGGGGGCCAGGGCAGAGATTGAGATGGAATAGCGGGGCCCAGGGCCAGGCGGGGAAGTGGGGAGATGTGGCTGAATTCTGGACATGTTTTGAGGTTAGAGTCAGAGTTTGCTAATCAGCTGCCTGCGGGGTTTGGAAGGAGGAGGAGCCAGGGCCTTGGGAAACATTTCAGCCTGAGCAACCAGATACCTGGAGGTGCCGCGGAGGAGGGACAACCTCAGGGTTTTACCTTGGACAGGTGGAATCGGAAGAACCCATTAGAGACTTCAGCGGGGGGCTGGGCAGAGCGGGAAACCAGGGCGGTGCGTGGAGCCTTGGCCAGGTCGAGGGGGGTGCTGAACAGATGTCCGGAGGGCAGTGGGGACATGGGGGTGGAGCTTAATTGGAGGTGGAGGTTTGGTGGCTGTTGGCAAAGAGGTGGTGACTCCAACAGGAGAGCATGGGGTCATGTTCTCCCAGCTTCAGAGACTGTCAAGGACCGGCCGATCCTGTCTCATCGCCCCACCCGTGCCTCGCGTGTCTCCCTCAAAGAGGAGGCCTTTGTAGACACAGCCACGCGCTCTCGGTCTCGGTGTTCCCAGCCTGGTCGGCTCTGTTGGGTGGGGCGCTGATGCAGGAGGAGCAGAGTGATGGTCATAAAGTGCATGCTGGATCTGTCACTTAGGTGACTTGTCACCTGAGTCCAGAAGATAGCTGGGATTCTGAGGTCAGAAAGCTGACTTCCAGGGGTGGAAGAGAGAGGGTGGAAGTGAAGAGGAGGGGGCTTCTCCTCCAGGGTCCTCCCGAAGGCCCACTTTGACCTGGGCTAGGAAAGAAAAGTCCAGAAGGAGTGGCCAGGAGGCACTGTAGATGTTTGTGTGTAACAAGGCGACTTCAGTAATAATAAGGTTGGGCCGGGTGGGGTGGCTCAGGCCCATAATCCTAGCACTTTGGGAGACCAAGGTGGGTGGATCACTTGAGCCCAGGAGACCAGCCTGGGCAACATGGCAAAACCCTGTCTCTACAAAAAAATACAAGAGGGCCAGGAGTGGTGGCTCATGCCTGTAATCCCAGCACTTTGGGAGGCCAAGGTGGGCAGATCACCTGAGGTCAGGAGTTCGAGACCAGCCTGGGCAACATGGCAAAACCCTGTCTCTACTAAAAATAGAAAAATTAGCCGGGCATGGTGGTGGGTGCCTGTAGTCCCAGCTGCTTGGGAGGCTGAGGTAGGAGAATCATTTGAACTTGGGAGGCGGAGGTTGCAGTCAGCCAAGATCACACCATTGCACTCCAGCCTGGGCGACAGAGCAAGACTCCGTCTCAAAAAAAAAAAAAAAAAAAAAAGTTCTGCAAAGGCTCTGTTGGTGATGGTGTTGTAACTGGTGTTTGGGTGGCCCTGGCGGTTGGGGGTGGGCTGTGCCACCTGCCACTGCTTCTCAGGTGCATTGCTTTGAGAACAGGCAATGGGCACCTTTGAAAACAAGGTTCGGACTTAAACGCCCATTTCAGCTTCTTGCCAACCACCTTGGCGGCCTTCGGTGTGAAGGTGGAGGCTCCCCAGAACGCCCTTCAGGCCCTGGATGTGGCAGAGGGAAGACTCGGGGGTGGGTCTGGCCTCAGCTTCGCTTGCCCCTCACCAGGAAAATGCTGCCTTGCCCTTTGGAAGAGCTGTTGAGAGGAAAAGACGGAGCTCTGCCCTGCCAACGGAGGGCAGGGCGGTTTGAGCCAAGCCTCCCAGGTCTGTGCCCAGCACTGCGTTGAGGGCTTTCTGGGAACAAGGCTCAGGCTGAGTCCCCAGTGGTGGCGGGCTCTCAGGCTGTTTTTGGGTGATATGAATATTGATCTAACACATTTTTAAAAATTCATTTGCAGCTGGGCACAATGGCTCATGCCTGTAATCCCAGCACTTTGGGAGGTTGAGGTGGGTGGATTGCTTGAGCCCTGGAGTTCAAGGCCATCCTGGGCAACATGGCGAAACTCCATCTCTACAAAAAATACAAAAATTAGCCGGGCGTGGTGGTGTGCACCTGTAGTCTGGGGAGGCTGAGGTGGGAGGATCACTTAAGCCCAGGAGGTCTAGGCTGCAGTGAGATGAGGTTGCATCACTGCACTCCAGCCTCAGTGACAGAGCCAGACTGTCTCAAAAAAAAAAAAAAACAAACAAAGAGGCCGAGTGTGGTGGCTCACGCCTGTAATCTCAGCACTTTGGGAGGCGGGTGGATCACGAGGTCAGGAGAGCGAGACCATCCTGGCTAACACAGTGAAACCCTGTCTCTACTAAAAATCCAAAAAATTAGCCGGGCTTGGTGGTGGGCGCCTGTAGTCCCAGCTACTTGGGAGGCTGAGGCAGGAGAATGGCGTGAACCTGGGAGGCGGAGCTTGCAGTGAGCCGAGATCGCGCCACTGCACTCCAGCCTGGACAACAGTGCGAGACTCAGTTTTTTAAAAAAAACAAAAACAAACAAAAAACAAATAAAAATTCGGCCAGGCGTGGTGGCTCACACCTGTAATCCCAGCACCTTGGGAGGCTGAGGCGGGTGGATCACCTGAGTCAGGAGTTCAAGACCAGCCTGACCAATATGGTGAAACCCCGTCTCTACTAAAAATACAAAAATTAGCGGGCGCCTGTAGTCCCAGCTACTCAGGAGGCTGAGGCAGGAGAATCGCTTGAATCCGGGAGGTGGAGGTTGCAGTGAGCCCAGATTGCGCCACTGCACTCCAGCTTGGGCGACAGAGCAAGATTCCGTCTCAAAAAAAAAAAAAAAAAGAAAGAAAAATTCATTTGCAAGGCAGAGCCTGCAAAAACCAGCATCAGTGACGGGAGGAAGAGTCAGCGCATGCGAGCATGTTAGACTTGATTCCGCCTCGCAGAACTGCTCTTGGACTGAGAAACACTTTTGTCCTCAGCTTTTAGATCTTTATGATGGCGATTCGGAAGACACCCCCAGTCATTCCAACTGGAGCTGCAACGACTGTTCTCTGGGTGACATGAGCTGTAAGGTGGCTTCCTACACACTGAAGTCAGAGTCCAGAGGAAGTTCATATAGTAGACGCCCTGTCACAAAAAACCCACATTCTTGTCATAGAAGTGGCCAGCTGGGCCCGTGTCCCTGGAAGCCAAAGATGAGGGCACGTAGCCCGAGGACTCGAGGATGGCGGAGGAGGACCAGACCCCCAGGGCCGCCGAGCCCTTCCTCACTCCCATGGAGCCCCCTGAGACTGGCAGACACGTGCCAAGCAGAGCTCGAGGGGCATGGCCACCACCTAGGTTTGGGAGAGAGAAAAGGGGCCCAGAATCTCCTTCTCCAAGAGGAAGCTGGAGCTCTTCCTTGCAGAGCCTGAGAAAAGGAAGAGGAAGAAGCAGTAGGTGGCCTAATCCAAGGTGAGCAGACTCAGTCCAGGAAGGGGTCCCAGCCCAAGAGGAGCAGGGGCTCTTCTGATCAAAGCTGATGTCGATGCACATAAATGTTTTTAGGGGCTGGGTGTGGTGGCTCACACTTGTAATCCCAGCATTTTGGGAGGCCAAGGTGGGAGGACCACTTGAGCTCAGGAGTTCGAGACCAGCCCGAGCAACATGGTGAAACCTTGTCTCTACAAAAGATACAAAAATTAGCCGACATGGTGGTGTGTGTCTGTGGTCCCAGCTGCTCAGAAGGCTGAGGTGGGAGGATCACTTGAGCCCGGGAGGTTGAGGCTGCAGTGAGCCATGGTCACGCCACTGCACTCCAGCCTGGGCAACCGAGTGAGACCCTGTCTCTAAAAAGAAAAACATGTGTTTAGGGGCTCAACTCGGTGACTCACACCTAGAACCCCGGCACTTTGAGAGGCTGAGATAGGAGGAGCCCTTAATGCCAGGAGTTTGAGACCAGCCCAGGGAAAATAGCGAGATTCCATCTCTACAAAAAATACAAAAATTTGGCCAGGTGCAGTGGCTCATGCCTGTCATCTCAGCACTTTGGGAGGCTGAGGCAGGAGGATCACTGGCTGAGGCCAGGAGTTTGAGACCAGCCTGGCCAACACGGTGAAGCCCTGTCTCTACTAAAAATATAGTAATTAGCTGGGCATGGTGGTGCATGCCTGTAATCCCAGCTATTCAGGAGGCCGAGGCAGGAGGATCACTTGAACCCGGTAGGTGGAGGTTGCAGTGAGCTGAGATCACGCCACTGCACTCCAGCCTGGGCAACAAGAGCGAAACTCCATCTCAAAAATAAAATAAAGACACTGAGATGCCAGAAGCCTGTTTCCACGGGTGTAGCACACCCATCACCTCTAGCAATGTGAACGTGAGATGCAAACAGTCAGCTGTATGGGCCACTGTCATCATCACCACTGGAAAGGTCGTGTGGGAATGGACTTGCTAGGGCGGCGATGGGCAACTCCCTCATCTACAGCACAAAACTCCCTTGTCTGGAGGAGCCAAGTCCTGGGGCCCTGGTCAAGAACACAAGCGGCTGGGGGCTGCCTTTTTTTTTTTCAGCTCACTGCAACCTCCGCCTCCCAGGTTCAAGCAATTCTCCTGCCTCAGCCTCCCGAGTAGCTGGGATTACAGGCATGTGCCACCATGCCCGGCTAATTTGGTGATCCGCCCGCCTCGGCCTCCCAAAGTGCTGGGATTACAGGCATGAGCCACCACGCCCAGCTTTTTTTTTTTTTGAGACAGGGTCTTGCTCTGTCACCCAGGCTGGAGTGCAGTGGTGAGATCACAGCTCACTGCAGCCTCGACCTCTTGGGCTTGGGTGATCCTCCCACCTCAGCCCTCAAGTAGCTGGGACTACAGGCATGCACCACCACACCTGATTTAATTTCCTGTAGAGACGGGGTCTCACTATGTTGCCGAGGCTGGTCTTTAACTCCCAGACTCCCAAAGTGCTGCGATTAAAGGTGTGAACCATGGTGCCCGGGCCCCAGGGCCTTCAGAGCCACAGCTGGCTGCATCTGTGTCTGTGAAGGGCCCCAAGGTCTTCATTCATGAGTGCTGTGGCCGCTCGGGAGCGAGCTCATGATGAAAGCGAGGTGGGGAGGGGCATGGCTGCCGTGGGCTGCCCTCCCTGGGCAGCATGGAAGGCAAGGCTCTGTGCCCTGGGATGAAAGCGGAGACAGAAGAGGCGGAGCCGGCTCATGCTTAGTGTTTTATTTCCTCAAAGGAGCCACGCCATTGGCCTTCCCAAATACCTCCTGGTATCCTTCCAATTTCCACCACTCCCAACCGTCAGATTCCATTCAGCTTCCTCCAACCTCAGACCAACCACTTTCTTTTCACAAGCTCAGACCTTCCAAATATTTTAAAAATGAATAAATGTTAAATACCAACTTTCACTATTACAGAAAGGGGCAGCTAGAAAAGTTTACTCTGTGCACAAGACTGCGACACCCCGCTCGTAGAAGCTGCGAGGATCCTCCTTTGTAGCAATTTCGAAGTCCACGGTGAAGATGAGGTCTGCACGGGTGAAGTTCAGGTAGACAGGTAAGGTTACCTGCAGAAGCAGAGGGGTTTACTGGTGGCTTAAGGGAAAAGTAAGAAAACTGGAAGACTGCCCGGGACAGCTGATGGGGCCCGGCAAGGAGAGGTTTGGACAGGTGCGAAATGGATTTCCTCTGTGAACCTCATTTCCCGTTCCAAGTGGAACCCAGGCATAGAAGAGGAGCCGCCTCTGCCCTTGTTACCGCAGGGGTCCCTGCAGAATGCCTGGGAAAGGCAGTGCCTCCTTACCACACTGGCCTTCTTCTCGGTGTTTGTCTGCTTGACCCAGCGCAGCTGCGTCAGGGGAAGGGCGGTTGAGATGGCATTGGACAGTGACAGCTTGTTGTTGTTGCACGTGGCCCCTTGAAGTTTCAAACCTGTGAGGCGGAAGCCAAAACCCAGGCTGAGGTGAACACAACAGCTACACAAACCCCAGTCACAGGGCGCCCAGAGGCTCCACCCAACTGCCAGCCGGTCACCCTAAGTGCATGTATCTGGGAACAATGGTCTCAGGCCACCGAGGTCACCTGCAAAGAGCCAGTATTTTCTGTGAGACTCCACTCACCCGTGACTCCGAAGCTGCAAGCGTCAAGGGTGGCGCCCTGTGAGGTGGTGACGTTGACTTCCAGGCAGAGCTCCTCCAGGGACCAGCTGTTGGCCTGGGCCACATACTGCCTGGTGGCAGTGATGTACGCCTCAGGCACGAACAGGCCACCCAGGCACACGTGGATGTTCTGTGGAAAGCAGCAGCCCCCAGGGGAAGGAGCTCAGGTCAGACCTGGGCCCTGTGTTTTTCCCCAGAGCCACTCCCACCCCAGCCCAGGACAGCTGCTGACCACCCGAGACTCGTCAGGAGCGCCTTCACCTTTAGCTCCTTGGCGCCACCAGATGCAGCTGCCAGTGAGATGTTCTGCAGCTGTTTGATCCTCTCGCTGAAGTCGGACACCCACTGGATGACGGTCATGCCGGCAGGCACCGTGTAGTGGGACCAGCTCCGAGGCAAGATCCCTGCAGCCAAGGCACACAGAGCCCAGGGTGTCAGCTCTCACAACTCCCCCAGCACAGATGGAACAAATGTGCAAGTGCTAGGCATCCTGGCTGCCCACACAGGCGGCTGGCGGCTCCACCTACTGCCTTTCCCAGGCTGCACTTTATGCCCCTGGCGCCGCCCTCACCACATCTGCTCTAGCTCAGGCTGGTCCAGAGCATGTCTCAGAACCGTGCAGTTTCTAGGGTCAAATTAGTCCAGGTGTGTCTTTCTGGAGGACCATAATCACATCCAAGCAAAACCGCGGCTAAAACCTCATGTCACACAAGTGGCTCAGTGTTCCTGGCAATTAGGGCTTTTGGGGCAAACAGGAGGATGCTGGGGGCTCCCCACAACTTTGGATGAGCCCCCCATGCCCGCCTGCCCCTGCTTTTCCACTGTCCTGGGGGACACCCATTCTTCACAGGCCGTAACCTACTACCGTCTGTCACCATCCTGGACCACCACATTCCCCATTCACTGTCGTCTTGGAAGACCCCTAAAAAACTAGAAGTTGTGTAAAGATTTTGGTCAACATTCAGTGAACCAGCACAGAAGAAAAACAAATTCTTCAGCATTTCTAAGCTCCTCCCCTCCCCCCGCCCACCTTGAGGGTAAGAGCACAGAGCTGCTCTCGGAAGCTCCTGCAGGCCTGGCTGTCTGCACGTGGTGCTGTGTGGCTGGGCTGGGTTGTGGCCCCTGGCCAAGGTGCCCGCCGGAAGCCACACCACGAGTTCGGCCTCTCACGCACCTTTCACTAGCTCGTTGATCAGCGTGCGCAAGTAGTTGGTCTGCTTCTTCTTTCCTTCGCACACCTGGACGACATCTGCAAGGTCCTGGCGAACGTCCTGAAGCAGCTTTGCGCCCATCTTCACTTCTCTCTCAAAGAACCTGAACAAAGGATCCTAAAATCGTTCAAAAGGGTGAAGAGAAGTTAGGAAGAGGTCCTTTCTCCAGTGTAAAGGTCAAACAGAAGTAACTCGGCCTCCGGGGAGAGCCCCAGAGCTTCCGAACTGTCCAGGGTCACGGACAGCTTTGGCAGAGCGTGACTTGGAACCGAGCTTGTGTGAAGCTGAGGCTGCTCAGAAACCCGCTGAGGCCCCTGCCCGAGTCGCAGCTCTCGGGGCTCTCTAGGGAGGAAGGGCTGCGGCTGCTCGCTGTGGCGCTGTCTGCCTATCTCACAATCTTCTAGGGTGTTTTCAGTCCATTTCAAAAGGGCCAACTCATCTTGCCCAATGCCTGGGCTCAGCTGGACACCTGCTCTGAGGTGACACCGGTGTGAGTACGTTCCGTCCGGCACAGTGGAACCAATGGTCCATGGAACAATGGTCCATGACCATACCCAGCACCTGGGACCTTGAGACCTGGCCGGCCCGCCACCCTCCCAGCTACCTTGATATTCTCCACGGTGCGCTTGAGGTGGCTCAGCGTCTGGGGGATGAGGTGCAGCCAGTTGGACGCGGTGGTGTGCAGTGTCCGCATCCAGGCAGGGCGCCCGTCGGACGTGGAGTCTGTCCTCGTCTTCTTCTCAGTCTCTGCGTAGGCCAGGTCGTCCTCATCCTCCAACATCTGCATCTTCAGCATTTTACTGATCATGTCCACACCTGGGCCACAGTCCCACAGTCGCAGCAGGAAGGAGGGAGGGGACGGGCAAGAAATCACAGAGGGAAAAGGGACTTGAACGTAAAGGCCACATGGTGAGTGAGTCCACACTGGGAACTGCAGCAAAATCTGGAAGGTGCTCAGCCGTGTGTACATATATATATATATATATATATACACACACACACACACACACACGTGTATATATACATATATGTGTATATATATATACGTATGTGTATGTATATATATATGTGTGTGTGTGTGTATATATATATTTTTGAGATGGAGTCTCGCTCTGTCACCCAGACTGGAGTGCAGTGGCGTGACCTTGGCTCACTGCAACCTCTGCCTCCTGGGTTCAAGTGATTCTCCTGACTCAGGCTCCCAAGTAGCTGGGATTACAGGCATGTGGCACCGCGCCTGGCTAATTTTTTCTTGTATTTTTAGTAGAGACAGGGTTTCACCATGCTGGCCAGGCTGGTCTTGAACTCCTGACCTCAGGTGATCTGCTCGCCTTGGCCTCCCAAAGTGCTGGGATTACAGGCATGAGCCACCATGCCTGGCCAGTCATGTATGTTTTTAAAGCACAGACAATGGCCTGACCAGAAAGCTAAGGAGACAGATACAGAATAAGAATTGTTACCAGGTCGAGAACATGACTGTTAAAACTGACCCAGCAAGACAGCCACAGTGGCTCACGCCCACAGTCCCAGCACCAGCAAGACAGCCACAGTGGCTCACGCCCACAGTCCCAGCACTGTGGGAGGCGGAAGCGGGAGCATCTCTAGAGCTCAGGGGTTCAAGACTAGCCTGGGCAACATAGTGAGACCCTCATCTCTACAAAAAATTAGAAAGGCAGGTGTGGTGGTGGCACCTGTGGTCCCAGCTACTTGGAAGGCTGAGGTGGGGGGATCGCTTGAGCCCAGAAAGCTGAGGCTGCAGTGAGCTCTGATTGCACCACTGCACTCCAGTCTGAGTGACAGAGCAAGACTCAGTCTCAAAGCAAAAAAAAAAAAACGGAACCAGCAGCCCGAGTCCAAAGACTCAAGGAAGGCTCTTCAGGACCCTGGGTTTGGGTTCACTGTGAGACCTGGGCCAAGCCCCGGCCGGCTTTCAGCCCGACCATGAATGAGTGCGTGCTCGAGAGGCGCTCCAGGAGGGGGTGCCACCTGCCCTCTTAACTCAGAAAACTGGTCACCACAGTGTCCCTTGGCCTGTGACTGCCACCATGTGGCTGGGATTACCCCGAGCCTTGTGGTGCCTGCAGTGTGCTCCAGACCCGCCCAGCTCGCCTGGCTCTCCCTCCAGACCCGCCCAGCTCGCCTGGCTTTCCCTCCAGACCCGCCCAGCTCGCCTGGCTTTGGCTTTCCCTCCAGACCCGCCCAGCTCGCCTGGCTTATCCCTCCTGATTCTGTCCTGTTAACCAGCTGTGAGTTTCAGCAATGCCCTTGTCTTCTTAGCTTTTCTTGTCTTCTTAGCTTTTCGTGACTTTTTCCCATAAGAAAAAGTTGAGATTTGATCAGCTGCTGTCAACCCCACGTGTAGTGCTTGGAGGCTTTGTGAAGGCCAGTTGCTGGGCCCATCCCCTGTCCTGATAGAGTGCGCCTGGGCAGGGCCTGGGAACCCGCATTTCTTTTTTTTTTTTTTTGAGACAAAGTCTTGCTCTGTCGCCCAGGCTGGAGTGCAGTGGTGCCATCTCGGCTCACTGCAAGCTCCCCCTCCCGGGTTCACGCCATTCTCCTGCCTCAGCCTCTTGAGTAGCTGGGACTACAGGTGCCCGCCACCACACCCGGCTAATTTTTTTTGTATTTTTAGTAGAGACGGGGTTTCACCGTGTTAGCCAGGATGGTCTCCATCTCCTGACCTTGTGATCCGCCCACCTCGGCCTCCCAAAGTGCTGGGATTACAGGCTTGAGCCACCGTGCCCGGCTGGGAACCTGCATTTCTAAGAAGTTCTGGGGAGGCTGCTGCTGCTGCTGGTTTGGGAGCCACACTATGAGAGCCACTGGCTTAGAGAATTTCTTAGCTCCCTTCTGGCTCACAGCACTTGAAGTCTTAAAAAACATCTTGTAAGTAAGTGAAAAGGAAACAAAGACTGCTAAAAAATTCTAGGGAAGATGAATGGTTTTAAAAAATCACTTAATATCAGGTACTTTTCAACTCTTGAAGAAAAAAAAAAGAAACTGATTTTCTTTTTTCTTTTTTGAGACAGAATCTTGTTCTGTTGCCCAAGCTGGAGTGCAATGGCGCGTTCTCAGCTCACTGAAACCTCTGCCTCCCGGGTTCAAGAGATTCTCCTGCCTCAGCCTCCAGAGTAGCTGGGATTACAGGCACCCACCACCACACCTGGCTAGTTTTTGTATTTTTTGTAGAGATGGGATTTCACCATGTTGGCCAGGCTGGTCTCGAACTCCTGACCTCAGGTGATCCATCCACCTCAGCCTCCCAAAGTGCTGGGATTATAGTGGGATTATAGGCGTGAGCCACTGCGCCCGGCTTTTTTTTTTTTTTTTGAGACAGAGTCTCACTCTGTTGCCCAGGCTAGAGTAGAGTGATGTGATCTCGGCTCACTGCAACCTCCATCTCCCGGGTTCAAATAATTCTCCTGCCTCAGCCTCCTGAGTAGCTGGGATTACAGGTGCCTGCCACCATGCTCACCTAATTTTTGTATTTTTAGTAGAGACGAGGTTTTGCCATGTTGACCAGGCTGGTCTGGAAATCCTAACCTCGAGTGATCTGCCCGCCTTGGCCTCCCAAAGTGCTGGGATTATAGGTGTGAGCCAGTGTGCCCAGCCAGTAACTGCTTTTCAATATGAGATGAACATCTAAATGTTATTTCTAGGCTCATTTACATAAATATCAAGCCTTTTCTCTAGAACTGAGTTGATGCTGCAGAGAAGAGCCAGTTCTTTCCTCTGCCTCCCCTCGGAGTGGAGCTAGGAGCAGCTGGAGACTGGCAGGAAGGCCGAGGCTGACAGAGCCACACCCAGCATAACCAGGGAGGGCCCTGGGACAGCAGTGCACACTCACCCTGCGTGTGGGGACCCTCGCCACCCACCCCGCGTGAGGGGACCCTCGCCACCCACCCTGCGTGTGGGGAGGATCCTTGTTGCCTACCCTGTGTGGTAAGGAGGACTCTCTCGGCGTTGTTGGGCAGGCCCAGCCAGGAGGGCGTCTGGGTGTCGGGGAGCAACTCCACCCACTGCACAAACTCCTCTCGCCTAGAAAACCAGTGCATTTGGAAATGATGTCAGGGGTCACCTCTGAGTGACACCAGACGCCCTGACATCACAACTGTCTCCATTCCAGCAGGCAGCAGCATACCTGATGCCATCTGGCATTTGAATGTCTTTATGTCCGTCGACCTTGCATGCCAGCTTAAACTCACTGTCGAAACTCCTGGTTGTGAACAGGCGCTCCAGGAAGGTGTTGAGCAGACGCTGGTCAAACTCGTTGTCCACGCGCCCGCCATAAATGGACTGGGCCATTAAGGTCTTTAGTGCAGACCACGGGATCTTATCCGGTGAGATGTTCTGCCTGCCCTGGGGGAGGAAAAGCAGGGTTCGTGTGTGTGGTCAGAGGCGGGCAGGCCCGGGGCTTCCTTTCGAGGGGCACAGCTTTCCTCCTCACTCCCCATGGCCAGCTAGGCTTTGGCGGTCACGAGGGGTCAGCTCGCTCTTCCACGCAGAGTCTGGCCTCTCAGCACCACGCCCTGCAGCATCCTTCCCAGATACACGTCCACTGTCTGTCCTGGCATGGCCCACACTTGCCTTGGCCGTGTCATCCAGCCACGTGTCCACCGTATCGCAAGCTGACCGCAGGTCAGACTCTCCAAATTCATACTTCTTTGACCACCCCAGTGGTGCGTATCGTAAGCGTTCTTGGATGATCGCATGAAACCAGGCCAGCAGGAAGTACAAGCGGGCACGCTCGTTGGGAGACTGGTGAGGAAAGTGACCAAGCACAGAGTCATTAGAAAACAGCACTTCGCCAAGAACAGTGCAGATGCCAGGTCAGTCAAAGCTTTACAAAGAGCTCTCCACATCCTGACGATGGCAGCAGATTCACATGAGTACTGCTGCTAGGAGAAAAGTATGCCAACTTTTCTATTAATAGACGTGTCATCCAATGAGACCATCAGAATTTATTCAGCCAGTAAGAAATCTAGAGAAGACAGAGTTTCTAAGAATGTCAGAAAACGTGAATGTGGCACAAAATAGAACAGAATTGACAGAACGAAACCCCTGCCACAATCCCCCTCCTCTCGCCCAAGAGTTTCGGTCTTCACTTGGCGCCTGGGAGGGCTCTGTTTGGTCTTGGGGGCCTGTGCTGGGGGAGAGGAGATTGCCTGCCACCTGGGGACACAACTCTGAGTCCCAGCTTCTCCGTGGGCATCTCTGCTCCTCTGGGACCTCATCACACCCCATAATCAAACATGGCTTTTACTTTTCAACCTGCTCAAAGGAAGGAAATTTTATATAGAGACAGGATCTCACTATGTTGTCCAGACAGGTCTTTTTTTTTTTTTTTTTGAGACGGGGTCTTGCTCTTTCGCCCAGGCTGGAGTGCAGTGATGTGATCTCAGCTCACTGCCAACCTCTGCCTCCTGGGTTCAAGCGATTCTCCTGCCTCAGCCTCCCCAGTAGCTGGGATTATAGGCGCACGCCACCACGCCTGGCTAATTTTTTATATTTTTAGTAGAGACGGAGTTTCACCATGTTGGCCATGCTGGTCTTGAACTCCTGACCTCAAGTGATCTGCCCACCTCAGCCTCCCAAAGTGCAGGGATTACAGGCGTGAGCCACCACTCCTGGCCTGCCCAGACAGTCTTGAACTCCTGGGCTCAAGTGATCCTCCCACCTCGACCTTCCAAAGTGCTAGGATTACCAGTGTGAGCCACGGTGCCCGGCCATGGAAGGAAATTTTACCTACAGCTGAAAAGCAAAAGCAGCTGTGCAGTTCACCACACGGCACTTCCGGGGGCCCAGGGACCCACTTCTGCATTTGGTGATGGGACTGGGCTTTAGCTTCTATGGGGAAAGCATACCAGGAGGACAAGGTACTTACCTTGCATATCCGTGAGACGGGAATGCTGCTGAACGTCCTCAGCATGTTGGCCTTCACCCCTGGCGGTGGCTCGAACACAAAGATGCGGCCCGCACGGAGCAGATTCACAGGCACCTAAGGGAGAGCGCCGTTCCAGTTATGCTCGGGTGTGGATGAGGGCGCCTGTTCAATTCCACCACACACGTGCCGACAGCACAGTGCCAGGCCAGCCTGCAACGTCTCCACTCCTTCAACCACCCACCTTGGGGTTGATCTCCATGGTGAGGAAGAGTCGGAAGCAGGCATGCGGCTGCAGGGAATGCAACTTCTTCTCCAGCTGCATCAGCCACCCTGGGGCCAGATGCACATTCTTCAGCATCACCCACCTGCACACACAAAGTGAGAGTCACACAGCATGCCAGGCTGCCTGCCTGAATGCCTGGGGACTAAGGCTTTCTTCAGCCAAAGAGAACAGGCCTACCTGCCCGACTTTACAGCGGTGTTTATTGCCTTATCTGCTTGGTTAAAGCCTTCTGCAGAGCCTGGTGCAGGGAAACTTAGTGTTAGCAGCGGCAGCCTCGGACATCAATGCCCACCACAAATCCTGCAGGGCTCCAGCCCATGAAGCCCCTCAAGCATCCTTACCGATTGCAATTGAAGTGATCTGCGTGTTCTGCTCGGCTGCAAGGTCCTCGACATGTCCACTGGCATCATAACCAGGCACAGAGCACATTAAGACAGGAGTGTTGGGCTTCACCTGCAAACAAAGAAGGCAGAAGTTATTACAGTGCCAGCAAATAGTGTGTACCTGTCAAGGGAAAGGAGAGCCCCGAGTGAGGGGCCTGAGAAGATGTTCTTTCTGGGCCCAGAGGTGTGGGCACCATGCAGCCAGGAGTTGAGAATCTGCAGCGAGTTCCTGGTCTTAGGAGGAGACTGTAGCCCGGAGTGAGAGCAGATGCCAGGGCTGCTGCCACCTGTGGCTGGGGAGGTGGGCATGGAGTCTCGTGGGAAGCCCGGGCTGTACCAGGACATTACCTCTGTGCCCACAATGTGGGTCAGGTCGAGCGGCTGCTCCATGATGGACATGAAAGACTCCCCAAGGTTTGTTGAAACAAACATGTGGGCCATGGCCAACAGGCGATCGGGCCGGAAAGCCTGGATCAGGAGCAGGCGGTGGATGGCCTGGCCAATGGGTGCTGAAACAGGTACAGAGGGGTGGGTGCTGGGTGGAAGCATGGACTCAGAGACGCCCTCCCCTGCCTGGACTGTTCTTCCCAAAGTACCCACTCAGCAAATGCTCAGCATTTCAGGATCAGCTCAAATCAGGAAATTCAGCCACATCTGCTGTGCCTTCCGTGAGCCCTCTGGACACGCCTGTGAGAACACCTTACTACCTGGATGTATCCATAGGACAAAGGTGCCATTTGCTGATTTTTAGATTACTAAACTAATACCTGCTCACTTCCTGAGAACACCTGAAGGTACTCAGGAAGGGGGCTCCACGCTCTGCCCTCCACAGTCTGACACTTCCTCTCAGCCTGGCTAGCCCAGGGTCTGGCCTAACACACTCAAAAACGGCTGATGGCATTCCATTCCTGTCTGCAGCATGAATACAGCCAGTTAACTCCTTAGCATTAGGCAGGAGTTCCCCATCTAGTTCTCTTGTGGTCTTTAAGCATGAGATGAATAGGAATTGGAAATTTCTGATTTACTTCTAAGCCAACACCTACCTAGAAGCGATCTCCCTAAGTGGTTTCCTTAAAAAGTTTTAACATTGAAATACTTATCTTGGGAATCAGTGACCATTCATTCACAGACAGGCCTCTGTCTGCTGCCCAGGCTGGAGTGCAGTGGTGCAATCACAGCTCACACAACCTCGACCTCCCAGGCTCAAGTGACCTTCCTGCTTTAGCCTCCCGAGTAGATGGGACTACAGGTGTGCACCGCCACGCCTGGCTAAGGTTTTATTTTTTGTAGAGATGGGGCCTTACTATGTTGCCCAGGCTAGTAACTTTGTGTTTTTTGAAAGCATCCCTTTAAGCAGCAAAACCCAACTTTACATTCAGGTCCAGAAAGAAAACCACAGTGGGGCTTACTTGCAGGTGTTTCTTCACTCCAGAGGTAGGGCACAGTCTGCTCCGGGGAGCTGCTGTCCAGCCAGATGCCAAATTGCTGTGGAGACAATAGTGGAAGCACCCATGGAGCAGGGCTGGCCTCTGGGGCAGAACCCACGACTGAGCGAGAGTCTGACGCGAGAGCGCAGACACAACATTCTGGGTTTTATACCACATGCAATTCCTTACATTTCCTGGGAAAAGGCCAACATTTACCTACTGGGAACATTCAAGAGAACAATCACCTCGTCTGCCTGAACCTTTGCAATCAAGTCCTTAAACGCGGGAAGGCAGCTCAGCCTCACCACCGCCTCCGCCTGCTCCACAGTCAGGCCCTGGATCCTGGGGGTGGAGCCAGCACTCAGGACAATCTCATTTCCTCTCAAGAAGTGCTGGAATTCTGCATCGTAGGTGGGCTCCCTGCGAAGGGTGCAACAGGTTAGCTAGGGTCTCTCACGTTCACTCCCACTGTCACTAAGATAACAGCTGTGATTTAAGAAAAGAGAAAACAGGCCGGGCACAGTGGCTCAGGCCTATAATCTCAGCACTCTGGGAGGCCGAGGTGGGCGGATCACTTGAGGTCAGGAGTTTGAGACCAGGCTGGGCTGCCAACATGAAGAAAACCCGTCTCTACTAAAAATACAAAAAAAATTAGCCAGATGTGGTGGCCTGCGCCTATAGTCCTAGCTACTTCGGAGACTGAAGCAGGAGAATTGCTTGAACCTGGGAGGTGGAGGTTGCAGTGAGGTGAGATTACACCACGGCACTCCAGCCTAGGCAACAAAGGGAGACTCCGTCTCAAAAAATAAAATAAAGAAAATAAAAGAGAAAATAAAAGAAATAATAAAAGCATGTATCTGATCATGAAACCCTTGGGGGCCACCAGCAATATGGCATCCTCCTGTGGGCGTGAGTGCTCTTACCCCACGGTGCCCTTCAGTTTGATTCTTGCCAGCAGCATGGCAAAGGTAATGTGGTCCTGATGCAGCATGCCTCGAGCCACTCGGTTAAACGCCACCTGGGACAAGAGCAGGAGACGATGTTGTTCCATAAGAGAAGCAGCACCCTGCTTCCCCCCCGCCAGGGAGCGGCTGAGGACCTCACTCTACCTGGAAGAGGTCCTTTGTTATAATGGACAGGCGCTGTGTGTGGTCGGTGACACCCTTCAGGTTCGGGTTCTCGTATAGGACGTTGTGATAAATGTCCAGGAAAAACTGGAGGGAGTACTGGTACAAGAAGTGTATCTGAAAGGAAGCAGTGGGCAGCGGTGAGGCAGCTCCCTCGGCACCCCGCTGAACTTCTGCGTGGCCAAGGAGCTACTGTGCAGGGCCCGCCAGCCTCTGTGCGGCCAAGGAGCTACTGTGCGGGGCCCGCCAGTCTCTGCATGGCCAAGGCACCCACCTGCTTGAGGGACTCCATGGTGAAGTAGATGCTGCTGCAGGCGGTGGAGAGCGGGAGGTACTGCTGGGACACGGTCTCCACCTCCTGCATGACAATGTCCGTCTCCTCAACTTTCCTGGTGACCTCTGCAGCCTCTCTCTTCAGGTTCTCCAGAGTGGTTATGATCGTGTCGTCATCCAAAATGCGCCCTTTCACCTCGTTCAGAGCTTGTAGTAGAGATTTTTCCAGCTGACGCAAACGGAGCTGAAATTCCCCTTAAATGAATAAAACATCCAGAGTTTGCAATAATCCTTCAAAAGGTATGCTCTCAGAAGTGTTTGCCACAAACGTGGAACATCCTAGTCACTTAAAAGTTCAGCCCCTTCCCCTGCACCAACCATCTAAAAGCCACAGGTCCAGATCCTACCTTGAAGTTTAAGAAGATCAGATCGTTTCTCGTCCACATCAGGTCTTTCTGCTTTAAGTACTTCATTTAGACACTGGCTTTGTAAACTGCTACGGGTAACTGTGAAGTTTACAAAAGTAACCCGGGAACAGAGATCTGGTGGGAACTCGACCTGCCAAAATAGGTAACAGAACAGTCTGTCTTAATCCAGTTTCAAAACCACATCCTGCCAGATTTCCCTGGGGAAGGGTCCCATTCCTTACAGTTGGATCCCGGGTGGACAGGAAGATGACAAACGATGGCGACAGGTCTATGTCCTGGTCCCCGAGAGTGATCAGCACTCTCCCCCCTGTTCGCCGCACTTCACGGTTCAGCACCGGGTTCAAAACTGGATCGTAGCTTTCCACATCCTGCATTCCACACGGGTGGAACTTGATGGTCAGGGCTTTGTAACTTTATCTTCACCCAAATGCTATGTTGCTGTCCTACTCTGGATAAGCATACCTTCCCAAAAGCCACCCGCCACTTGCGTGTGGTGGCCACTAGCTATGTGTGGCTACTTACATTTAAATGAACTAAAATTAAAAACTCAGCCAGATGCGGTGGCTCACGCCTGTAATTCCAGCACTTTGGGAGGCTGAGGCAGGCAGATCACTTGAGGTCAGGAGTTCGAGACCAGACTGGCCAACATGGTGAAACTCCATCTCTACTAAAAATACGAAAGTTAGCTGGGGGTGTATGGCACATGCCTGTAGTCCCAGCTACCTGGGAGGCTGAGACAGAATTGCTTGAACCTGGGAGGTTCAGACTGGGGGACAGAGCAACACTCTGTCTCAAAAAAACATAAAATAAAAAATTAAAACTCAGTTCCTAGTCACACTAGCCATGGGAAGTGCTCAGTAGCCCCCAAGGCTAGTGGCTACCACACTGGACAGTGTGGACCATAAGGCATTCCTGCCCCTGCAGAAAGTTCTGGGGACAGTGCTGACACAGACCCTTGGAATGGCATTTTATTTCATTTCTTAAAAATTTTTTTCCATTTGCATAATGAATTCATCTCGTTGCAAATCTGATGCTTCCTAGTGACCTTACATGCTTTATTTAAAAACACATTTTTAACTTTTAAGTTCAGAAATACAAGTGCAGGTTTGTTACATAGGTAAACTTGTCATGGGGTTTACTGTACAAATTATTTCATCACCCTGGTTATAAGCCTAAACCTCCATGCTCTGAAAGGTCCCAGTGTGTGTTGTTCCTCTGTGTGTCCATGTGTTCTCATCATTTAGCTCCCACTTCTAAGTGAGAACATCTGGTACTTGGTTTTCTGCTCCTGCATGAGTTTGCTGAGGATAATGGCCTCCAGCTCCATCCATGTTCCTGCAAAGGAACATGTTCCTTGTTCTTGTTTCTTGAACATTTTTCTTGTTCTTTTTTTTTTTTTTTTTTGAGATGGAGTCTCGCTCTGTCACCCAGGCTGGAGTGCAGTGGCACAAACTCGGTTCACTACAGCCTCCGCCTCCCAGGTTCAAGCAATTTTCCTGCCTCAGCCTCCCGAGTAGCTGGGACTACAGGTGTGCATCGCCACACCCGGCTAATTTTTGTATTTTAAATAGAGACGGGCTTTCACCATGTTGGCCAGGGTGGTCTTGATCTCCTGACCTTGTGATCTGCCTGCCTTGGCCTCCCAAAGTGCTGGGATTACAGGCATAAGCCACCACGCCTGGCTGTTTCTTGCTTTTTATGGCTGTACTGAATATAATTTTTTTTTTTTTTAAGATACAGTCTCTTTCTGTCTCCCAGGCTGGAGTGCAGTGGCATGATCTCGGCTCACTGCAACCTCCGCCTCCCGGGTTCAAGTGATTCTCCTGCCTCAGCCTCCCGAGTAGCTGGGACTACAGGTGCCAGCCACCTCAACCAGCTAATTTTTGTATTTTTTGTAGAGATGGGGTTTAGCCAGGCTTTTCTTGAATTCCTGACCTTAGATGATCCACCCGCCTCGGCCTCCCAAAGTGCTGAGATTACAGGTGTGAGCCACCTCGCCCGACCACTGAATAGAATTTTAAATGCAAATAATGATTCTGTTGAATTTATCTATTACAGAACCACCGCAAAGCTTTATCCTTCTGATACAAAATGAAGTCTTACAAAGTTGAAAACTAAAGGCAGCCCCCAAAAAGGAATTCACTCTTGAATGCAGTGTTTCAAGAATTCAAAGGCCAACACCAACCTGGACCAGAAGGGGGTTACCGAATCTCAGTGCACTCTCTAAGTTCTTTCTGAAGGCGTCATCCAGGAAGCTGGTCCGTGTGATCTTACGATCCTTATATTCATTCATAATGAATTCTGTGGCCTGTCCAGAGGGGTCAATGATCAGCGGATACCTGAGGATGAGGCCACAGAAGAGAAGGTTGAAACACCGAATGGGGAAAGCACAGGATCACGGTTAGCCGAGTCCCTGATGAGAGACCCTGATTGATAGGCTGTTACCACCACCCGAGAGTGGTTTCCGGAGACGTTTTCAGGTTTACCAATAAAGCTTACATGCTTAATGCTAACATCACCTCATCCTTTTGAACAACTATTGGCATGAGGAGGTAGCTTGAGTCATACACCAAGAGGGCCATAGTTAAAAATCTTTTTCCTTCTGGGACAATCATCCTCTCAGCATCCTGCACTGTTAGAATAGCTTTTTCATGTTTACGATCCTTCTAGACAGCACGTATCAACATCAATGATGTCGCAGCAGCAAGGGATTAACATTATACAGAATTTTAATTGCCAAGGACCGTGTCAAATTACAGACACTACGTCACGTAATCCTCATAACAGCCCTATGAGGCTGACACTGTTATCGAACCATTCTACAAATGAGGAAAGGACACAAATAAGCTAATGTGATCTACCTACGGTCTAGCCAGTTAAAACGTTAAAAAAAAACCCAACTGGTAATATACACACAAGCTTTTACAAAACTCAACTATAAAAGGGCATATGGTGAGAAGAACCATGCTGCCCTGCCTTTCTGACCCTATTCTTTGGTCACCAAAGTCCCTTGCCCAGGTGATGGCTTTTACCAGTTTTTCGCCTGTCTTTACAGAGAAGGTCTAAGCATTTACAGACACATGTGTCAGTGTGGGAGTTGTGGCCTCGTGGGA